>NC_000001.11:178942162-179245193 GCF_000001405.40 Homo sapiens
GGCTCCTCAACACAGTCTCTTGCGTGCTCCTGCATGCTTTCACGCCTGTGTCTTTGCTTAGCGTTGGTGATTCCTCTTGTCTTTGTCTGTCTCCCCACTGCTGTCTGACTTCCTCGAGGGCCAGGAGCTTTCATCTGTGTCCAGGCACTGCCCATACTGCCTAGCATCTCCTAACCACTCAGTAAGCGAGTTAAGGACTGAGTGGATAATATTGATTCTTTACATTCATGCAGCTCTTTATGATTTTTCTAAGTACTTTCTTATGTGTGTTTGCGGTTGGGTTTTGTGCCCCTGAACTTGTTTTCAGCAGTATTGCCTGCACCATCTGCATTCTCACTTGAGGCTGGCAGACAGGAGAGGTGGTGAAAGTGAGGTGCAGCATGACCCGGAGGGGTCCTGCTGCCCAGGTCACACAGCTGGTGCCTGGAAGACCCAACAGCCCTCCGTCTCCGCCTGTGTTCTCCCCCGCACCCCATGTCTCCCATATGCTGGCTCCACTGCGCTGGATTTGGAGACTGTGCTGGATCTGGAGTCTGCACTGGGTAGTTGCCCACAAAGAGATGGAGATTGTCAGCCACTTCAAATCCTGGCTTCCCCCTTTTCCTGTCATGCTTTTAAGCCAGGAGATACAAAGAGGAAACCACAGCTCTTGAGATGAGCTACTCAAGAGCATGCAGTCTTCTACCATCAACATTTTCTAGAGACGAAGCCGACTCAGTTTGTGTGGATTTCGCCTCTCTGGAGGAAACACAAATTCACTAATCCCTTCCATTTTAATCAAGCCTGGGAGGGAAGGGCTGCCAGGGGATCCTTTCCAGAACGTAGTCAGTGGGGAAAATGCAGAGCCCCTGCCTTCTGACTCACCGGCCAGCAGACCACTTCCTGAGACGGTACATGAGGCAATGACTGAAATTGTGGCTGTGGCTCTGCCAATCAGCCGGATTCGGGAGATGTTTCTCTGAGGTAGAATGACATTAAAAGGGCCCTGTCCCTGGCACATCTAAAGTGATCCTCACCTGAGCCTTTCATTCAGTCTCACTCAGAGAGGGCTTCTCAGCTACTCTCCACCCAAGCAGGGCCAGAGGTGCACTTTCACTACCCTTTTCCCGAGAAGGTACCAGGGTGGGGGTGGGAGAGACTGGGAGGACTACCCCCCATTCCCCGATTTCTGCTCAGATTATCCTACAAGCTAGAGTGTGAAGCCCTGGGATAGACACTGCCACCACAAGAGCAGAAAGTCATACAGCTGAGCTCAGTAAACTCTTAACCAGCAGCTACCATGTGCCAGATATTATGCTGAGAGCTGATCAGATAGGGATAAATTAGACATGGCTGGCCAGGCGCCTCACGCCTGTAATCCCAGCATTTTGGGAGGTCAAGGCAGGTGGATCACCTGAGGTCAGGAGTTTGAGACCGGCCTGGCCAACATGGTGAAACCCTGTCTCTACTAAAAATACAAAAAATTAGCCGGGTATGGTGGCAGGTGCCTGTAATCCCAGCTACTCCAGAGGCTGAGGCAGGAGAATCGCTTGAACCCAGGAGACAGAGGTTGCAGTGAGCCGAGATTGCACCATTGCACTCCAGCCTGGGCAACAAGAGCAAAACTCCATCTCAAAAACAAAAACAAACAAACAAAAAAATTAGACATGGCTCCTTGACCAGGCAAAAGAATGCACACATATACACAACCAATATGTCCAGAAGATAGTGAAGAGAGGTACAAATCAGGTGCTGTGGAAGTTCAGGAAAGACTGTTTCCAGTTGAGAATTCGAGAAAGGCTTCTTGGAGGAGCTGGCATTATTTTAGCTGGAACTTGAAGTGAGGGTAAAATTGGGGCAGAAAGAATTATTGCTTGAGGGTTTGGGGGGATGGGGTGGTAAAGATAGTAAAGGCTTCTCAAGCTGCAGTATCTGTGATTAGGTTGACTCACATGAAATTGCTGATAGTCTATCGGTATTGACCTACAATAACACCAACTTCAGATGGTCCAACATCATACTTCCTGGGTACAACATGGAAGTGGGAAAACACCACTTGTAGAGAAAAACCCAGGCCAAAGAAGTTCAATGTCTGTCAGCAACTGGTAAACTTACACTAATTTAACCTTTTAATAATGTGTTGACAGAGATTGTCTAGGGATGGCATTTTCTACTTTCTCAAAACAGGACTAGGCCGGGCACAGTGGCTCACGCCTGTAATCCCAGAGCTTTGGGAGGCCAAGGCAAGTGGATCACTTGAGATCAGGAGTTTGAGACCAGCCTGGTCAATATGGTGAAACCCCGTCTCTACTAAAAATACACAAATTAGCTGGGCGTAGTGGCGGGCACCTGTAATTCCAGCTACTCAGGGAGCTGAGGCAGGAGAATCACTTGAAACCGGGAGGCGGAGGTTGCAGTAAGCCGAGATTACGTCACTGCACTCCAGCCTGAGTGACAAAGTGAGACTCCATCTCAAAAAAAAAGGATTGGTGTTATAGTTTGTCTATTGTCCAAAGACCAGTTCTATTAGTCTGTCCTCATGCTGCTAATAAAGACATACCCAAAACTGGGTAATTTATAAAAGAAAGGGGTTTAATCGACTCACAGTTCTACATGGCTCGAGAGGCCTCGCAATCATGGTGGAAGCCAAAGGGGTAGCAAGACATGTCTTATATGGCAGCGGGCAAGAGAGCATGTGTAGGGGAACTCCCCTTTATAAAACCATCAGATCTCGTGAGCCTTATTCACTATGATGAGAACAGCACAGGAAATACCCACCTCCATGATTCACTTACCTCCCACCGGGCCCCTCCCATGACATGTGGGGATTACTACAGTTCAAGGTGAGATTTGGGTAAGGACAGAGAGCCAAACCATATTACCAGTCCAAGTGAGACTTTGCACTTCACAACTGGACTGAATTTACAAGTCACAGGAAGGCAGTATTGTACCCCGAGTCCGAAATATTTGAGTCTACATTCCAACACCACTGCATATGAACTGTGTGATCAGCTTCATAACTTTCTGAGGCTTGGTTTTCTCACCTGGAAAATGATGACAAAAATAATACTTCCCTTCCTCACAACGTAGTTGAAATGATTAAATGAGATGGTGCCTGTACACTGCTTAACACAATGCTGGCCTATAGGCAGCACCCAGTAGCTGTTTGCAGGGTCATCATTTATGTCAAGAGCACAATGAGCACTGAGGGATGACCCCATGTCCACGAGTCACAAAAAGAGTTGCATCTTTGCGTCTTAGAGCCATAGTGTGTTTCGATGGAGGCAGCAGGACGGTCGCCTATTTGAGCACCTATTTTAGTCTTAAGTAGAAAAGGGAGAAAGAAGATACAAGAAAATATGTGATGCTTGAGTTTCTCAGGTTAGAAGGACAAGAAGCTCCACATGATCCCATTCAGCCATTTAGTTGCTTTCAGCCTCAGAGCAAACCTTCTAAGGAATTTCATATTCCCAGGTCTCTCCTGGCAGGCACGCCTGGCTCAGAGGTAGATTTTTTTTTTTTTTTTTTTTTTTGAGCAAAAGGGTTTCTGCAAGGTACCAAGTCAACCACCCTGGAGTGGTTCCCAGGAAAGCAGTGGTGATGGCTTGGGCACCAGAGGCTCGGGAAAAACAGGTGCTCGGCTTTCCAGGAAAAGAAATCTTGGCCACTCAGAGGGGAATCTGAAACCAGAGAGGTAAGGTAGCTGAAGCGCATGTCCCAACCAAGCCTGGGACGGGCCAGGCACCTGGGCAGGACTCCTCTCTGCTGCACCAGGCGGGCGTGGACGCTTACTTTCTTGGTTCCCGAAGCACTCTCCTGCTGGGGATGGCGACAGTGACCACCCTTAGGAAGACTGGCTTGCATCAGTACGGATTTTTAAGCAATACACAGCATTCTAAAGTCAATAGGGTTTGTGATGGGCGCTGCTCCGAGTAAGGAAGCGGGTGTGAGGGCACAGTCTCTGGCAGCCCCTCCTGACTGCTGCCTGTCCTTGGTGAACCGAGGGGAGGCAGGGCGTGCAGGGGCCGGCTCTGTCTTTCGGTTCCCAGGGCTGACTCAGCAGGCATCTTCCCCTGTGTTTCTCTTCATCTTCCCTCCCCTCCCTTCTAACAGGAGTTGGTGGAGCTGAGGGCAGGGACAAGTTTTAAATGCTCTGGGATGGCGCCGTCTTTGGGAAAAGAGAGCCTTGTAAAAGCCCCGAGAGCAGTTCTCTCTGCAGCCCTAAAAATTTTCCCTGCAGCTTGAATTTTTCATTCAAGTCACCATTTCCAGTCCTGCCGACAAGTCAGAAAATGGCTCTGACCGGGAGCAACAGCAGAGACAGAGGGCGGCCCAGAGACAGCGTGGTCTGATGCAGGGACACCTTGGAGCCATCCCAGAGCCCTGGGGACCAGTTCACGCTGTGATATTGGTTCCTCCCTCCACAATAGAGGCAGGCGCAGGCCAGAAATCCTGCCACACCGGAGTGGAGCTTCAGGCCTCAGCACATGAGGGGTCTTCTCTTTAATTCCCTGTCATCCGCACGCGCCCCCTGCTGCCCCTCACCTCGCCTCATCCAGGGAAGCTCTGCAGACTTTTCCCTCTAACTTCAAAGACGGCATCAGCCGCCACTTGGTCCCACCATGACTGTCCTTGAGGCACAAAACTACCAGGAGAGATTAGTTCTGCAGAAGCTGAGAGAGGGTCCGGTCCACACCAGGCTCTCCTCATTCAGAAATGAGTGAATGTGCAGGCCCAACTCAAGGACCTCAAACTGTAGGGGAGAGGATGGGAGGGGAGCACAAGGAGGGGCCCCATGGGGTCAGACACCTTTTCCTAAGGTGTTCAAGCACTGTCTGTGCTGGCAGCAGCCCCAGGAGGTGATATTTCAGTTGAAAACTGGAAAGGAGCCAGGGTAAGGGCAGTGTATTTGCAGAAGACCAGGAGGTAGAAATTGTGACTGCTTTGGCATCTGGGTGAAAACAGGAAGTAACACAAAATGAGCCTGGAAAAAGGATGGGAGCAAGATCAGAAATGGACTCACGGTTGGGCACAGTGGCTCACGCCTGTAGTCCCAGCAGTTTGGGAGGCCAAAGTTGGAGGATTGCTTGAGGCCAGGAGTTTGAGACCAGCCTGGGCAACATAGCAAGACCCCATCTCTACAAAAAAAAAAGTTTTAAATTAGTGAGGTGTGGTGGCACATGCCTATAGTCCTAGCTACTCCAGAGGCTGAGGTGGGAGGACTGCTTGAGACAAGAAGTTTGAGGCTACAGTGAGCTCAAACAGTAGAGTACAGTAGAGCCACTGTACTCTAGCCTGAGTGACAGAGCGAGACCCTATCTCTAAAAAGGGAGAAAAAAAAGAAAAGAAATGGCCTCATATGTGGTGGTGTGCTGGTCAATGTTTAACAGGCTGTGGACAGGGGGTGGGGGGGGCGAGTGCTGATTTGTAATGTTTGTACCAGTTTCTGTGGTGTTAATATTAGAATACCTCCCATTGTGGTTGACTTCACTCTACCAATGGTTTAATATCTGGCTCACCAAAATTCCTGCAAATTTAACAATCAACTTGCAAGCTGATAAGGGCTGGCTCGAACACGCCTGCATCATATGTCACCTGTTACCTTTTCACCCACTTCCTTGTCACAACATCCCTAAGCAGTCCTTGGAGGGAGGGGAACCACATTAATGAAGTCACTTCAGGCTGTTGCCACAAGTATCTCAGTCTCACTCACCTCCCCCTGCCCATGGCTGTTCCTTCTTTCTGTCCCTCATGGATGCAGGCATGGACATTTTTCCTGGAGTTTCATAAAAACCACTCACGTAAGGCATTTATAGTGTAGCCAACTTATAAAAACAAAGAAGGTTCACATCACAGCAATGCTACTCACATCAAATGAAATATTAAACACCCTATTAAATTTTTCCTTGGCCATTGACACAATCCTGGGCTTTGATCTTCTGCCATATTGCTTTTCCCCCATGCTCTCCAACCTTGGTTGACCCTTTTCTCCTTGACACTCCCCTCAAAATGCTTCTAGTCCATCATAGAGAGCAATGCGGCCCTCCCTAGCCACCTCCGCCCCAAGTCCTGTGTCCACCCTCTCCAACCTTGATTGACCCATCTTCCCTTGACACTCCCTCAAAATACTACCATGGAGAGAATGTGGTCCCTAGCCACCTCCACCTGGTACACAGTCCTGCACTGTTCATGTCATATTCAAGGCGCTGCAAATCTGTAGAATTCCCAGGCATGGAGAGGAATACCAACTACTGTTTACACCTGGCTCAATGCCCATTTATTAATCTTATGCATTTTTAACAATCATCACTCCTTAAACTATGAACATTACTCTAAATATTCACACACTACATAGCTAGTACATCAAACACGTATTTCAAACAAGGTCCGATTTCACACCTATTAGAATGGCCAAAATCCAAAAACACCAAATGCTGGCAAGGATGAGGAGCAACAGGAACTCTCATTCATTGCTGGTGGGAATGCAAAATGGTACAGCCACATTGGGAGACACTTTGGCAGTTTCTATAAAACTAAACATACTCTTTCTGTATGACCCAGCAATCATGCCTCTTGGTATTTACCCAAATAAATTGCAAATTAATGTCCATTTAAAAAAAAAAACCGCACACAGATGTTTACAGCAGCTTTATTCATAATTGCCAAAACTTGGAATCAGCCAAGATGTCCTTCAGTAAATGAATGGCTAAACTGTGGTATACCCAGACAGTGAAATATTATTTAGTGATAAAAGCAAATGAGCTGTCACGAAAAGGCATGGAGAAGACTGCAAAGCCCATATACTGTATCATTCCAACGATATGACATTCTGGAAAAGGCAAAACTATGGAGACAGTAAAAAGAACAGTCGTTGCCAGGGACTAGGGGTGAGGGAAGGATGAATAGATGGAGCACAGAGGATTTTTAGGGCAGTGAAAATATTCTGTGTGATACTGTAATAGTGGATACATGTGATTATACATTTTCCCAAACTCATAGAATGTACAACACCAAGAGTGAATGGTAATGTAAACTATGGACTCTGGGTGATGATGCCGCGTCAGTATAGGTACCACTGTGATTTGGGAAGTTGACAGTGGAGGAGATTGTGTGTGAGGGCAGGGCATATATGGGAATTCTCTGTATTTTCTGCTCAACTTTGCTGTGAACCTAACATTGCTCTACAAAATACAGTATATTAAAAAAACAAAATTGGCCGGGCGCAGTGGCTCACGCCTGTAATCCCAGCACTTTGGGAGGCTGAGGTGGGTGGATCACGAGGTCAGGAAATTGAGACCAGCCTGGCCAACATAGAGGAACCCCGTCTCTACTAAAAATACAAAAACTAACCGGGCGTGGTGGTGCATGCCTGTAGTCCCAGCTACACAGAAGGCTGAGGCAGAAGAATCACTTGAACCTGGGAGGCGGAGGTTGCGGTGAGCCGAGATCATGCTCCAGCCTGGGCAATAGAGCGAGACTCCATCTTGGGAAAGAAAAAAAAAAAAATCATGACCAGGTGTGGTGGTTCACATTTGCAATCCCAGTACAGGACTTTGGGAGGCCGAGGCGGAGGGATCCCTTGAGCCCAGGAGTTTGAGACCAGCCTGGACAATATAAAAAAGACCTCATCTCTTTTTTATTTTTTGTTTTAGTTATTTATTTTTTTCAGACAGAGTCTCACTCTGTCGCCCAAGCTGGAGTTTAGTGGCACAATCTCAGCTCACTGCAACCTTCACCTTCCAGGTTCAAGCATTCTCATGCCTCAACCTTCTGAGTAGTTGGGACTACAGGCATGCACCACCATGCCCAGCTAATTTTTGTGTCTTTAGTAGAGACAGGGTTTCGTCACATTGGCCAAGCTGGTCTCAAACTCCTGGCCTCAAGTGATACACCCGCCTCAGCCTCCCAAATTGCTGGGATTACAGACATGAGGCACCGTGCCCAGCCAAGACTTCATCTCTTAAAAAAAACAAAAAAACAATTAGCCAGATGTGGTGGCACAAGCCTGTGATCCCAGCTACTCAGGAGACTGAGGTGGCAGGATCACTTAAGCCCAGGAGCTCGAGGCTGTAGTGACCCATGATCACACCACTGCACTCCAGCCAGGGTGACAGAGTGAGACCCTGTCCCTTTAAAAAAAAAAAAAATCATGAATTTAGCAAATTGGATTTTCACAAATATTTAGCTTGATTGCAAACTTAAGCAAACACCTCCAACCAAACATTTAATTAAATTCATAAAGAGCAGCTCCTCTTAACTACTTTAAAGATATTAAATATATAAAACTCAAAAAAAGTCATGATTCTGAACTGTTTAATACCCTTACAGCAAAGCCTGTTATAAAAGTGTTAATACAGTGGATTTCGCTTTGTTTTTTATCCTAAGTTCCACACCTTCCTGGGGTGCCAATTTTGACAGCTTCCTAGGATTTCAGTGATTTTTACCAAGTACTATTTTTACCTTCCTAGGGTTTTTAACAATCTTACCAGACCACAAGAAGAAGAAAAAGAACCACCTCGAACTGCTGGGATTGCAGAGTCTGGGTGGTTGAACAGTTGATTCTGGGTAAGGATATGAGGCTGGGCTGCAAAGTCCAAGACGATTCAAATAAGGGGAGCTCCCTTTTCATCATTAAACCTTGTTACTTCACTAAGACTTTTAAAGTCCACACCTTTTGGAAAGGTGTCTGGGTTTTGCAACATTGAATTTTCCCCCTGGAATGAGATGAGTTCACATCTCACTTGGCAGCGTTACACAGTCCATTGCCCTGTCATCATGATATATTGGTGACCTGGGCTGTTAGATTATTAAAAACGTGTGTGTCCTCATTGGTGTTGTATAATAATTTGTAGGGGCCATCGTGAAGTTTCATCAGCTAAGGGAGGAGGCATGGAGTCCGTGAAGTTTGTGCTTCTCTCCAGGCCCATTGGGAACACATGAGGGACCCTTCTTTACCCAGTTGTCATGTGTGACCCCCAGGCTGAGAAACCCTGTCCTAGGACAGTGCCTACTTTTCCCCCAAACAAATCTGCTGACTCAGAGTTCCCTGCATTTCTTCTTTCCTGCTTACACAGCAGAGACAAACACAGATCTATCTTTATATACAGATAAGCAATTAACAGAAAAAACAAAAGACCTGTTCATAGGAAATGCCCTACTTATGAAAGTCAATACACAGTCAGGTGTGGAGGCTCATGCCTGTAATCCAGCACTTTGGGAGGCCAAGGTGGGCGGATCACCTGAGGTCAGGAGTTCAAGACCAGCCTGGGAAACAAGGTGAAACCCCGTCTCTACTAAAAATACAAAAATTAGCCGGGTGTGGTGGTGCATGCCTGTAATCTCAGCTACTCGGGAGGCTGAGGCAGAAGAATCGCTTGAACCTGTGAGGAGGAGGTTGCTGTGAGCCGAGACGGCACCACTGCACTCCAGCCTAGGCAGCAGAGCGAGACTTTGTCTCAAAAAAAAAAAAAAGTCAATACGAATGAACATATCCCATTAGATCCAGCCTCCTTTTAATCTCCAACCACTTCTCTGTACACTTAAAGTTTTTTGAGGATTGTAATGAATCCAGTCTGTCTTTAGCTCAGCCTGTTCCAATTAATGTCCAAATGCCAAGGCGTGGCTCCAGAGCGCCCTTGGTTTGACTCCTTTGTCCTGGCAGTGCTGCACCTGACTTCCTGAAAACATCCTTACCTCCTGGCAACAAGATGTTCCAGACCCATTCTGATTGTTTCCTGCTTCAAGATATGGAATCAACTCTCCTCCAAATAATCCTGGTTCCTTTTAATGGAGAATGCTATTAAAGATCACAATCTGAGTGCTGGCTGCATGTGAGCGTGGAGCAGGGAAGGTGGGGAAACGGGGTAAGCGTGCTGCTTTGGTGGCAACAGAGACAGAAACATATTTACTTGTAAGGTTGTGTTCATACTACTCTTTCCAACTTAACACAGCGTGCCTGGTGGGTTCCACCCACATTTCTCACAGTATGAGCCTTCAGAGGCCACTAAGACCTTCTCCATGCAGACCTAAATAAGAAGCCATAAATTCAGCCTTTACCTTTTCTCCCCATCCCTTCCTGTCAGGGGAAGGAAGCTGGACAGAGATTATTTTCTGACTAGCAGAAACAGTGCCACCACTTTACTCTTGTAAGAAGGCTGCCCTACAAGGATTTGGTTTTCAACTGCTTTCTCCAGCATATATTCTATGGGAATGGGGGTGGGTGCATGATCAACTTTGTATTTTGCACGGACGCCCCTGTAGCTGGGTCAAGGCTGGATGACAGGACAGAGGTCAGGACAGAGAAGCAGGAAGGTCACTCAAGAGTGGGCTGCAGGGCCAGGCGCGGTGGCTCACACCTGTAATCCCAGCACTTTGGGAGGCCGAGGCGGGCGGATCACGAGGACAGGAGATCGAGACCATCCTGGCTAACATGGTGAAACCCCGTCCCTACTAAAAATACAAAAAGTTAGCCAGGTGTGGTGGCATGCGCCTGTAGTCCCAGCTACTTGGGAGGCTGAGGCAGGAGAATGGCAGGAACCCGGGGAGGCGGAGCTTGCAGTGAGCCGAGATTGTGCCACTGCACTCCAGACTGGGTGACAGAGTGAGACGCCGTCTCAAAAAAAAAAAAAAAAAAAAAAAAGAGTGGGCTGCGGCCGTCCAGAATGAGAGCCTTGAACCAGGGAGGCAGCAGTAGAGGTGGAGAGGAGGACATGGAGCTGGGGATTATTTGGTGTCTGGACAGAGGAGATCAAGGTGCATCCCATGTCCCTGGCCCTAGTCTCCAGGTGGAAGGAGGTGCCAGCCCAGGGAGAGAACAGTGGGAGACACAGACACCTGAAGGGCCTGGAGTCAGCTTGGTTTTGACCTTGAGCTTGAGGTGTCTCCATTCAGATGGAAATATCCAGCTGTCTGTTGGATGCATGGGATAGGATGTCTAACACAAACCACAGGCCGAGGAAGCTCCCAAGCTCAGGCAGGTGGTTTGGAGCTGTCTGTTGCCAAGGAGTATTCTCCAGAGGCCGTCAACAGCTTGGGTTGTTTGCTTACACGGCTTGGGAAGACTTGGAGGCACTTCTCATTCTCATTTTGTGTGAGTCCTTGCCAGGAATCCCTGGTGTTTTTACTTAACACCAGAGTTCCAACCCAAATTAGCAAACGGCCCAGGAGGTGGGACTCAGAGAGAGGGCTGACCATGTCTCTCCACTGCCAGCTCTAGAGAACAAGGTTGGGGACCTAGAATCTAGGCCACAGAGGCTTCTAGAGCAAGCCCTGGCGATTCCAAAAGATGGTCTCTGCCTCCCAGGGTTTCCTGGTAGGTTCTGGAGTGTCTGGAGGGACAGTAGGGGTGAGGAATAGAGGAGGGTTTGCAGAGGAAAGATCTTCTCCCACCTCCCATGCAGCAATTTTGGTGGTGCTGTGGGGGTGCTGTGGGACGGGTCTGGCCCAAGCACCACCTGCCCCCCAAGACTTCGCCTTGGCCAGGGCAGCATCTGGGCCCCACCCGCAGAGAAGGCACCACCGCCTCCCTCCCTCGGAGCATCCGCAGGACTGTGCTCATCTGGGAGTGTTGTTTGAACTGCAGCCTGTTTTCACTCAGGGTCTGGACGTGGCAACTTGGATCCTGGTTGTTTACCTAATCTAGCGTTGGGTTATTTTTTCCCCTTTCCTGATTGCAAGAAAGTGCCAAATGTAATCAGCTGTCTGGGCCCATCGCTGTTCTCGGCTCTGAGCCAGAGAAAATCAGACCTAGAGAAGGATCGTTCCCAAGGCCAAAAGCTCACCCAGGGGCCTTGTTCCCAGCCTTCTTTCTCACCTTTCCCCAGTAGGGACCTAACCTCGAGAGTTCCATCTCCTCCTGGCCCCGTCACACTCCAGGCTCATTCCCCTCTCCCAGCCTGAGCTCATACTCTCTCCCCTGCTGGGGGTGCCCTTCCCATTTCCTTACACCTCCTGGGACCCCACCTGTCCTCACAGCTGAGCTTGGCCGTCATTGCTTCCAGCCCACAGTGACTGGGTCCTGGTCACCGCTCAGGACCAAGGTAGAATGTGACCACACCCTGCCTTCCAGCAGCTTCTGACACAGGCAGCGGCGAACGTGTGCGTTAACAATTACAGCCCCAACTGGAAGGATGAGAAATTCCTCTTCGGCATTTAGAGAACATCCTCGAGCCGACTTCGCTGCTGTCTTCCTCAGGTCTCCCAGGCACTTCTGCCTGCCACCTCACTGCCACCCCGCCGCCACCGACAGCACAGCCTCTCTTCCAGCCTGGGTGGGGGTGTGGGCTAGAGTTCCAGCTGCCTCCTGAAGTTGTTGGGAAATGACTTAAATCTTCCTTGCTCACTAGGGCTTGGAAGTGAAGTAAGTCAGACATATGTGGATTAAACCTTGTGATCACCACCGACCAGCGCCTAGAGAGGATGTGCGACACCCGCCTCGCTGCGTGGGAGCATGCAGTGAGATCATTTGCACAAAGTACTTAGCATCCAGCACACGGTACTTCCTCAATAGGTCTAAGCGGGCATTTCTGCATGTATTACATTCCATCCTCAGCCCAACCTTCATAAGGAAAACAAGACCAGCTCATGCTTCCTTCCGTTCTCCAGACTGACGTGCGGTAGTGCAATCTCAGCTCACTCCAGCCTCAACCTCCTGGGCTCAAGCTAGCCTCCCACCTCAGCCTCCCCAGTAGCTGGGACTACAGGTGTGCACCACCACGCTTGGCTAATTTTTTATTTTACGTAGAGATGGGGTTTCGCCATATTGCCCCGGCTGGTCTCAAACTCGTGGAGTCAAACGATCCACCCACCTTGGCATCCCGACCGCTGGGATTATAGGTGTGAGCCACTGCACCCAGCCTCTGTTCTCTTCTTCAAGCACAAATAGATGCATGCACTGCTCCGCAGCCTTGTGCTCTAAATAAGTAGGGTTCACAGGTGAGGTCTTTTCTCATGGCCAAATTGTATAAATGTAGGCAGGGAAGAGGGCAAAGGTTTTCAGAGCCAGAGACGGCACAGAAGTTCCTAGTGATGTCTGGTACGTGTAACTGCCTGTCAGCTGGTGGATGGGAAGCTGCTGTGTGAGCAAATATTTCTCTTCCTTCCCTTCCTCGACCTTCCATTCCTCCCCACACACCCCTTCCAATCTCATGGGTCTCCTCACCAGTGCTGGCCTCCCTGCCCCTCCAAAACATACCTGAAGAAATAATTCCCCCCAAAAAGAAAAATGTGTGTACAAAGATATTCATCACAAAATTATTTATAAAATGAGCCTCGATCTTCAACTATTGAGGAACAATTTAACTACAGCATAAAAAATGTTATAGAAGACTCTACAGATGTAAGAATGCATCAACATGAAGACAAATGTCTCAAAACACATTTATAAGCTGGTTCTAAGTAAAATAAGCAGAACATAAGATTGTTTATAAACACTGTGATTAGAAATAAGTAAAAAAATGTGTATTTCTCTGACTAAAGTTAGAAAGGGGCACAGATAAATGAAAACAATTGTGTAAGAGGAGTAGAAGGGGTTATGCATTGGCATGCTTTTAAATTCCCTTAATGTTACTGCAAAGTTATGTTAATAATAAAAATGTCATATAAAAATAAAAATGCCAGTCCTCTGTCCTATTCCAAGTAAGTTCATGTCAAGATGATCATGGCTTGGAGTTACCTTCCCCTGGTTGTATATTTGGATCTGAAAGAAGCCTCCTGGGAAGGAGACCTCTTAAATTTAAGAGGAAACTCTAGGAGATGAGGTCTGGGACAGGGCAGAGTGGAGCAAGGTCTCTGCTGCCTCAGCACCTGGCATGTGCCCTCACAGGGCGGAGAATTCGGGCACCGGGGGCCCAGGTGGCCATAGAAGGCACCACAGTTTTCTGGGCTCCTCCTATGGGCCAGGTGCCCAGCAGTCAAGAGGTAAATTAGAGATGGTACCCAATCCTCAGTTGCCCCATTCCATGGGACACACAGAGAGACCAGGGTCAGTCCAAGCTACAGTGTGGGTTAAAAGGGCAGGAAGCGAGTCACTGAGGTCTCAAAAGACAAGGAGGGGCCAGACATGGTGGCTCCTGCCTGTAATCCCAGCTCTTTGGGAGGCCAAGGCAGGAGGATCACTCAAGGCCAGAAGTTCAAGACCAGCCTAGCCAACATGGCGAAATGCTGTCTCGACTAAAAATACAAAAATTAGTCAGATGTGGTTGTGTGTGCCTGTGGTCCCAGCTACTCAGGAGGCTGAGGCACAAGAATCGCTGGAATCCGGGAGGCAGAGGTTGCAGTGAGCCAAGATGGCACCATTGCACTCCAGCCTGAGTGACATAACGAGACTCTGCCTTTAAAAAAAAAAAAAAATGCTAGCGGTGGTGGCTCACGCCTGTTATCCCAACACTTTGGGAGGCCAAGGCAGGCAGATCACCTGAGGTCAGGAGTTTGAGACCAGCCTGGCCAACATGGTGAAATCCCATCTCTACTAAAAATACAAAAAATTAGCCAGGCATGGTGGCAGGTGCCTGTAATCCCAGCTACTTGGGAGGCTGAGGCAGAAGAATCACTTGAACCTGGGACGCGGAGGTTGCAGTAAGCTGAGGTCACACCACTCCACTCCAGCCTGGGCGACAGACCGAGACTGTCTCAAAACAAACAAACAACAACAAAAAAAGACAAGGAGGATTTTGTCTGGGTAGGACCCATGCTGGGGGTCGGGGTGCTTTAGGGGAGAAAGCATGGACTTTGCATCCTCAGCTGAGATCCCAGCTCTATCACTTACTACCCAGGTAACCTGGAGCAAACTATTAATATTAGTTTTCTCGTCTGTGAAATGGGCATTTAATGATCTCTACCTGAGTATTAATTCTCCTGTGTATGAAGAGAGGTCATGGATCTGAAAGTACAGTGCCTGCACCTGGCAAGTACTCAGTACATGTTGGCTTTCACACTTATTTTTGGTGGAGGTGGCAGGAAACCCAGGCAGCCTGTTCCAAGTCCACGATGCTCCCACTGAACCACGTGGTAGGAAGGACAGAAAAAAGTGCTATGAATCAGGACAAAAGACACTAGAGCCCAGGCGCGGGGGCTCATGCCTGTAATCCCAGCACTTTGGGAGGCTGAGGTGGGTGGATCACCTGAGGTCAGGAGTTCGAGACCAGCCTGGCCAACATGGTAAAACCCCGTCTCTACTAAAAATACAAAAATTAGCTGGACGTGGTGGCAGGCACCTGTAATCCCAGCTACTCCAGAGGCTGGGGCGGGAGAATTGCTTGAACCCCGGAGGCAGAGGTTGCAGTGAGCTAAGATCACGCCACTGCACTCCAGCCTGGGCGACAAGCAAAACTCCATCTCAAAAAAAAAAAAAAAAAAAAAAAAAAGACACTAGAGACCCCAGGCAGGTTCCAGGAGACCCCAGGGTGTGTGCAGCCCAGAAAATTCCTCTGGGAATTGTTCTTTCTTCCAGTTTTACCCAGTATAAGTTTGCATTTTAACATCACCATCTGTGTCAGTAGTCATGCCACAAGAACTCTAACTGTTCCCAGAGCTGGGTAATATCTCTCCAAAGGATTTGCCCTTGGGTTTGATAAAAGTCGAGGGGAGTAGATAGGTCACCCTGCGTAAGCTCTCTGATCAAGAGCAGCTTTGCAACCTGTTTATACTAAATGTGGCAACCCAACACCTAAACTGAAATGAGTAGCTAGAAGGAGTCCCCATGTGTGTCCTCTGCCTTGTGACAGGAAGAACACTGGATTAGGATCCAGGAGCCTGGAGCTGGGCTCATGTCCTGGTCCTTCTGGGTAGTACATGCCCTCGGGCAAGTGCCTTGATCTCTCTAGGCTGCAGATTCCATCGGCACGATGAGTGCTTCAGGCTTGATGAGCGGTTCTTGCCTCATCTACACATTGGGATCACCTGGAGACCTATTAACACCACATGAAATGATGCCCAGACATCCAGAGAGAGCATAACATTTTTTAATTTTTTATTTTCTGAAACAGGGGCCTCACTATGTTGCCCAGGCTGGACTCGAACTCCTGGGTTTAAGTGAGTCTCCCACCTCAGCCTCCTGTGAGTAGCTGAGACTGCGGGCATGTGCCACCACGCCCGGCTCAGAGACAGCCTAATCTAGGGGTGAGACCAGGACATGGGCATTTCTTTAAAGTTCTCTAGATCATCTTTTTTCAAACTTGGTTACACATTGGAGTCACTTGGGGAGTTGTAAAGACTGATGCCTGCGTCCCACCCCCAGAGAGTCTGACATAATTGATAAAGTGGGAGGAGCCTGGGCATTGGTGGGTTTCAAAGCTCCCCAGGTGATCTTAATGTACAGCAAAAACGCCTCTCAGCTGGAGGCATCTCCTCAGCAGGCCTGCATCACACTGGCTGCCACTTCCTCAGTCTTGTCAGACTTTCATTCCTGCTCAGAAAGACATCCCTTGAGAACCTTGAGTAGAATCAAAGCCAGGAGCGGCCAGGGATGCCCAGGGCAGCTTGCAAAGCTGAGGCCCCTGCAACGGGCCGGTGCGCCCTGGCTGGAGTGATGCAGGTTGGGCGCTTGCTGTCCTGGCCACCCCAGGCTGAATGAGAGTGCTGGCTGCAAACAGGGCTCGTGGGGCCGTGTGTCCCAGGCCATCATCCCTCCACAGGAGCCCCGGAGGCAGCTAGAAGGGCGAGAGCACAGAAATGCTGTTCCTTCAGAAGATGTGGGTTTTGATCTTGGTCTGAATCCTGGGTGAGTCCCTCATCCTCTCCACCTATTAATTCATTTTTATACATGCTTTGCACCAGTATTGATCAAGCACTGTGCTGGGCCCTGAGGGAAAGAGGAGTTGGACACGAGGCCTGCTCTCAAGGAGCCAGGTATAGTTGTTGGTGCTGGGCTGAAGGTGGCTTGCTGGAGGCGCGGGGGGCAGGGGTGGCGGGGGTGCATTTTAGCAAAGGATCAGAAAAGGCCAGCAGTAGAAAAGGCCAGCAGTACACGTGGAAGGCTGCACCCCAAGTGTACCATGTGTTCATGTGTGTGTTGTCTGGGGCAAAGTTTCCAGGAGGAGAATCTTCAGGCCAAGGAGCAGACTGGGCAAAGACACAGAGCTGTAAAAGGCAGGACCGGGATGCTGCGGAGGGAGGCACAGACAAGGACCCAGCCACACCTCATGTGTGATGCTAAGGCTTTCGAGCTCTGTCTTGGGGACCCAACTTCCCAAACACATGATCCTGAGCCAAATAAGGTCACAGTCGCAGGATCAACAGCGCTTCCCAGTCTGCCTCCACCCGCTGTTATGGGACGCCCACGTCAATACCCCATTATCCTCAGAGTCCTCGGGGTTGTGTCAATGCATGTCGGGACAGTACTGTGGTGCCTGCCCCACCCCTGCTGTGCCTCCTCCCATTCCCTGCAAAGTTGTCTACCACCGAGCCCAGGGAGGGACACGGGGGCACTGTGGGTGGCTGCTGAGGCGTCTCCATGCTAGACTTCTGATATGGTTTGGCTCTGCGTCCCCACCCAAATCTCATCTTGAATTGTAGCTTTCATAATTCCCTCGTGTTGTGGGAGGGAGCCAGGGGGAAATACCTGAATCATGGGGGCCGCTTCCCCCACACTGTTCTTGTGGTAGTGAATAACTGTCATGAGATCTGATGGTTTTATGAGGGGAAACCCCTTTCGCTTGGCTCTCATTCTTCTCTTGTCTGCTGCCATGTGAGATGTGACTCTCACCCTCTGCCATGATTGTGAGGCCTCCCCAGCCACGTGGAACTGTGAGTTCATTAAACCTCTTTCATTTGTAAGTTGCCCAGTCGCAGGTATGTCTTTATTAGCAGCATGAAAACGTACTAATACAGCCTCTTTATGTGAGCCTCTGCTCAGCTGCCCTGTGCTCCTGGGGGCTCAGGGAGCACCCATGGAAACCATTCCATCCTTTTTGTCTTTTGGTCTGATTCCCCAGAGGCACTCAAAGCCACCTCTCTCTATCAGACACCCATGCCCTGCCTTCTTCCCTTAGGACGAGCTCTCCCCAAGGAGGCTCCATGGTCCCTCCTGGAAATGGCCCCGGCATCCAGAATCTGGAGACCCACACATATTTTTGACCATGGGGAGCACCCAAGAAGCCAGACAGTGGTACCATCTGTTTTCCTTTTTAGATTAAAATAAAGAATGGAAAGTTGAAAATTCATTTGTCATCCTTGAGCAGGCCATGCCCCTGCGCATCAAGGTTTGAGACTGAGTGGCGGCGTCACCTCCACAGCAGCACCTTAGCTGTTAGCACTTCACAGCTTGAAAGGGTGTTCACTGACGTTTCCTCAGGAGACGCACAGCTAACGTATGAGGCAGGAATCGTTATCGTTCCCATTTCACAGCAGGATAAATTGAGGCTCAGAAAGATGAGACGATTTGCCCAGGTTGCACAGCTAGGACAAATAATCCAAATCGAAGTTTTCTGGCTCCAAAAAACTGGCTACATCAAAGTGCTGACAGCATTTTTTAAACTATGAAGTGCTACTCAAATGGCAAGCATTAATAATTATTATTATTTCCACCTCCTGCAGCTTGGCTTAAAGCCCCGGTGCAGCCTGCACTTCAGACCTGCTGCACTGCACACACACACCCCCTGCCACCCACCCCTCCCTCAGGAAGAGTCACCATCAGAAGTGGGCAGAGCTATGAGACTCTCATGCACCCAAGATCCAGCCCCCAACAAAATGTGACTCCCCATCTGGTTTCACATGCATCTTTGTACTTTCTGGCTGTCCTAACTCCGGCATCCATCGTTCCAAAAGAAGTGTGCAGGGAGTGGAGTGGGACTCACATGGGAAGGACGAGAGCGTCCAGCCTGATCTGCTATGAGGCTCGGAGGTGACAGGCCCTGGGGGATGCTGCTTTGGGCATCTCAGTGGCCCAGGGCCATTCAGGCTTCTGACTTCTTTGAGTATAGCCTGAGTGCTTCCCCCACAGTTTGCCTTTGCCAGGATGTGAATTCCTGTTCCGAAAGTGTTGGGAGAGATGGGGTAATGCAGAAGACAGGGACAGGAAAGAGAGGGGAGGTTCTGAGGCTTTTGGAAGTCAAATACTCCCTAGGAAACATTTCAATGTATAAAAGACTGAGAAACATATGGACTGAATTTTCCCAAAGAATACACATGGATTTAAAAATTAAAGGGCAAGGAAGGGGGTTGGATTTTTTTTTTTCTGATTGGGTGTTTTTTCCCCCAAAAGTACATTTTGGGGAAATTTTACTGGAAGCCAAAGCACTTAAAACATCCTAACATGTTAACCAGACTTGAGGCATCCATGTGACCCAACACCCTACATGGCATATAAGCCAAGTGTCTTCCCCCTCCCTGCCACTGAGCCCACACCCCTGCTTGCTCTCCACCCAGGGGCTGCACATCCATTGGCAGAGGAAATGGTGACCACAGGTATTCCACCGGCCAGGTGGCACACCTCGACTGCGGCCCCCTGGGGGCTGCTTGCCTGGGTTCACCCACTATGAGCTCCAGAATGTTGGTTAAATTCAAGTGGAGTCCAGTGGCTGACACTAACCTCTTTCCTGACCTCTCTGGGCCTCAGTTTCCTCATCTGAAAAATGGAAATGATAATAGCGCTTATCTCATAGGGTTATTGAGAGAATTAAGTGGGGAAGTAAATGATAAATGCTTAGAACTGTGACTTGCAAAATTTTAAGTGCTTGCCACTCAAAAAATAGCCATAATTATTATTTATAATATATACATATATATGTACATACACATATATATATGTGTGTGTGTGTGTATATATATACATATATGAGTACCTAGAGTGGGGCTCTTTTAACTCAGGATTTTATGAGGACTGCAAAAGGATTCATTGTCAATTTATTAAATATTAATTGAGGGCCTACTGCATCAGTCAGGATGAGCTAGGTTATTCTGTAATAACAAACATCCCCACTATCTCAGTAACTCACAGCAGCAAAGTCCCTTTCTTTTGTTTGTGAGACAGAGTTTCACTCTTGTTGCCCAGGCCGGAGTGCAGTGGTGCGATCTTGGCTCATGGCAACCTCCACCTCCCAGGTTCAAGTGATTCTTCGGCCTCAGCCTCCCAAAGTAGCTGGGATTACAGGTACCCACCACCATGGCCAGACAATTTTTTGTATTTTTTTAGTTGAGATGGGGTTTCACTATATTGGCCAGGCTGACCTTAAACTCCTGACCTCAGGCGATCCACCTGCCTCGGCCTCCCAAAGTGCTGGGATTACAGGTGTGAGCCACCACACCTGGCCAGCAAAGTCCGTTTCTTGCCAATGCTCGCTGTCCATCTCAGGTTCCAGGGGCTCTGTTCCACCTGCTCCTCACTGAGGGATGAGGGCTGACAAAGCCCCACCACCCTGGGAGGTATCACCCATCAATAACAGGACGAAGGGGGAATCAGAGCAAGTCACACATTGGTTCTTAAACGTTCCTGCTGGAAGTACCAAGTTACTTTAATTTTCATTTCAGGAACCAAACCAAATCACATGGCTGTCTTAGAGGAGTAGGGAGAGTGTAATTCTGCCATGTACCCAGAAAGGGGAGCACTGGAAATAGCAGCAGAGAACTTCAGGGAGCACCACAAATCAGCAACTGCTTTAGACACTTTGGGATATATCAGTGAACCAAACAGACTCCTGCCCTCATAGAGCTTACCTTCTAGTGAAGGGAGAAAGACAATAAAGGTAATAAGTTGAAGGCTGCAATTTTATTTTATTTTATTTTATTTTATTTATTTATTTTTGAGGCAGAGTCTCATTCTGTCGCGAGGCCCAGGCTGGAGTGTAATAGCATGATCTTGGCTCACTGCAACCTCCCCTCCTGGGTTCTGGCAATTCTTGTGCCTCAGCCTCCTGAGTAGCTGGGATTACAGGCATGCATCACCACAACCAGCTAATTTTTATATTTTTAGTACAGACAGGGTTTCACCACGCTGGCCAGGCTGGTCTCGAATCACTGACCTCAAGTGATCTTCCCGCCTAGGCCTCCCAAAGTGCTGGGATTATAGCCATGAGCCACCACACCCACCCTAGGCTACAGTTTTAAATAGGATGGTCAGGGTGGGCCCCATTGAGAAGGTGAAATTTGAGCAAAGACTTGAAGGAAGTGAAAGGGTGAGCCACACCAATATCTGGAGGAAGAGTGTTCTAGATGCAGGGGACAGCCTGTGCAAAGCCCAAAGCCTGGCGTATTCCACGAGCGGTGGGGAGGGAGGGAGGAAAGGCAAGCATTTGAGAGTGAGAGAGAGGCCAGGCCCAGCAGGACTTCATAGCTGAGGACGTGGGCTTCTACCCTGATGTGCTGAAGGGCCACTGGAGAGTTCTGACTTAAGGTTTAAAGGGATAACTGGCTGCTGTGTGGAGAACAGACTGCAGGGGAAGCTTGGAAACCAGTTAGGAGAGAAATGCTCGTTCAGCCATTCTCTGTGGAAAGAACACACATGACCCAATTCTCTTTGGCAGGTTTGTTTGTTAACCCTGAAATGGCTGGCACTTGGTCAGCCTTGCTGGCCTCTCCATGCCAGGCTGTCTGTAGGCACAGTCTTGGGCAAATGTGCTCTGGCTGTGGGGTCAGGATGTATTCTGTGCTACTCATGGGTGAGGGGTGGCTAGGGGGATGTTGCAGGGTAAGGACATTGTTAGTTTAAAGCCTTTTGAAAAGAAATGTTTCTTACTGCTTTTTTTTTTTTTTTTTTTTTTGAGACGGAGTCTCGCTCTGTCGCCCAGGCTGGAGTGCAGTGGCACAATCTCGGCTCACTGGAAGCTCTGCCTCCCGGGTTCACACCATTCTCCTGCCTCAGCCTCCCAAGTAGCTGGGACTACAGGCGCCCACCACCACGCCCAGCTAATTTTTTGTATTTTTAGTAAAGACAGGGTTTCATCGTGTTAGCCAGTATGGTCTCGATCTCCTGACCTTGTGATCCGCCCGTCTTGGCCTCCCAAAGTGCTGGGATTACAGGCGTTAGCCACCACGCCCAGCCTCTTACTCCTCTTATTTTCTGCCTGGATTTAAATCAGACACCTCCCCTAGCAAAAACAAAAAACTCCACTTTCTCCTGGAAACCCTATTCCCTGTCCTCAGCAACAGAAGCCCAAGACCTATTGAGTCACATGGCAATGTCATAACCTGCATCTTATTTAGGATGAGAAAGAATCCCTGCGCAGAGAGGGTGGCCTGTGTCCACTGGCCCTCAATGAATATGTATTTATTGCTTCTTCCTAAGGGGAGTGTGAAGGGAGGAGAAGGACGTGGGCTAGAAGCCTGGCTCAGTGTCTAGTCCTGGTTCTGCCACTCATAATAACTGGCCTGGCTTTTGTAGAACACTTTCAAATGCAGGATCTCACTCGAGGCTCACAATAGCACTCTGAAAGAGGTGATGCTGTTATCCTCATCTCAAGAAGCTAGGTGACGTGACACCTGGTAAGTGAGGGAGGCGAGATTTAAACCAGGTTTCCTGCCTCTAAAGCCTAGGATTGTTTCACCACATCACACAGCCACTAGGAGCACCCCCACCCCGCAACATAACCTGAGTTACTCCTCCCAGTGAGCCCCTCCCCTGTGAATCTGGGCTGGCCCTGTGACCAGTTTTTGACCAAAAGAACTTAGTGGAAATGATATAATGTAACTTCTGAGACTGGGCCTTAAGAGATTCACAGCTTCTTATAAGTCTTTGTCAGTTGAAATGTTCCCTCTTGAAAACATGCTGTGAGGTAAGAAATGTAACCATCCCATGACCATCAATCTGAGAGGAAGTTCAAGCCACATGGAGGGGGAGAGGCTACCTGCTGGAGCACCGAAGCTTCAGCCATGCAAATGAAGCCTTCTAGGCCAGCCAAGCCACCAGCCAAATACAGCCAAGTAAATGGCCCCAGCCAATAACGTGGAGAAGAAGAGCCACCCAGCTGAGCCCTGCCTGAATCCCTGACCCACAGAATCATGAGAAAATAAAATGATTATTGCTTTAAGCCACTAAATGTTGGGGTGGCTTGTTACGCAACAATATAAATGATCACAACCCCTTCATATGGGAAGAGATGAGCAATAGTCAACTTAATTCCTTCCTTCCCCCTCTCTCCCCTTCTTCCTTCTCTCCTTCCTTCTTTCCCTCCACAAATGTTTGTTAAGCACCTACAACATGCCAGGCGCTGTGCTAGATGCTGATACAAAAATGAACAAGGCAGTCACTGCCCTTCAGGAGCCTAATATCTAGTAGGAGAGGCCCTGTGTACACACACGTATACAACAAACAGGATCATGAGAAATACAAAGCACTCAGGGGTACTCAGTTTCACCGAACACAGGTCAGTAGAGGCTTCGCGAAGAAGATGCTACTTGTTGTGTGGCAGGCACTGTGCTGAGAGTCAGTTATCTGAACTGTGAGCTCTCCTTCACTCCACCCTCAGCTCAGCAGTGCAAGCTACACTTCCATAAACATGCCTTCTGTATCATCACATGAGTTATTCAGATATTGAATGTGATAAGGCCAGGCCAGATCTACCTAGTACACATCAATTTAAGGATGCCCTGATCCCTGCCCACTCTGCCCCCTTGATAGAATTCCATTGGCAAACACTCTTAAAGGACTTTTGTTGAACCAGCTATAAACCAATCCAACCAAGTTTTTACCTGGACAGCATTTCTTCATGTTGACCTTGAAGATGTAACAAGAGTCTTTGTTAAGGTCCCTGCTACAGTCCAGAATCTCCTTGAGTATAAACCTCACTGATCCTCCAGTCTGGTGATGACTGTATTATTAAAGGAAGTCAGACCATTTCCTCTGCTAAAGGCTTACAAATTACATATTTAGTAATCTTTTCAGAAGATTTTGCCAAGGTTTGGTTGTCAATTTTGGAATCTACCTCTTTTTCCATTTTTAAATTTAAACTTTAAAAAATGGTTGAATTGTTTTTTGAAAGTTGCTTCAATGTCTGCCGGTCTCCTGGCACCTGCTGCTTTCTCCAGGATACCTCAAAGAGGACCAAGCAGAGTTTGGGTATCTTTGCAGCCTCTCTCCATGCTCTGGGATGTATCTGAACCAATTCAAAGGTGCAGGACACGCTCTTCCTGTGTAACAGGATGATTTCTCAAAGTATTAATGTGAGTGTGTTCTCACTGAAATGTCCTGGTCCTAAGATTGGTGAAAGCAACTGGGTCCCTATGTGTTCCTTCCCATGGGGAAGTTTTGCACAAAGAGGCCAAAAGCAGAAGTACCTACTTGATTATCTATTCCTGGTGTTGGTTGAAAGAGTATGATAAATATTTTTAGTGGCAATTGGAAGAGTAAGACAGAACTCCCTGAGGCAAAAAAAAAAAAAAAAAAAAAAGAGAGAGAGAGAGAAAACATCAATCAGAGTGGGAGGGAGTGCTAAGGAAGTGGTGAGAGCTGGGTTGATGGCTGCATGGTGCCCTGGGGATGGGCATAGGCAGCAGAGTGCCCCATCCCAGCAATAATTTTCACACCCCACACATGGCATTGAGACAGAACCTTCAAGGGACCACTCTGGGTTTGGACAGGACAAAGTGGCTCTGTCATCTACTAAGATCCACAGCCATAATGGCCTGGAACTGTGTGACCTTGGGCAAGTTCCTGACCTCTCTGGGCCTTGGTTCCTCATCTGTGAAATGAGGATGGTAGCATTCCTTGTCTCAGGATTATTGTTAGGATTAAATCAGTTGATACATATAAATACTTAGAACCATGCCTAGCATGTAGTGTTATGTTGTTGATGATGATGATTGTTTTAAGGTGCAGCCCCCGAATTCTGGAGAAAGGAGAGAGCCTTGGTAATAATTTAAATTGGGTTTCCTGCCAAGCTGGTAAGGAAGTTCAAGGAAGACTCCAAGCTGGCACTTGGAGTCAGTTTAAGTCAACTTGAAGAAAATAGAGAAATGTGGCTGGGAGCAGTGGCTCACGTCTGTAATCACAGCACTTTGGGAGGCTGAGGCAGGTGGATCACTTGAGGCCAGGAGTTCAAGACCAGCCTGGCCAACATGATGAAACCTCGTCTCTACTAAAAATACAAAAATTGGCTGGGTGTGGTGGTGCATGCCTGTAGTCCCTGCTACTCAGGAGGCTGAGGCACAAGAATTGCTTGAACCCGAGAAGCAGAGGTTGCAGTAGGCCAAGATTGTACCACTGCACACTAGCCTGGGTGAAATGCCTCAAAAAAAAAAAAAAAGAAAAGAAAAGAAATAGAGAAATGTGACCTTTCTTGCACACTTAAATTTATGAACCAATATTCTCAACTTCTCCACTATCTCACTCCTGTATCAGGTTACAATGTCCTGTTAAAATTATGTTTTATATTTCAGGGAACAGAGAGCACCTGAGTGGGCTCTGTCATCTACTAAGATTTCCCACCTTCCCAAAGCAGCCGGTCTACCCTTTCTTATTCATCATATTAATCTTCTTCCAAACAAAACTGTGATAGAAAGGCTTCCTGAAGATGTCTGTGTCCTAATCTCCAGAATCCATGAATGAATGTGTTGTGTTACATAGCAAAGAGGATGTAGATAGAATTAAGGAATGCAGAGAGAATTAAAGTTGCTAATCAGCTGCCCTTAAAATAGGGATGGTGGCTTGGGTTATTTTGGTGGATCCTATCACAAGGGTCCTTATAAGTGGGAGAGGGGGCCAGGCATGGTGGCTCACACCTGTAATCCCAGCACTTTGGGAGGCCAAGGCAGGCAGATCACTTGAGGTAAGGAGTTCGAGACCAGCCTGGCCAACATGGTGAAACCCCATCTCTACTAAAAATACAAAAACTAGCCAGGCGTGGTGGTGTGTACCTGTAATCCCAGCTACTTGGGAGACTGAGGCACGAGAATCTTTTGAGCCTGGGAAGCGAAGGCTGCAGTGAGCCAAGATCATGCTACTGTCCTCCACCCTGGGCAACAGAGCAAGACACTATCTCAAAAAGAAAGAAAGAAAATCAGGAGAGGGAAACAGAAGAGGGAAAGCCCAAGAGATGGCAGAGTGGAAAGACATGGCCCAACATTTCTGGCTGTGAGAAAGCGAGGAAGGGGCCATAAGCCAAGGTACATGGGCAACCTCTAGAAAGCTGGGAAATTCAAGGGAACAGATTATCCCTTAGAGCCTCCAGAAGGAAGGGATGCAGCCCTGGTGACAGCTTGATTTTCAGTCCAGTGAGACCCATGTCAGCCTTCTGACCTCAGAGCTGTAAGATTATACATCTGTGATGTTTTAAGCCTCTAAGTCTGTGGTAATGTGTTTTCACAGCAATAGGAATGAATAGACAAAACCACCAATATAGAAACAATAATCAAACAAAAACACTTGTTTTTGCAAAGCTCAGCTTTAGCTTTTCTGACCCTGTTTTCGAAAGTTCTTATCTTTCTCCTGAGCTCGTCTTTTCTTCTCTGCCCCTGGTCCCAGAACTGATGCAGGTTCTTTTGCACTAAGAGCTCTCTAAGAAGTGCTGTGTTTATTTAAACATGTCCCTCTCTTTCATGGAAGTCATTGCTGGTATCCGCTGGGCACTCCCTTTTCTCCTCACATTTCTTGTCTTTGTCTCTGGAGTCACGCCTTCCTTTCCTCTGGACTTTCTGAAGTCCTGTCCTAAGGCTTGGTGCGTGGGACTGACTAGTTAAAATCTAGTGCCAAGTGCTCAGAACATCAAGACACAACAAAGTCACTCAAGATCCGTTGGGCAGAATCTCCTGAAATTGCTTTTTTTTTAAGATCTAAAAGTCAAGTATCAGTAATTCTATAAAAGTTCAACATAAGAAAAGAGAAGACAGGCAAATAACTACAGGTGTGAAAAATATACTACAGAAACAGAAACAAGAACAGGTGTCATGGTGGAGGGGGACAAATACATAAGAAAATAGTAATGAGAAATGCTATGGAGAAAATAGTGGCTCACACCTGTAGTCCCAGCACTTAGGGAGACCAAGGCAGGAGGGTCACTTGAGCCCATGAGTTTGAGACCAGCCTGGGCAACATGGCAAAACCCTGTCTCCACAAAAACATACAAAACTAGCCAGGCATGGTGGTGCTTACTTGTAGTCCTAGCTACTTGGGAGGCTGAGGTAGGTGGATTGTTTGAGCCCAGGAGGTCAAGGCTGCAGTGAACCATGGTTGTACCACTGCACTCCAGCGTGGGTGAAAGAGCAAGACTCTGTCTCTTAAAACAACAACAAAAAACCCTCAGCCCTGCAATGGGGCACACCTGGGAGCCCCTTTGGATTGGGTGGTCAGGGAAGGGCCCTGGGAGGCAATGACCTGCTGTGTTACGCTCAGGAGGTTGGCCAGGACCCCGTGGAAGACTCAGGGAGCCAGCAGGGGACGCTAGGCAGGGGAGGACAGGGCCCAGTCCCTCTGTGGCTCACTCACTCTGGAGTGGGTGTGGGGATGTGCTGGCAGGGCCAGTCCAGGAGCCTAGTTAAAGGGGGGTCCTGTGGTAGCCCATGCATGGGATGATGGTGGCCTACAGTGAAACCATGATGGTGGGCTGGGGAAGAGTGGAAGTACTTAGGATGGGGAAGAAGCAGGACTTTTGGTGATTGAGTGTGTTGGGGCAGGAGCAGGGGAGGAAGAGGGAGGTGAAAGGGGTGACTCTGGTTCACTATTAGGGGACTGGATGGTTGTGCTACTCTGCAACACAAGGAACTCTGGGAAAGGGGGAGATTGGGTGGCCAGAGACGTGCGGAGATGGGCATGGAGGAGCTCACAAGCAGCAGTTCTGGAAATGAATGCTGAGCATGGCAGCTGGACGACAAGGTGGCCCAATGGCCCGTGCCTACAGTCTGCACACCCTTGGGTAGTCTCCTGCCCTTGAATCTGGGCTATGCTCTCTGGTTTTCATGGACGCTAAGAGGGCACAGTCACCTCCTCACAAGATCTGCCATCAGCACTTTCTGATTTTTTGTGCTTGGTCAAGATTAAGTCTAGAGTAGCTGCCCCCAGAAGGAGCCATTTGAAAAGATTATTGAGGATTTTCCAACACTCTGCTTCCAGAAGAATTAGATACCCCACCTCCTCTGGTTTAATCCAGCCTTTTGGGGTTGGCTCCACAGGTGATTTACATAGGAAATACGTGGGACTCCTCCAAGGTAGAAGTTTTTATGGTTGCGCCTGGCAGCCTTCACTGACCCTCATCCACATAGACAAGTGGCCACAGGTACACTCCACTCAGTCACCCCACACTCCAGAGGCCTTGGGTAGACTTTCATGTGTTCACAGACAGATGTAGCTTTTCACGGTCTTCACATTCACACGCTCAAGTACAAGGTCAGTCCCTGCCGATGCAAGTTACAAGGAAGCACAACCTGTGCTAGGGCAGCCAGTGCATCCCTTCCAGCTGGCCAGGAGCCCTCAGCAGGCCTGAAAGCTGGGAGGAGAGGTGCCCAGCTAGGTGGAAACAGAAGGGAAGGTGCAGGACTGTGGGTGATCCTGGCAGCTGGCTTGCTCCTGGAAGGCCAGGTGGGACATCTGCAAGGTAAGGGCCTGGACCCTGGGCAGAAATTGTAAGTCTCTGGTCTTCAAGGCCTTTAGGAGATGAGAATGTTGAAGCCTCCGTCTTACCAACTAAACCTCTCGGTACCAAGAGGGCCTGGCCTGCAAGGTAGAAACCAAAACCCCCTCTAACACACACACATGCACACACACACCTCTAAACATTCAAGTGTACAGATGCTAGCACTGTACTAGCATTGTTTCTGCAAGCCTGAGAGAAGCTGAGCTCTGTTTCCATTCTCCTCTCACATCTGCCTGGTGGGAATGCTCTAAGAGGGGGTTCCCAGACTTTGTTGCACATTAAGATCACCAGGGAAGGAAGCTTTCACAAATCTTGATGTTCAGGTCACTGCTCATGCCAATGAAATCGAATATTTGGGTGTAAGACCCAGACATCAGTATTAACTGGTGACTCCTATGTGCAGCCAACTTCAAGAACCAAAGATCTTTGTTGGTTTTTTTTTTTTTTTTGAGACAGAGCCTCACTCTATCACTCAGACTGGAGTGCAGTGGCACAATCTTGGCTCACTGCAACATCCGCCTCCCAGGTTCAAGTGATTCTCCTGCCTCAGCCTCCCAAGTAGCTGGGACTACAGGTGTGTGCAATCATGCCCAGCTGATTTTTTTGTATTTTTAGTAGAGACAGGGTTTTATCATGTTGGCCAGCTGGTCTCAAACTCCTGACCTCAAGTGATCTGCCCTCCTCAGCCTCCCAAAGTGCTGGGATTACAGGCGTGAGCCACCATGCCCAGCCCAAAGACTTTTATTCATCATCACACACAGGCCTGTGGTGGAGATTTTTAAAAATTGAGGTGAAATTCATATAAACTTACTCATTTTAAAGTATACAATTTAGTGGCATTTCGTACATTCACACTGTTGTGTAACCATCACTTCCATCTAGTTCCAAAACATTTTCATCACCCTAAGGAGAAACCCTGTACACATTAAGCAAGCATTCCCCTCTCCCCCTCTCCCCTCAGTCCCTGCCAACCACAAATCTGCTTCTGTTTCTATGGATTTACCTATTCTGTGTATTTCATATAAGTAGAACTAGACAATATTTGACATTTTGTTTCTAACTTCTTTGCTTGGCATAAGTTCATCCATGTTGTAGCATGAATCAGTACTTCCTTCTTATGGCTGAATAATATTACCCTGTATGACTAGGACACACTGTATTTATCCATTTAACCGCTGATAGACATTTGGATTGTTTTCACCTTTGGGCTACTGCGAATAATGCTGCTTTGAATATTCATGTACAAGTCTTTGTTTGAATCTCTATTTTTGATTCTTTGGGGTATTCTGGGAGCAGAATTGCTGGGTTATATGGTAATTTGATGCTACTTTTTTTTTTTTCTAGACAGGGTCTGTCTGTAGCCCAGGCTGGAGTGCAGTGGCAAGATCATGGCCCACTGCAGCCTTGGCCTCCTGGGCTCAGGTGATCCTCCTCCCTCAGTCTCCCAAGTAGCTGGGACCACAGGCATGTGCCACCACACCTGGCTAATTTTTTAAAAAAAATTTTGTAGAGATGGTTTTTCCCTATGTTGCCCAGTCTGGTCTCAAACCCCTGACCTCAAGTGATCCGCCTGCCTCAGCCTCCCAGAGTGCTGGGATTACAGGCGTGAGCCACCCACTTCTGGCTGATGCTTATCTTTTAATGAACTGCCAAACTGTTTCCCACACATGCTGCACCATTGCACATTCCCACCAGCAATGTACAAATGTTCCAATTTGTCCACATCCTTGTTAACACTGTCTGTTTTTCATTTTTTTATTATTATAGCCATCCTTGTAAGTGTAAAGTGGTATCTTATTGTGGTTTTAATTTTCATCTCCCTAATGAGGAATAATATCGAGCATTTTTTCTTGTACTTGTTAACTATTTGTATATCTTCTTTGGAGAAGAGTCTATTCAAGACCCAGATACTTTATGCCTCCTAATCCTCATAGCACCACTGAGAGGAAAGGATTGTTCACATTTTTCTAGATGAAGAAACTGAGGCTGAGAGAATGCCCCAACTCCAATTGATGACAGAAAGCAAGATCTGCCGATGCTTGAAATTCATACCATACACACGCCCCAAATATTCCAGTGTGCAGATGCTTGTGCCAAATGAGAAATACAGTCAAAAAGCTACAGGGGGCTGGGTGCAGTGGCTCATGCCTATAATTCCAGCACTTTGGGAGGCCGAGATGGGTGGATCACATGAGGTCAGGAGTTCGAGACCAGCCTGGCCAACATGGTGAAACCCTGTTTCTACTAAAAGTACAAAAATTAGCCAGGCATGGTGTCGGGCACCTGTAATCCCAGCTACGTGGGAGACTGAGGCAGGAGAATCACTTGAACCCAGGAGGCAGAGGTTGCAGTGAGCCAAGATCATTCCATTGCATTCCAGCCTAGGTGACAAGAGCAAAAATTCTGTCTCAAAAAAAAAAAAAAAAAAAGCTACAGAGTGTGGAGGAGGAGGGGTAAGCACAAAAAAACTGGAGCCCCTGAGGAGCTCTTCAGGTAGAGAGGGAGTGGGGTTCCATATGGGTTTGGAGTGACAGAGTGAGAGAGAGAGATACAGTAGAGAGACCAAGTGTGAGTGCCAGGAACCAGCAAGGCATATTGAAGGAGATGCATTTTTTTGTCAGGCCTGTTTCTATAGCAGAGAAAGACACAGTTGGCATGTTCAGCGGGGGGCCCAGGGTGGAGGTCACTCAGGTTTTATGCTCTGGACTCCTTTGTGCCCTGAGAATTTCCCAGGCTTGGCCACAATCAGCTCCAGCTGCTGATTCTGGGATGGACTCAGCCACAGCCTCACCCAGGTCACACAAATGGAAGTGGTAAGTCGATGCTCCGCACAGGCAGCTGCTACAGCTGCAGGAAGCCTGGAGGTGTGAGTCGATATTTCTGTTAGACTCTCAGTTTCATCAGAAATCAGTGCCAGAAAATGGCTTTGCAGCTGTGTGTGTGTGTGTGTGTGTGTGTGTGTGTGTGTGTGTGTGTGTCTATGGGCTCCAACACCCTTTAGAAGCCTATCTCTGTACTTTGAACTCTAAGAGGTGCAAAGTGAGATTGAGGGGTAAGGAGGGATGAGGGGGAAGGAGTTCTGATGATCTGAGGCTGGAGGAGAAATAAGGACCAGAGCCGCCCTCAGGCCTTGGAGAGCAGCCTTCACCTCTGGAAATGATGCCGAAATATTTCAGCCTCTCTCTCCTGGGGTTTCCTGTTTCCTATTTGGTCTCTGGTTTCCAGGCAACACATGAATACCCCCAAACTCCTGAAGTGTATGGGTCTCCAAATGTCCTTCTTCCTCTAAAGCTCACATCTGTAATGAGTTTCCCATCTGCTCAGTCGCCCAGGGCAGCCCATCCATTCTGCTGTCTCCAGAGACAAAAGCAATCGAAGATGCTTGTGGTTTGAGGTGTGTGTGTGTTTCTACCCTCCCCCCAACCCTGCCACTTTGTAGGTTTCTCCAGTTTAATGAGTCTTCCTGCAAAGTCGGTTTGGCTGAATTGCATTATTAGGGTGGGGAGCAGGCAGGAGATTTAGGGTTTGCTGATTTGATGCAGTAAAGAACTGAGTCTGGCAGGAGCCCAGCAATTTAGAAGAAAAGTGGGGGAATAAGCCCTAAACTTGACCCACTGGTGAGCTATTGGCTGGCTTTCTCTCTCTCTCAGGAGAGAGTGGAGGGGCTGTCTTCAGGAACTCTGGTGGGCTTCAGGGGACTTGAAACTTCCTTAGATTCATGATAAACTGGATTCATGATTCACTCCCACCAGATTCAGAGAACCTGGTGGCAGTGAAGTATAAAATTGAAGGGGGCAAAATTATGGGGAATTGCACTAATTTTTGTGTTTAGTATAATTAATACATAGCAATTGCATTAATATTTGCATAATAATAGTACTTCAAGGCTTAGAACAACAGTCCATTGTCACTCTTATCCAGCTCTGAGCTCCAGTCTCAAGGGCAACCTATTTTTAGTTTTAACTATTGGTAAAAATTTACCTTGGAGAGGGGTGTATTAGTCTGTTTTCACGCTGCTGATAAGGACATACCTGAGACTGGGCAATTTACAAAAAAAAAAAAGAGGTTTAATGCACTCACAATTCCACGTGGCTAGGGAGGCCTCACAATCATGGCAGAAGGTAAAAGACACTTCTTACATGGCGGTGGCAAGAGAGAGAATGAGAGCCAAGTGAAAGCAGTTTCCCCTCATAAAACCATCAGATCTCATGAGACTTATTCACTACCCTGAGAACAATATAGGAGAAATGGCCCCCAGGATTCAGTTATCTTCCACCGGCTCCCTCCCACAACTTGTGGGAATTATGGGAGTATAATTCAAAACGAGATTTGGGTGGGGACACAGAGCCGAACCATATCAAGGGGCAAAGCAAGGTGACTGAATAGAATCTCCCAGTAATTGTCCCTCTGCAGGAACATCAAATTGAACAACTATCCACACAAAAAAGCACCTTCTGAAGAGCTACAGATGCACTGGAGAGGGTAGGAAGGACAATCTCACATTGCCTAAACCACCCCTACCCCAACCCCAGGCAGGACGGTAGGAGACAGAAACTGCCTGCTTGGGGAACAGAAAGGGAAGTGAGTGTGAAACTTTGAATTAGAACTTAGTGCCAGCCCCACCACAATGGAACAAAGCTCCATGCAGAGCTCCTGCAGCCTGAAATTCCAGGCTGGGGCCCACAGAGGGAGAATTTATACCTAGCCCAGGGCAGAGGGGAATCTACCGCCCAGGCAGGAGGAGCTAGAGTCCCTGTCCACTTGATCACCAGGAAACTAAAGTGGCATCAGGACCCAAATAAACTTCAGTGGCTGGCAAGCAGGCTTTAGAAACCATGGTCCTTGGATGAGACCCAGTAATGTGCTGGTCTGAGAGGCCATTGGCTGAAAAGTGACCCAGTATTCAGAGGTAAAGCCAGCTGGACTTCCTGGGTCGAGTGGGGACTTGGAGAACTTTTCTGTCCAGCTAAAGGATTGTAAACACACCAATCAGCGCTCTGTGTCTAGCTAAAGGATTGTAAATGCACCAATCAGCACTCTGTGTCTAGCTAAAGGATTGTAAATGCACCAATCAGCACTCTGTCTAGCTAAAGGATTGTAAACACACCAATCAGCACTCTGTAGAAATGCACCAATCAGCACTCTGCGTCTAGCTAAAGGATTGTAAATGTACCAATCAGCACTCTGTAAAAACACACCAATCAGCACTCTGTATAATGGACCAATCAGCAGGACGTGAGCGGGGCCAAATAAGGGAATAAAAGCTGGCCACCAGAGCCAGCAGTGGCAACACACTCAGGTCCCCTTCCACACTGTGGAAGCTTTGTTCTTTCACTCTTCACAATAAATCCTGCAGCATCACTCTTTGGGTCTGCACTACCTTTATGAGCTGTAACACTCACCACGAGGGTCTGCAGCTTCATTCCTGAAGTCAGCGAGACCACAAACCCACCAGGAGGAAAAAACAACTCTGGACGCACCACCTTTAAGAGCTGTAACACTCACCGCAAGGGTCTGCGGCTTCACTCCTGAAGTCAGTGAGACCACGAACCCACCGCAAGGAATAAACTCCAGACACATCTGAACATCTGAAGGAAAAAACTCCAGACACACCATCTTTAAGAACTGTAACACTCACTGCGAGGGTCCACGGCTTCATTCTTGAAGTCAGCGAGACCAAGAACCCACAAGAAGGGATAAATTCCAGACACAGTATGACATCAGTGGTGTCTGCCACAAAAGTACCCATGTCACCCCTCCCTCAGCTCCAGGCAGTGCAGTTCAGAGAGACTCCCTCTACTTGGGAAGAAAGAAGAGTACAGGAGACTTTGCCTGTGAATCTAGTGTCAGTTTTGCCACAGTAAAACAAAACACAGGGCTGAACCCCCACCTGGACATACTTCTAGACTTGTCCTGGGACAGAAGGGAATCCATCACCATGGCAGGAAAAACCCAAGTCCCAGCCTGCTTCACCACCAGCTGACCAAAGTGACCTTGGCCTTTGAATAAATATCAGCAGTATTAAGGCAGTAGCAGCTGCAGGCATTGAGCTAGCCCTGGTACTGCACCGGTCAGGGAGACTATAGGCTTTGGTATGACCTAGCATAGTGCCAGCTGCAGAGGCCATGGATATGTCCATGTCAGCCCTCCCCCACCAGGGAACTATCTCTGATTTTCCAGAACTACATCAGGGTTGGCGATCTTGGAGTCTGCAAGACTCATAGTGAAACTTGGCTTAGGGCCCTCTCTACTGCAAAATGGCTGCACTGACCACAGGTTTAGTGAACTCAACAGGTGGTCCCTTTTGAATTATTCGAAGGCTCCCTGAAGAACAGATACAAACAAGGCCAGACAGTGAAGACTGGAATAAGTATCTACTTCATCAATGCCCAGATATTGATGAATGTATGCAAGCATCAGAAACATTCAGAAAATATGGTCTCACTAAATAGACTAAATAAGGCACCAGTAATGACCCTGGAGAGATGGAGATGTGTGACCTCTCAGCCAAGGAATTCAAAATAGCTGTTTTGAGGAAGTTCAGTCAACTTAAACACACACACACACACACACACACACACACACACACACACACACACACACACAAAATTCAGAAATTTATCAGAGAAATTTAACAAAAAGACTGAAAATTTGAAAATAAATAGAAATCCTGGACCTGAAAAATATAATACGATAGATCAAGTAAAAAATGCATTTGACATCTTCAACAGAAGAATTGATCAAACAGAAGAAAGAATCAGGCTATTTGAAAATGCACAGAGGAGAAAAAGGAAAGACAAACACGAGAATTAAAAAATAGCTTCAAAAGAGCAAATGTAAGAGTCGTTGGCCTTAAAGAGGGAGTAGAGACAGAAAAAGGGGTAGAAAGTTTATTCAAAGAAATAATATCATGGAGTGGGGAGAAGAAAAAAAATAATATCAGAAAACTTTCCAAACCTAAAGAAAGTTATGAATATCCAGTTACGAGATGGTCAAAGAGCACCAAGCAGATTGAACCCAAATAAGACTCAAGCCATATAAAAAATCAGACTCTCAAAGTTAAACAAGAAAAAGAGGATCCTAAAATGGCAAGAAAAAAGAAACAAACAACATATAAAGAAGCTCCAGGCCAGGTACAGTGGCTCACACCTGTAATCCCAACACTTTGGGAGGCTGAGGTCGGCAGATCACCTGAGGTCAGGAGTTCAAGACTAGCCTGGCCATCATGGCAAAACTGCATCCCTACTAAACAATACAAAAATTAGCTAGGCATGGTGGCTGGTGCCTGTAATCCTAGCTACTCAGGAGGCTGAGGAAGGGAGAATTGCTTGAACCTGGGAGTTGGAGGTTGCAGTGAGCAGAGATCACACCATTGCACTCCAGCCTGGGCAACAGAGTGAGACTCTGTCAAAAAAAAAAAAAAAAGCTCCAATACATCTGTCTGACAGTGGACTTCCCAGTGGAAATCTTAGAGGCCAGGAAAGAGTGGGATGCCATATTCAAAGTGATGAAGAAAACAAAAATTACAAACTGAGAATACTGTATCCAGTAAAGCTATCTTTCAAACACAAAGGAGAGATAAAGACTTTGTCAGGCAAACAAAAGCTGAAGGAATTTATCACCACCAGACCTGTCTTACAAGATATGTGAAAAAAAGAGTTCTTCCATCTGAAATAAAAGGATGCTAATGTGCAAAAAGAAAGCATTTGAAGATATAAAACTCACTGGTAAAACTATGTACATAGCCAGGCTCAGTGCCTCAAGCCTGTAATCCCAGCACTTTGGGAGGCTGAGGTGGGTGGATCACTTGAGGTCAGGAGTTTAAGGCCAGCCTGGCCAACATAGTGAAACCCCATCTCTACTAGAATTACAAAAATTAGCCAGGTATGGTGGCGGGCACCTGTAATCCCAGCTTCTAGGGAGGCTGAGGCGCAAGAATCACTCGAACCCAGGAGGCAGAGGTTGCAGTGAGCCGAGATCGTGCCACTGCACTCCAGCCTGGGTGACAGAGCAAGACTCTTTCTAAAAAAAAATAAGTGTGTACATAGACAAATTCAGAATAATATAGTAATTGTAGTACGTAAGCTACTTGTGTCTTTAGTATGAACACTAAAAGACACACCTATCAAAATTAATAACTACAATTTGTTAAGAGAGAAACAATATAAAAAGATTTAAATTGACAACAAATAATCAAAATGCAGAGGGGGATGGAGGTAAGTATCTTTTTCCTCTGTCTCTTTTTTTGCAATCAAAATTAAGATGTCATCTTAATAATTTATTATAGCTAAAGATAAGCCTTTAAAATAATTTACTACAGCTAAAGCTAAGTCTCATGGTAACTACAAAGCAAAAACCCGTAATAGATACACTGAAAAAACAAGGAATTAAAATATACTACCAAAGAAAATCGCTTAAACCACAAAGAAAAACAATAAGAAAGGAAGAGAGGAGTTATAAAGAACCAGGAAACAGGTAACAAAATGGTAGTAGCAAATCCTTACCTGTCAATAACAACATTGAAGGCAAATGGACTTAATTATCCAATTAGAAGACACAGAGTGACTGCATAGGTTTTAAAAAAAAAAAAAAAAGTCCCAACTATATGTTGCCTACAGGAAACTCCCTTCACCTGAAAAGCCACACATAGGTTGAAAGCAAAGGGATGGAAAAAGGTATTCTACATAAATGGAAACCAAAAACAAGCAGGAATAGCCATACTTTTATCAGATAAAACAAGCTTCAAGTCAAAAGCTCTAAAAGGAAACAAAGAGAGAGAAGATCATTATACAATGATAAAAGGATCAATTCAGCAAGAGGAAGTAACAACTGTAAATACATATGTACCCAACACTGAAGCACCCAGATATATAAAATAATATTAGAGCTCAAGTGAGAGATAGACCCCAATATAATGATAATTGGTAACATTAACACTCCACTTTCAGCACTGGATAACATCTAGACAGAAAATAAATAAAGAAGCATCAGGCTTAATCTGCACTATAGACCAAGTGGACCTAACAGAAAGTTACAGAAAATTTCATCGAATAGCTACAGAATACACATTCTTTTCATCAGCACCTGGAACATTCTCCAGTATATACCATATGTTAAACCACAAAACAAGCCTCAACAAATTTTTCAAGGTCAAAATCATATCAAGTATCTTCTTAAGCCACAGTAGAATAAAACTAGAAATCACTAACAAGAACAACTTTGGAAACCATGCAAATACATGAAAATTAAACAACATGCTCCTAAACAACTACTGAGTCAAAGAAGAAATTAAAAAGGAAATAGAAACATTTCTTGAAACAAATGAAAAATGGAAATACAACATACTAAAACTTATGGGATATAGCAAAAACAGTACTCAGAGGGAAATTTATAGCAATAAACACCTACATCCAAAAAAGTAGAAAACTTTCAAATAACGAACCTAATGATGCACCTCGAGGAACTAGAAAAGCAAGAATAAACCAACCCCAAAGTTAGTAGAAGAAAGGAAATAATAAAAATCAGAACAGAACTAAATGAAATAGACACTAAAAAATTACAAAGAATCAAAAAACCAAAAAGTTGGTTATTTGAAAATATAAACAAAATCAATAAATTACTAGCTAAACTAACCAAGAAAAAAAGAAGTCCCAAATAAATAAAATTAGAAATGATAAAGGAGACATTACAACTGATATCACAGAAATACAAACGATCGGCCAGGTGCTGTGGCTCATGCCTGTAATCCCAGCACTTTGGGAGGCCGAGGCAGGTGGCTCACTTGAGGTCAGGAGTTTGTGACCAGCCCAGCCAACATGGTGAATCCCTGTCTCTACTAAAAATACAACAAATTGGCTGAGTGTGGTGGCAGGCGCCTGTAATCCCAGCTACTTGGGAGGCTGAGGCATGAGAATCACTTGAACCCAGGAGGGAGAAGTTGCAGTGAGTCAAGATCCTACCACTGCACTCTAGTCTAGGTGACAGAGCAAAACTCTGTCTCAAAAAGAAAAAGAAAAAAGTACAAAAGATCTTTAGAGACTATTATGAAAAATTATATGCTAACAAATTAGAAAACCTAGAGGACATGGATAAATTCCTAGACACATATAACCTACCAAAATTGAACCAGGAAGAAATAGACCTGAAAAGACCAATAACAAGTAATGAGATTGAATCAGTAATAAAAAGTTTCCCAGCAAAAAAACCCAGGACCAGATAGCTTTATTGCAAAATTCTACCAATTTTTATTAAATTTTTTTAGAAACATGATCTCACTCTGTCACTCAGTCTGGAGTACAGTCGTGTGATCATAGCTCACTGCAGCCTCAAACTCAGGCTCAAGTGATTCTCCCACATCAGCCTCCTGAGTCACTAGGACTATAGGTGCATACCATAATGCCCAGCTAATTATTTTTTTGTAGACACAGGGTCTTGTTATGTTGCCCAGGCTGGTCTCCAGCTCCTGGCCTCAAGCAACCCTCCCACCTCAACCTCCCAAAATGCTGGGACTACAGATCTGAGCCACTGCACTCAGCCTACAAATCATTTGAAAAAGATTTAACACCAATTCTTCTCAAGTTATTCCAAAAAGTGAAGAGGAGGGAATTCTTCCTAACTCATGCTATGAGACCAGCATTGCCCTGATACCAAAACCAGACAAGACTACAACAACAAAAGAAAACTTCAGGCCACCATTCTTTATGAACATAAATTCAAACTTTTTAACAAATTACTGCCAAATCAAGTTCAACAGCACATCAAAAAGATAATACACATGATGAAGTGGGATTTATCCCAAGGATGCAAGGATGTTTCAACATACACAAAGCAATAAATGTGATGTATCACATTAACAGAATGAAGGATAAAAACCATATAATCATCTCAATAGACACAGAAATAGCATGTAATAAAATTTAACATTCCTTCATGATAAAATTCTCAACAGATTAGGCACAGAAGGAACACACTTCAACATAATAAAGGTTATATATGACAAACCCACAACTAACATCATACTAAATAGGGAAAGGTTGAAACCCCTTCCTCTAAAAACTGGAACAAGACAAGGATGTCCATTTTCACCATCCCTATTTAACATAGTATTGGGAGTCTTAGCCAGAGCAACTAGGAAGAAAAAGAAAGGACATCCAAATTTGGAAAGAGAAAATCAAATTGTCCCTTATTGCAGATGACATAACCTTATATATAGAAAAGCCTAGACTCCACCAAAAACTGTTACGACTAATAAACAAATTCAGTAAAGTTGCAGGATACAAAATAAACATATAAAAATCAGTAGTGTTTCTATACAGCAATAATAAATGAACTGAAAAAGCAAGAAATGAACCCCATTTACAATAGCTAAAAAAAAAAAAGGAATAAACTTAACCAAGGATGCAAAAGACCTTCACAATGAAAACTAGAGAACACTGATAAAAGAAACTGAAGAAGACACAAACAAATGAAAATACATCCCATGCTCATGGATTGGAAAAATTAATATTATCAAAATGACTAAAGCAATTTACAGGTTCAATGTAATCTCTATCAACATACCAGACATTCTTCATGGGAATAGAAAAACAATCCTAAAATACATATGGAACCACAAAAGACCTCAAATAGCTAAAGCAATATATATAGAAAAAAAAATAGCAGGAGGCATCATACTACCTGACTTCAAAATACACGACAAAGCTATAGAGGTATAGTAACCAAAACAGCATAGTATTGGTATAAAAACAGACACATAGAACAATGGAACAGAATAGAGAATCCAGAAATCCACATATTTAAAGCCAACTAATTTTTGACAAAGGCACCAAGAACATACATTGGGAAAAGGACACCTTCTTCAATAAATGGTGCTGGGAAATATTGAAGAAGGACACCTTCTTCAAAAAACGGTGCTGGGAACTATATGCAGAAGAATGAAACTAGACCCTTATTCTCACCATATACAAAAATCAACCCAAAATGGATTAAAGACTGAAAAGTAAGACCCAAAACTATAAAAACGCTAGAAGAAAACATAAGGAAAATGTGCTTCAGCCCATTGGTCTAAGCAAAGATTTTATGTCTAAGGCTTCAAAAGCACAGCTAAAGAAAATAGATAAATGAGACTATATTAAACTAAAAACCTTCTCCCCAGCAAAGGAAACAATCAAGAGAGTGAAGAGACAACCTACAGAATGGGAGAAAATATGTGCAAGCTACTCATTTCGCAAGGGATAACATCTAGAATATACCAGGAACTCAACACTAAAAAAAAAAAAAAACCACTAAAAAGTGGAGAAAGAATCTAGAATTATAGACATTCCTCAAAAGAAAATATACAAATGACCAAAGAATATGTATTGAATAGCAGGAGGCATCATACTACTGATGAATACTATTGAATATGAAAAAAATGCTCAATATCGACCAGGTGCAGTGGCTCACACCTGTAATCCCACCACTTTGGGAGGCCAAGGGGGGCAGATCACCTGAGGTCAGGAGTTCGTGACCAGCCTGACCAACATGGTGAGACCCCATCTCTACTAAAAATACAAAAATTAGCCAGACATGGCGGTGCACACCTGTAATCCTAGCTACTCGGGAGGCTGAGGTGGGAGGATTGCTTGAACCTGGGAGGCAGAGGTTGCAGTGAGCAGAGATCATGCCTCTGCCTAGGTGACAGAGTGGGACTCCGCCTCAAAAACACACTCTATCACTGATCATCAAGGAAATGCAAACCACAATTAGATATCATCTCACCCCAGTTAGAATGCTACAATATGGTTTGGATATTTGTCCCCTCCAAATCTCATGTTGAAATGTGATCCCCAGTGTTGGAGTAGGGCCTGGTGGCAGGTGTTTGGATCATGGGGGAATATGCCTCATGAATGGCTTAGTGTCATCCCCATGGTGATGAGTGAGTTCTTGCTCTGAGTTCATGCAAGATCTAGTTGTTTAAAAGTGTGTGGTACCTCCTCCCTCTCTCACTTGCTCCTGCTCTCACCTTGTGATACAGGTGTTTTGTCTTCACCTTCCACCATGATTTTAAGCTTCCTGAGGCCCTCACCAGGAGCAGATGCCAGCGCCATGCTTCCTGTACAGCCTGCAGATCTGTAAGCCAATTAAACCTCTTTTCTTTATAAATTACCCAGCTAGCAATACAAATTACTGGCATTATAGCAATGCAAAATGGCCTAATACCAGCTCTTATCAAAAGGGCAAAAATTAACAAATGCTGATGAGAATGCAGAGAAAAGGGAGCTCATACACTGTTGATGGGAATATGAGGTAGGGCAGCCATTACAGAACACAGTATGGAGGTTTCTGAAAAAACTATAAACAGAACCACCTTATGATTCATTCAGCGGTCCCGCTACTGGGTATTTATCCAAAGGAAAGGAAATCAGTATGTCAAAGCGGTACCTGCACCCCTATGTTTATTACAGCGCTATTCACAATAGTGATGATATGAAACCGTCCTAAATGTCCATCGGTGGATGAACAGATAAAGAAAATGTGGCTTATATACACAATGAAATACTATTTGGCCATAAAAAGTAAAATCCTGTCATTTTTAGCAACAAGGATGGAACTGGAGGACATTCTGTTAAGTGAAATAAGCCAGGAACAGAAAAACAAGTATCACATGTTCTCACTCATATGTGAGAGCTAAGAACACTGATCTCATGGAGGTAGAGAGTAGAATGACAATTACCAGAGACTGGGAAGGGTGGGGAGATAAAGAGATGTTGGCTAATGGGTGCAAACATACAGTTACATAGAAAAACTAAGTTCTAGTGTTTAATAGCACACTGGGGTGAATACAGTTAACAATAATTTATTGTAAATTTCAAAACAACTAAAAGAAAATATTTGAAATATTCCCAACACAAGGAAATGACATATGTTTGAGGTGGTAGATATTCCAATTACCTTGACTTGATTGTTCATTACACCTCGTATTCGTGTATCAAAATAGGACGTGTGCCCCAGAAATTTGTATGATTATTATATATCTTTTTTTTTTTTTTTTTTTTTTTTTGAGATGGAGTCTCGCTCTGTCACCCAGGCTGGAGTGCAGTGGCATGATCTTGGCTCACTGCAAGCTCCGCCTCCTGGGTTCATGCCATTCTCCTGCCTCAGCCTCCTAAGTAGCTGGGACTACAGGCACCCGCCAACACGCGTGGCTATTTTTTTGTATTTTTTAGTAGAGATGGGGTTTCACTGTGTTAGCCAGGATGGTCTCGATCTCCTGACCTCAAGATCCGCCTGCCTCGGCCTCCCAAAGTGCTGGGATTATAGGCGTGAGCCACCGCGCCCGGCCTCTATTTTCAAAATTTACCTTCATATTTAAAGGCTCTGATCTATTTTTCATTGCAGACTTTTTTTATTGACTTCCACCATAAAAGATAAGGATTTCTCTCTCTCTCTTTTTTTTTTTTTTGAGATGGAGTCTCTCTCTTTCACCCAGGCTGGGGTGCAATGGCACAATCATGGCTCACTACAACCTCAACTTCCTGGGTTCAAGCAATCCTCCTATCTCAGCCTCCCAAATAGCTGGGACCACAGGCACATGCCCCCATGCCTGGCTAATTTTTAAATTTTTGGTAGAGATGGGGCTGCCTTATGTTGCCCAGGCTGGACTCAAACTCCTGAGCTCAAGTGATCCTCCTGCCTCAGCCTCCCAAAGTGCTGGATTACAGGGGTGAGCCACCACACCCAGTTGGGATTTATCTCTTACAACAACCTCCCCTCTCTCCCACACACATAGACACACTTCCACTCTTCCATCTCACAGTAAGTTGTATGGCAATATATAAAAATCAAGATTCAGTATTTGTATTATTGCTAAGTAAACACTGTTCCTAGCTGAGTCTTGTGATGTCAGATTACATTTTCTTTCCTATACAGAGTCTTCACGTCTACCCTACCCCCACATTCAGAATTGCCTTTTTTTTCCATTGTTAAACAATAGATGTTGGCAAAGATGCAGAGAAGGCCCAGCACGGTGGCTCACGCCTGTAATCCCAGCACTTTGGGAGGCCAAGATGGCTGGATCACCAGGTCGGGAGATCAAGACCATCCTGGCTAACACGGTGAAACCCTGTCTCTACTAAAAATACAAAAAAATTAACTGGGCGTGGTGGCGGGCACCTGTAGTCCCAGCTACTCAGGAGGCTGAGGCAGGAGAATGGCCTGAACCTGGGAGGCGGAGTTTGCAGCGAGTCGAGATCACACCACTGCACTCCAGCCTGGGTGACAGAGCGAGACTCCATCTCAAAAAAAAAAAAGATGCAGAGAAAAGGGAACACTTATACACTGTTGGTAGGGAAGTAAATCAGTACAACCTCCCTGGAAAATAGTATGAAGATTTCTCAAAGAACTAAAAATGGAACTACCCCCTTTGATCCACCAATCCCATGACTGGGTATCTTTCCCAAAGGAAAATAAATCATTTTATCCAAAAGACACCTGCACTATGTTTATTGCAGCACTATTTCTAATAGCAAAATCATGGAATCAACCTAAGTGTTCATCAACAGATGACTGGATTCTAAAATGTGATATAGATACACCATGGAATACTACTCAGCTATAAAAAGAATGAAACCATGTCTTTTGCAGCAACATGGATGGACCTGGAGGCCGTTATCCTAAGTGAAATAACTCAGAAACAGAAAGTCAAAAACCACATGTTCTCACTTATACGTGGGAGCTAAACAATGTGTACACATGGCCATACAAAGTGAATCATAGACACTGGAGACTCCAAAAAGTGGGAGGGTGAGGAGGCGGGTGAGGGATGAAATATTACCTATTGGGTACAACATACACTATCTGAGTGATGAGTACACTAAAGCCCAGACTATACCATCAGGCAATATATCCATGTAACACAACTGCACTTGTACCCCTAAATCTATAAGGACAAACAATACAATCAATAATTTTGAAAGACAACAAATAATTGCCTTTTTTGTTTGCTTTCTTTTCTATGTACCCATCACTCATTTTTCTCAGAACTGCCCCCTCACCCCTCCGTGTAATTAGATGGCCAGGTAATGGGCCACTTTTTTCCTCTGAGATATCCCTCCCCCAGCCACAGCCTCCTGCTCTTATCTGGCTCTGAGAGCTCAGAGCTGCCATCTCAGAACTTCCCTTTGATCTTATTCTGGAGATTTTCATCCCTCTCCTGAGCTGCTTTTCTCCCCATCTTTCTCTTTCTTTGTTCACCCCTGCATTTTGGTGGAGCTCCTGTTCCAGTAGTTTCCTGGGAAAAGGGTTGGGGGGTTGGAAATCGTTTTAAAGTCTTACATTCTGAAAAGGCCTTTAGTCTGTCTTTATAAGATTTCAAGTTTAGGCCAGGCTCAGTAGCTCATGCCTGTAATCCCAACACTTTGGGAGGCTGAGGCAGGAGAATCACTTGAGGCCAGGAGTTTGAGACCAGCCTAAACAACATAGTGAGACCCTGTCTCAATAATAATAATAATAATAATAATAATAATAATAATAATAATAATAATAATAATGAGATTTCCAAGTTTGGCTGGGGATTGAATTGGAGAAAGACATGTCCTGTAATTTTGAAGGTCTTCTACCTGCCAATGCTGCAGGTGAGAAACCTCATCCCATTCCCATTACTGATCTTAATATGTGACTTCTTTTCTCTACACCACCGGCTACTGGGATTCTCTCTTTATTCTTGATACTCTGACAATTCAAGATTCGGTGCCTTGGTGAGGGTCTGTTTTCATCGTTCTTGTTGGGTATTCTGTGGGTCCTTCGAACTGTTGATTTATGGCCTCAGTGCTGAAAATGTTTTTTATAGTAGTTTATTGATAACCTCTCCTCAGTTTTCTCTGGTCTTTCCCACTGAAACGTCTTCAGTATGATATTTGACCTTTCTTATTTTCCATCTCTTTTTGTTCGACTTCTTTGGAGAGTTCCATGAATTTTTTTTTTAACTTATTATTATTATACTTTAAGTTTTAGGGTACATGTGCACAATGTGCAGGTTAGTTACATATGTATACATGTGCCATGCTTGTGCGCTGCACCCACTAACTCATCATCTAGCATTAGGTATATCTCCCAGTGCTATCCCTCCCCCCTCCCCCCACCCCACAACAGTCCCCAGAGTGTGATGTTCCCCTTCCTGTGTCCACATGTTCTCATTGTTCAATTCCCACCTATGAGTGAGAATATGCGGTGTTTGGTTTTTTGTTCTTGCGATAGTTTACTGAGAATGATGATTTCTAATTTCATCCACGTCCCTACAAAGGACATGAACTCATCATTTTTTATGGCTGCATAGTATTCCATGGTGTATATGTGCCACATTTTCTTAATCCAGTCTATCATTGTTGGACATTTGGGTTGGTTCCAAGTCTTTGCTATTGTGAATAATGCTGCAATAAACATACGTGTGCATGTGTCTTTATAGCAGCATGATTTATAGTCCTTTGGGTATATACCCAGTAATGGGATGGCTGGGTCAAATGGTATTTCTAGTTCTAGATCCCTGAGGAATAGCCACACTGACTTCCACAATGGTTGAACTGGTTTACAGTCCCACCAACAGTGTAAAAGTGTTCCTATTTGTCCACATCCTCTCCAGGACCTGTTGTCTCCTGACTTTTTAATGATTGCCATTCTAACTGGTGTGAGATGGTGTCTCATTGTGGTTTTGATTTGCATTTCTCTGATGGCCAGTGATGATGAGCATTTTTTCTTGTGTTTTTTGGCTGCATAAATGTCTTCTTTTGAGAGAAGTGTCTGTTCATGTCCTTCGCCCACTTGTTGATGGGGTTGTTTGTTTTTTTCTTGTAAATTTGTTTGAGTTCATTGTAGATTCTGGATATTAGCACTTTGTCAGATGAGTAGGTTGCGAAAATTTTCTCCCATTTTGTAGGTTGCCTGTTCACTCTGATGGTAGTTTCTTTTGCTGTGCAGAAGCTCTTTAGTTTAATTAGATCCCATTTGTCAATTTTGGCTTTTGTTGCTATTCCTTTTGGTGTTTTAGACGTGAAGTCCTTGCCCATGCCTATGTCCTGAATGGTAATGCCTAGGTTTTCTTCTAGGGTTTTTATGGTTTTAGGTCTAACGTTTAAGTCTTTAATGCATCTTGAATTGATTTTTGTATAAGGTGTAAGGAAGGGATCCAGTTTCAGCTTTCTACATATGGCTAGCCAGTTTTCCCAGCACCATTTATTAAATAGGGAATCCTTTCCCCATTGCTTGATTTTCTCAGGTTTGTCAAAGATCAGATAGTTGTAGATATGCGGCGTTATTTCTGAGGGCTCTGTTCTGTTCCATTGATCTATATCTCTGTTTTGGTACCAGTACCATGCTGTTTTGGTTACTGTAGTCTTGTAGTATAGTTTGAAGTCAGGTAGTGTGATGCCTCCAGCTTTGTTCTTTTGGCTTAGGATTGACTTGGCAATGCGGGCTCTTTTTTGGTTCCATATGAACTTTAAAGTACTTTTTTCCAATTCTGTGGAGAAAGTCATTGGTAGCTTGATGGGGATGGCATTGAATCTGTAAATTACCTTGGGCAGTATGGCCATTTTCAGGATATTGATTCTTCCTACCCATGAGCATGGAATGTTCTTCCATTTGTTTGTATCCTCTTTTATTTCGTTGAGCAGTGGTTTGTAGTTCTCCTTGAAGAGGTCCTTCACATCCCTTGTAAGTTGGATTCCTAGGTATTTTATTCTTTTTGAAGCAATTGTGAATGGGAGTTCACTCATGATTTGGCTCTCTGTTTGTCTGTTGTTGGTGTATAAGAATGCTTGTGATTTTTGTACATTGATTTTGTATCCTGAGACTTTGCTGAAGTTGCTTATCAGCTTAAGGAGATTTTGGGCTGAGACGATGGGGTTTTCTAGATATACAATCATGTCGTCTGCAAACAGGGACAATTTGACTTCCTCTTTTCCTAATTGAATACCCTTTATTTCCTTCTCCTGCCTAATTGCCTGGCCAGAACTTCCAACACTATGTTGAATAGGAGTGGTGAGAGAGGGCATCCCTGTCTTGTGCCAGTTTTCAAAGGGAATGCTTCCAGTTTTTGCCCATTCAGTATGGTATTGGCTGTGGGTTTGTCGTAGATAGCTCTTATTATTTTGAGATATGTCCCATCAGTACCTAATTTATTGAGAGTTTTTAGCATGAAGCGTTGTTGAATTTTGTCAAAGGCCTTTTCTGCATCTATTGAGATAATCATGTGGTTTTTGTCTTTGGTTCTGTTTGTATGCTGGATTACATTTATTGATTTGCGTATATTGAACCAGCCTTGCGTCCCAGGGATGAAGCCCACTTGATCATGGTGGATAAGCTTTTTGATGTGCTGCTGAATTCAGTTTGCCAGTATTTTATTGAGGATTTTTGCATCCATGTTCATCAAGGATATTGGTCTAAAATTCTCTTTTTTGGTTGTGTCTCTGCCTGGCTTTGGTATCAGGATGATGCTGGCCTCATAAAATGAGTTAGGGAGGATTCCCTCTTTTTCTATTGATTGGAATAGTTTCAGAAGGAACGGTACCATTTCCTCCTTGTACCTCTGGTAGAATTCGGCTGTGTATCCATCTGGTCCTGGACTCCTTTTGGTTGGTAAGCTATTGATTATTGCCACAATTTCAGGTCCTGTTATTGGTCTATTCAGAGATTCAACTTCTTCCTGGTTTAGTTCTTGGGAGAGTGTATGTGTCAAGGAATTTATCCATTTCTTCTAGATTTTCTAGTTTATTTGCATAGAGGTGTTTGTAGTATTCTCTGATGGTAGTTTGTATTTCTGTGGAATCGGTGGTGATATCCCCTTTATCATTTTTTATTGCATCTATTTGATTCTTCTCTTTTTCTTTATTAGTCTTGCTAGCGGTCTATCAATTTTGTTGATCCTTTCAAAAAACCAGCTCCTGGATTCATTAATTTTTTGAAGGGTTTTTTGTGTCTCTATTTCCTTCAGTTCTGCTCTGATTTTAGTTATTTCTTGCCTTCTGCTAGCTTTTGAATGTGTTTGCTCTGGCTTTTCTAGTTCTTTTAATTGTGATATTAGGGTGTCAATTTTAGATCTTTCCTGCTTTCTCTTGTGGGCATGTAGTGCTATAAATTTCCCTCTACATACTGCTTTGAATGCGTCCCAGAGATTCTGGTATGTTGTGTCTTTGTTCTCGTTGGTTTCAAAGAACATCTTTATTTCTGCCTTCATTTCGTTATGTACCCAGTAGTCATTCAGGAGCAGGTTGTTCAGTTTCCATGTAGTTGAGCGGTTTTGAGTGAGATTCTTAATCCTGAGTTCTAGTTTGATTGCACTGTGGTCTGAGAGATAGTTTGTTATAATTTCTGTTCTTTTACATTTGCTGAGGAGAGCTTTACTTCCAACTATGTGGTCAATTTTGGAATAGGTGTGGTGTGGTGCTGAAGAAAATGTATATTCTGTTGATTTGGGGTGGAGAGTTCTGTAGATGCCTATTAGATCCGCTTGGTACAGAGCTGAGTTCAATTCCTGGGTATCCTTGTTGACTTTCTGTCTCGTTGATCTGTCTAATGTTGACAGTGGGGTGTTAAAGTCTCCCATTATTAATGTGTGGGAGTCTAAGTCTCTTTGTAGGTCACTCAGGACTTGCTTTATGAATCTGGGTGCTCCTGTATTGGGTGCATATATATTTAGGATAGTTAGCTCTTCTTGTTGAATTGATCCCTTTAGCATTATGTAATGGCCTTGTTTGTCTCTTTTGATCTTTGTTGGTTTAAAGTCTGTTTTATCAGAGACTAGGATTGCAACCCCTGCCTTTTTTTGTTTTACATTTGCTTGGTAGATCTTCCTCCATCCTTTCATTTTGAGCCTGTGTGTGTCTCTGCACGTGAGATGGGTTTCCTGAATACAGCACACTGATGGGTCTTGACTCTTTATCCAATTTGCCAGTCTGTGTCTTTTAATTGGAGCATTTAGTCCATTTACATTTAAAGTTAATATTGTTATGTGTGAATTTGATCCTGTCATTATGATGTTAGCTGGTGATTTTGCTCGTTAGTTGCTGCAGTTTCTTCATAGCCTTGATGGTCTTTACATTTTGGCATGATTTTGCAGCATCTGGTACCGGTTGTTCCTTTCCATGTTTAGCGCTTCCTTCAGGAGCTCTTTTAGGGCAGGCCTGGTGGTGACAAAATCTCTCAGCATTTGCTTGTCTGTAAAGGATTTTATTTCTCCTTCACTTATGAAGCTTAGTTTGGCTAGATATTAAATTCTGGGTTAAAAATTCTTTTCTTTAAGAATGTTGAATATTGGCCCCCACTCTCTTCTGGCTTGTAGAGTTTCTGCCGAGAGATCCGCTGTTAGTCTGATGGGCTTCCCTTTGAGGGTAACCCGACCTCTCTCTCTGGCTGCCCTTAACATTTTTTCCATCATTTCAACTTTGGTGAATCTGACAATTATGTGTCTTGGAGTTGCTCTTCTTGAGGAGTATCTTTGTGGTGTTCTCTGTATTTCCTGAATCTAAATGTTGGCCTGCCTTGCTAGATTAGGGAAGTTCTCCTGGATAATATCCTGCAGAGTGTTTTCCAACTTGGTTCCATTCTCCCCGTCACTTTCAGGTACACCAATCAGATGTAGATTTGGTCTTTTCACATAGTCCCATATTTCTTGGAGGATTTGTTCGTTTCTTTTTATTCTTTTTTCTCTAAACACTCCTTCTCACTTCATTTCATTCATTTCATCTTCCATCGCTGATACCCTTTCTTCCAGTTGATCGCATCGGCTCCTGAGGCTTCTGCATTCTTCATGTAGTTCTCAAGCCTTGGTTTTCAGCTCCATCAGCTCCTTTAAGCACTTCTCTATATTGGTTATTCTAGTTATACATTCTTCTAAATTTTTTTCAAAGTTTTCAACTTCTTTGCCTTTGGTTTGAATTTCCTCCTGTAGCTCAGAGTAATTTGATCATCTGAAGCCTTCTTCTCTCAACTCGTCAAAGTCATTCTCCGTCCAGCTTTGTTCCATTGCTGGTGAGGAACTGCATTCCTTTGGAGGAGGAGAGGCGCTCTGCTTTTTAGAGTTTCCAGTTTTCTGCTCTGTTTTTTCCCCATCTTTGTGGTTTTATCTACTTTTGGTCTTTGATGATAGTGATGTACAGATGGGTTTTTGGTGTGGATGTCCTTTCTGTTTGTTAGTTTTCCTTCTAAAAGACAGGACCCTCAGCTGCAGGTCTGTTGGAGTACCCAGCCATGTGAGGTGTCAGTGTGCCCCTGCTAGGGGGTGCCTCCCAGTTAGGCTGCTCGGGGGTCAGGGGTCAGGGACCCACTTGAGGAGGCAGTCTGCCCATTCTCAGATCTCCAGCTGCGTGCTGGGAGAACCACTGCTCTCTTCAAAGCTGTCAGACAGGGACATTTAAGTCTGCAGAGATTACTGCTGTCTTTTTGTTTGTCTGTGTCCTGCCCCCAGAGGTGGAGCCTACAGAGGCAGGCAGGCCTCCTTGAGCTGTGGTGGGCTCCAACCAGTTCGAGCTTCCCAGCTGCTTTGTTTACCTAAGCAAGCCTGGGCAATGGCGGGCACCCCTCCGCCAGCCTCGCTGCCAACTTGCAGTTTGATCTCAGACTGCTGTGCTAGCAATCAGCGAGACTCCGTGGGCATAGGACCCTCCGAGCCATGTGCGGGATATAATCTCCTGGTGCGCCGTTTTTTAAGCCCATCGGAAAAGTGCAGTCTTTGGGTGGGAGTGACCCGATTTTCCAGGTGCCATCTGTCACCCCTTTCTTTGACTAGGAAAGAGAACTCCCTGACCCCTTGCACTTCCTGAGTGAGGCAATGCCTCGCCCTGCTTCGGCTTGTGCACAGTGCGTGCACCCACTGACCTGCACCCACTGTCTGGCACTCCCTAGTGAGATGAACCTGGTACCTCAGATGGAAATGCAGAAATCACCCATCTTCTGTGTCGCTCATGCTCAAGTTCCATGAATTTTATATTCCAACTCTCTCACTAAGTTTATTGTGACTATCATATTTTTCATTTCCAAGAGCTACTTCTTGTTCTCTGGGTGTTCCTATTTAAAAAAAAAAAAAAAAAGCATCCTTTTTATTTGATGGATCTTATCTTTCAGAGGATGATGACAACTGTTTTAAAGTTTCTTACTGTACCTTACATCATCTTTGTTTCCTGAACTCCTTTGCAGTTCTGTTTATTTGTGCATTTGCTTTGGGCCCTCTCTTGAACATTGGAGGCTGTCTGGTATGGATAAAAAAAATACATAAGCCAAACAAAACAAAACAAAAACTACACATAAATAAACCTCCCTGGCTGGGCCTGGTGGCTCATGCCTATAATCCCAGCACTTTGGGAGGCTGAGGCGGGAGGATCACTTGAAGTCAGTTCAAGACCAGCCTGGGCAACATAGCAAGAGCCTGTGTCTTCTAAAAATAAAAAAATTAGCTGGGCATGACGATGCATACCTGTAGTTCCAGGTATTCAAGAGGTAGACATGGGAGAATCACTTGAGCTCAGGAGTTCAAGGCTGCAGTGAGCTATGATCACACCACTGCACTCTAGCCTGGGTAACAGAGTGAGACCCTGTCTCAAAAAAAAAAAAAAGTATAATATAAATACATGCTCCTCTTTAAGAAAAAAAATAGAGGTTTTCTTTTCAGTAAAGTGCTTTGCTGGGTAAATTCATTAGTGTAGAATTTTAAATTCCAAATCAGACTGCATTTTGCTATGCATTGTATTTTCTGTTCTTTGGATCACCTGACACCCAAAGAATAGTAAGAAACTTCTTTTGAATTAAAATTTGTTTTTAATATAAGAAACACATTGTAAACTCACTGGTAAAAGTGAGTACTCCTTGTACATCTCCATCAGAGCTCTTAAGTGCATTGTCAGTGGGCAGTAATATTTTGAAAGGAATCTTTTTCTGAGCAGTAGGTCTCAACAGTTTGCTTAAAATATTCAGTACACCATGCTGTAAACAGATGGGCTCTTATTATTCTTTGTTTTTTTTTGTTTGTTTATTTGTTTTTGAGACGGAGTCTTACTCTTGTCACCCAGGCTGGAGTGCAATGGCGCAGTCTCGGCTCACTGCAACCTCCACCTCCCAGGCTCAAGCGATTCTCCTGCCTCAGCCTCCAGAGAGCAGCTGGGATTACAGGTACCCACCACCACGCCCGGCTAATTTTTGTATTTTTAGTAGAGACAGGGTTTTGCCATGTTGGCCAGTCTAGTCTCAAACTCCTGAACTTAGGTGATCCACCTGCCTTGGCCTCCCAAAGTGCTGAAATTACAGGTGTGAGCCACTGCACCCAGCCTGAACACTCCTATTCTTGAACTAGTCACCAAATTTGTGAAATTTTGTTTAAATAATTACAATAATCATAAATCTACAGGGAAATAAAAGATTAATGATTCAAAGTGATGTGAACCTTTCATAAAAAACATGGTTTTCAAAACTCAGCGCATGGCCCTCTCACATAAGAATAATTCTACATATTCTCCTACTGCTGCAGCAGAGGGGTGGTTGTTTTAAATAAAGTGATTTCTGAACATTTTCCCTAAAATCTGAACACAGAAAGTTTGTTGTTTTCTTACCAATGGCTTTCTCCTCCTCTGGTGACCCCAGGCTATCTGGGTGGTTGAGTGGGGCTGCTCTAAGCATGGGGACAAGGCACAAGGGCTGTTGGGCTTCTCTACAGAGTGGCCAGGCCGAGACCTACCTATTTCGTTGGGAGAATCCAGTTTTAGTAGCTATAGGTCTTTTCTCCTGGGCTGGCCAGTTTTTCCAGAGAATCCTCTGATCTCCCACTGGAAAGTAGCAGCTGGGCTGCTCAGAACTGGGTGAAAGAGGGTCCCTAGGGACTCAGGACACAGGACGGGAATTTCACTCTATTTCCTTGATTTCAATGCATGCTTTTCTCCTCCCTCTGCTGGGCTTAGTTCCCTGGAATCCAGGTCTGTCTGTCCTGTTTCTCCAGAGAATGAACTTCCTGTGTCCCACAAGGGGTGAGGGGAGGAGAGGTGGGCTCTGAGTGTACGTTATACAGACTTCACGCCTTCCTGCCCTCTCCTCTGCCTTCTGAGGGAGATGGCACCTGCCTCCGCTTCCTTGCTTCTCACAGGCCCCTTCTACTTACTCCATTTTGTCTTCGAAAGGGTTGTTGGCATCACTTATCTTTGTTCTTAGAAGTTGACATGTTTTTTCTTTTTTGAGACAAGGTCTCATTCTGTTGCCCAGGCTGGAGTGCAATGGTGTGATCATAGCACACTGCAGCCTCAAACTCCTGGGCTCAAGCAATCTTCCTGCCTCGACCTCCTGAGTAACTAGGACTACAGGTGCTCACCATGATGCCCAGCTAATTTTTAAATTTTTTATAGAGACAGAGTCTTGCTGTGTTGCCCAGGCCAGTCTCAAACTCCTGGAGTCAAGTGATCCTCCTGCCTCAGCCTCCCAAAGTGCTGGGATTGCAGGGGTGACCCACCATGCCTGTCCTGCAAATGTTATTAACAGCATCTTAAAATGGTTGATCTTTTCCAGAAGGTTTTCAGTTTACTTTGTCCAGATCCATCAGAGGAATTACTATCTGGGACTATGACCTTACAAAAGGCCTTACTATGGCCTTGCAAAAGCTATGGGCTTATAAAATGTATTTTTTAAATAATCAGACTTAAAAGTTGAAATTACTCCTTGATCTATAGGCTGCAGAGTATGAAAGCAACATTACTCCTTGTACATCTCCATCAGAGCTCTTAAGTGCATTGTCAGTGGGCAGTAATATTTTGAAAGGAATCTTTTTCTGAGCAGTAGGTCTCAACAGTGGGCTTAAAATATTCAGTACACCATGCTGTAAACAGATGGGCTCCAACTATTCCATTTATAGAGCACAAACAGAGTAGATTTAGCAACCCTCAAAGGCACTAGGATTTTCTTTTTCTTTTTCTTTTTCTTTATTATTTTTTTTTTTTGAGATGGAGTCTCACTCTGTCACCCAGGCTGGAGTGCAGTGGTGCAATCTTGGCTCACTGAAAGCTCTGCCTCCTGGGTTCACACCATTCTTCTGCCTCAGCCTCCCAAGTAGCTGAGACTACAGGCGCCCACCACCACGCCTAGCTAATTTTTTTGTATTTTTAGTAGAGATGGGGTTTCACCGTGTTAGCCAGGATGGTCTTGATCTCCTGACCTCATGATCCACCCACCTTGGCCTCCCAAAGTGCTGGGATTACAGGCGTGAGCCACTGCGCCCAGCCAGCACTAGGATTTTCAGAAAGGCAAATGAGCCTTGGCTTCAACTTTAAGTCATCAGGGGCATTAGCCCTAAAGAAGAGAGTCAGCCTGTCCTTTGAAGCTTTGAAGCCAGGCATTGACTTATCTAGCTATAAAAGTCCCAGATGGCATCTTTTTCTAGAAACAGGCTATTTAACCTACATTGCAAATGTTTTTGGTGTAGCCACTTTCATCAGTGATCTTAGCTGGATCTTCTCTGGATAACATGCTGCAACTTCTAAATCAGCACCTGCTGCTTCACCTTGAATTTTTATGTGATGGAGATGGATTTACCTCATGAACAAATCTCTGCTAGCTTCCAAGTACTGTTCTGCAGCTTCCTCACCTCTCTCAGCCTTCATAGAATTGAAGACAGTTAGAGTCTTGCTCTGCGTTAGGCTTTGGGTTAAGGGAATGTTGTGGCTAGTTTGATCTTCTGTGCAGACCAGTCAAACTTTCTCCATATCGGCAATAGGGCTGTTTTGCTTTTTAATCATTTGTATGGTCACTGGAATAGCACTTTTAATTTCTGTTAAGAACTGTTCCTTTGCATTTACAACTTGGCTACCTGTCTGACACAAGAGGCCTAAGTTTCAGCCGATCTCAGCTTTTGACCTGCCTTCCTCACTATGCTTAATCATTCCTAGCTTTTGATTTAAAGTAAGAGATGTATGACTCTTCCTTCCACTCATACACTTTGAGGTCATTGTAAGGTTATTAACTGGCCTAATTTCAGTATTGCTGTGTCTTGGGGAATAGGCCCAAGGAGGGAGGAGGAAGGGACAGAGAGAGAGAGATGGGGAAATGACTGGTGGGTGGAGCAGTCAGAACACATACAACATTTATCAATTAAGTTCACCATCTTGTATGGATGCAGTTTGTGGAGCTTCAAAACTATTATACTAAAGCCAGGCACTGTGATGCATGCCTATAGTCCCAGCTACTTGAGAAGCTGAGGCAGGAGGATTGCTTGAGCTCAGGAGTTCAAGGTCAGCCTGGGCAATATAACAAGGCTGTCTCTAAAAAAACAAACAAGCAAAACTAACAACAAAAAATCACACTGATAACATCAAAAATAACTGATCACAGATCACCATAACAGATAAAACAATAATAAAAAAGTTAGAAATATTGCAAGAATTACCAAAATGTCACACAGAGACACAAAGTGAGCACATGGCACCAATAGATTTGCTCAATGCAGGTTTACCACAAACCCTCAATTTGAAACCAATGCGATATTTCTGCAAAGTGCCATAATACAAGGTATGCCTGTATTGAATAATGCAATGTTCAAATCTTCTAGCAAAGTGAACAGAACTACACAGAATCATGCTTTGAAATTGCCAATTTAGGAAATTATATTTGTTTTCAAAACTTGTTATTTCTTGGAACTCCACTCATAGGATTTGTTAAAAGTGTGTATAAAAAATACATAAACCTATTAATATTATTTTATTTGCAACAATAACTCATAGAACCAAGTAGAGCCACAAACATGCCCTCATAATATTGCAACAGCTATACACAAGCGAGATTATGTGATGACCACGTCTCTCCTATGCATTCCTGTGCCCATTCCCAACAATGTCCACCTTAACCTTCAATTTGGAGTTGTCAGCATTTTCCTGCTCCAAATTTTGACTTGAAGTCAATGGAGTCCTTCAAATCGGAAATTTCCCTATGTTGATTAAGCTTCAGTGCTCATAGAACTATCATACTTTTGCCTGTTTTATCAAATTCATTTTTCTCAGGTTTTGGGATTTGAAAAAAATATATGATTTCCCAAAAAAAAATGCCCAGAAGAAATCCCTGCATGAAAACACTAGGCCATGATCTTTGCCTGATTGCTAAAGGAAGAATCTTGTTAAACGAAATAATATCATAAATGAGAACGTGCATGGGGGTAGTGAAAGCAATGGGTTAGGCCCTGGTTGCTGCCTGTTAGAAGAGCCCTGGCCCTCACACACCCACAGCCCAGGCACGATGTGATGTAACCCTTTATTATTTCCCAGGACATCTCAGATCTGTTTTCCTCTGAAATATTAGGACTCACATCAGCCCTTTGGTCACAGTTAACAGTGCATCATTTACATCTATGTGTGACTTTGTCACTCTGTGGCACCCAAGTAGAAAGAAGAAGGTAAAGGCACATTAGAAGAATCCATTCTATTCCCTTTCTGCTGTCCTAGCTGTCAAATCAGCAGAAAGCTTAGACAGACCGTATGTTTACTGGAAGGGAGGGTAGAGCCCCAGAGAGGCTTCGGACTGAGACCTGTTCTGCCTTCTGTCTGGAAAGGGAAGAAATTCCTCCACCAGAAGCAACAAGAGTTGGGAAGCAGAGATCAAAGAAAGCAGGCAATTTCTGCAGGAAGGGGGAAGGGAAAAAGGGAGGGAAGAGTGATGGGTCCCAGGCGGGGGCGGATTTAGCATGAAACTAATGAAGCTTCAGCCTCAGCACCCCTCGCTTGCAAGGACCCTTCCAAGTTCCTGGGTGAGGCCCCTAGAAATTGGTTTAAAATTTGCAAAATTTGGAAAAGTGAGATATATTAACAACAATCAAGACTACAGCCATGTGTGGTAGCACTTGCCTGTAGTGCCACCTACTCAGAAGGCTAAGGCTGGGGGATCACCTGAGGCCACGAGTTCAAGATCAGCCTGGACAACCTAGTGAGCCTTCCGTCTCTAAAAAAATAAAAATAAAAAATTAAGACTACAGGCTGGGCATGGTGGCTCACACCTGTAAGTAATCCCAGCACTTTGGGAGGCCGAGGCGGGCGGATCACCTGAGGTCAGGAGTTCGAGACCAGCCTGGCCAACATGGTGAAACGCTGTCTCTACTAAAACTACAAAAATTAGCTGGGGGTGGTGGTGGGCACCTGTAATCCCAGCTACTTGGGAGGCTGAGGCAGGAGAATTGCTTGAACATGGAAGGCAGAGGTTGCAATGAGCTGAGATCAAGCCACTGTACTCAAGCCTGGATGACAGAGCAAGACTCGTCTCAAAAAAAAAAAAAAAAAAATTAAGAATTAAGACTACAGTCTTTTCCCTCCCTGACATCCCTCAGTCACACTTCCTTTCTTGTTGGGTGGTATTTGGAGTGGCTGTGGGCATTTTTAATCTCTATCTAAGGAGAAATTGAGTTGAGAGTATGTTCACTTATGTGATTTGCAGTCACTTTCAAGTATAGTTTCTAGCAGCCCCTCCCTCAGTCAAGGAATGGCTTCTAGGGGCATCTCCATTGTCTACTGTATTGACTTAATACCAAAGGTCCTATCCAAATATAAATGTGACTTTCAATACCTGGCACCGGAAGTAGGTGGGAAGTGGAACAGAAAGAATGTTGAAAACATATGGAGTCAGAAGCTAGTTTGTAGAAAATTCTTTCAGCTATGGTAAATGTAAAAGGCAGGGTTCGCTTTTCACTGATGTCTAGTCAACATTTTCTTCTTCCAGGATATTCCCCCTTGCTGTGACTATTTTTTTTTTTCTTTTTTGAGATGGAGTCTCCCTCTGCTGCCAGGCTGGAGTGCAGTGATGCAATCTCGGCTCACTGCAACCTCTGCCTCTTGAGTTCAAGCAGTTATACTGCCTCAGCCTCCTGAGTAGCTAGGACTACAAGCGCCCGCCACCATGCCCAGCTAATTTTTGTATTTTTAGTAGAGACGGAGTTTCACCATGTTGGCCAGGATGGTCTTGATCTCTTGACCTCGTGATCTGCCCTCCTTGGCCTCCCAAAATGCTGGGATTACAGGCGTGAGCCACCGTGCCCGGCCTTTTTTTCTTTCTTTCTTTCTTCCTTTTTTTTTTTTTCTGAGATGGAGTTTCGCTGTTGTTGCCCAGGCTGGAGTGCAACGGTGCAATCTCAGCTCAATGCAACCTCTGCCTCCTGGGTTCAAGCGATTCTCCTGCCTCAGCCTCCTGAGTAGCTGGGATTACAGGCATGCACTACCACGCCTGGATAATTTTTTGTATTTTTAGTAGAGACGGGGTTTTTCCATGTTGGTCAGGCTGGTCTTGAACTCCTGACCTCAGGTGATCCACCCGCCTCGGCCTCCCAAAGTGCTGGGATTACAGGTGTGAGCCACCATGCCTGACCTGTCGTGACTATTCTTAATACTGCTGCGAATACAATTATAAACGCACTGTACATTTATTTATTTGTTGGGATTGAAAAAATAGAATGTATGAAATTCTTGAGTTAACCATAAACCTATAGCAATATTACAGAAATTTTTGATCAACTATGCTGGAAAAAACACTAAATTATCTTTCTATTATTTCTATAGAAAATGGCACTACAAAATTGTTGGCATTTGAAGCGGTCATCAAAGAGTAGGCAGACAGAAGCACATGGAAAAATATTATAGAAGTGTATCAGTTAATAAAAACGTGAATTTTCTGGATTTTGTGATGTTTGTGGTATTTGTCAGCCTTTAAAAATTTATAACTTGATGTCATCTATTTTCTCATTCTAAATATTTACTTTTATATTCAACTTTGTATTTTTTTATTTTGTGTTATTTTTCTTGAAGAGATCTCCAAATTATATAAGCTTCAGACTTCACAAAACTTGATCTGTGCCTGGACTGTGGTGTGGGGCCCAGGGATTTATACCAACAGCCATTCTTGGCCCTCAGCAGCCTCTAGGGTCCCTAGCCCATTCTCCAAAGTCCGCATCCCAGCCCTCATCTCAGGCCCTGAGAGCCATCAACAACATAAGGCTGAGGAACTCTTTGCTTCTCTGGGGAGCAGGAGGGTGGGTGAGCCAGTGAGACATGCATTTGCTGGATTAGACCTCTGGGGACTTTTCCCCCAGCAAAGTCCTGCCTGGCAGGGTGGTTGGCCATTGTGTCAGTACCCACCACCCTCCTGTGAAGGGTGAGCCCCTGGCCCTTGTGGCCTGGGCTGAGGTCTCAACCACCAGCAGCAGTACTTGAGGCTGAGTCTGCTGTAGACTTTAAAAACAGGACTGGTGGCCAGACACAGTGGCTTATGCCTATAATCTCAGCATTTTGGGAGGCCAAGGCAGGAGAATTGCTTGAGCCCAGGAGTTCAAGACCAGCCTGGGCAACATAGGGAAACCTCGCCTCTAGAAAAACTTTTTAAAAGCCAGGCATGGGGCCAGGCGCGGTGGCTCACTCCTGTGATCCCAGCACTTTGGGAGGCCGAGGTGGGAGGATCACTTGAGGTCAGGAGTTTGTGACCAGTCTGGCCACCATGGTGAAGCCCCATATCTACTAAAAATACAAAAATTAGCAGGACGTGGTGGCACATGCCTGTAATCCCAGATACCCGAGAGGCTGAGGCAAGAGAATCGCTTGAACCTGGGAGGCGGAGTTTGCAGTGAGCCAAGAAGGTGCCACTGCACTTCAGCCTGGGCGACAGAGCAAGACCCTATCTCAAAAAATAATTTTTAAAAACCCAGGCATGGTGGCGCATGCCTACAGTCCCAGCTACTCGGGAGGCTGAGGCCTGCTTGAGCCTGGGAAGCCGAGGCTGCAGTGAGCTGTGATCATCCCACTGCACTCCAGCCTGGGTGACAGAGCAATACCCCATCTCCAAAACAAAAACAAAAACAAAAACAAAAAACAGGACCAGCAGGAATAGTCTGCTGTGGATTGGGACCCCTGAATGTTCCAGAGGGATTTAAGTGTGCGGAATTCAGACGTCTTCCCTGTTGTGGCTGGCCTTCCCGCCTCCCCAGCCGTCTGCCCGAATGAGTGCTTACTAATGAGCCAGAGAGCTCTGAGCCGGCCTGTGTAGGGCATCCATGCAGGGCTCCAGGGGCCCCTCTCAGTGAAACAACATGACTGTGAAAACAATCTGCTGCTCTTCTTCTTCACCCTGACCTTGGGTCATTCTGGCGTAAAAGATTACTTTGCTCCCAGCCTCGGGGAAGTTTTTGTACAATTAGCTACAACTCGGCAGAAAGACCCTGCAGAGAGAGCCCTGGGGTCACCAACTCAAGCATGAAAGGACACTGACCCCGTGTGGTCATGTTTGGAGGTGCAGCACGGGGAGAGAGGAAAGGCCCCGGCACGGTCCTTTGGCCAAACGACCCCTGCAGGCCCTCCCTGACCGACCTTGCTCTGTCCCTGCTCACTTCACAAGACCCTGGGGAGAGGACCTGGCCCTATCAGGGCCTGCTGACTCGTTCTCCCCTGGCGAAATGTCCCCACCAGGTGCTCTCAACTCTGGGGTATGACTTCACAGGCCATTTGAGTTCAGATGGGTAAGGCGTGTAGGAAATGAGCTCAAAGGGTAGGATGGATTTTGATGGGGTAAGAAGAGAGTGTTTCTCACTCACCCAAAGCACTGAGCACAGTGTCCCAAACATAATGTGGAGTAAACACGCGCATGCACACGTGCACTTCAGGTGCAGGAGACAGCCTAAGCAGGGGCAGGCAGGCAGGCAGGTATGGAATGTGCATGGAGGGCTGGAGAGTGGAGCTGCTTTTCTGCGGAGATTTCAGGTTAGGTGGAGCACTGAGCTGAATTTTCTAGAAGCTGGATTCCTAAGCCCCAGTTCTGGGCTCTTTCTCTGACCACACAGCTGTGTAGAAGGAAAGGGGCCTGAGTTCTGCCATCTGGGCTAGGAGTCGGTATAGAGCCAGCCAGTTGTAGCATTTCTGATTCCATCTGAATTCCTAACACATCAAAATCAGATTCCATTCTGGACATTCGTTTTTTTGTTGACGCTGTGATTGAGGTCTCATAAAAAGAAGGTGCCATGCCTAGGACAAATGAGGAAGGAGAGGCTCAGAAAAGTTAAATAGCTGTGTCTTAAGTCACAGCCACTCAGTGTGTGAAAAGCCAAGCTGGGGTTTGAACATGATAAAAATACACCATGGCCGCTGGGCTCCAAAGTGCAACCTGCAGCTTCTAAAGGAACTAAAACCTAACTTGTTTCCTTCTCCCCCAGCTCAATCCACTCTCCCCGCTGTAGCAGAGCCATCGCCTCAAGGCAAATTGCATCCCACTGCTCAAAACTGAGCAACTCTTCTCTGGTCTCAGGATAAAAATGGTATGTGTGTCTTGGCTTCACAGACCTCCCTAACCTCACCCCTTGCTCTCGCCACATCACTCGCCATTCTTCCCTCCTGTGACATGGAACTTCAGCCTTGGTTCCATGCCTTGGCCTCCCAAAATGCTGAGATTATAGGCAGTTCCCTAAACAGCCAGCCTCTCAGATGTGGAGGACCTTGATTTGTAAACAAATCACCAGGGGATTTTGATAAAATACAGATTCCAATTCACCAAGCCTGGTTTGGGGGTCCAGGTTCTGAAGCTCTAAGAAGCTCCCAGGTAGTATGAATCTTCCAGGTCCACAGACCACAGGTGAGTAAAGAGGTGCTAAACACACCATGTTCCCCTCACCTTTGACCGCCACCAAACTTCCTTTGATCTGAAACTTTTCTCCTTCCTCCCCAAGGCCCCCTCCTGTATCTTTCACCCGGGTGGTAAGGCTACTTCCTCTCCAGGCCTCAGCTTAGGTGCTGCTGCCTCCCGGAAGTACTCTTAACCCCTTTGAGAATGATTAGGTCATGTCTTATCTGTTAGAGATGCAAATAATCCCAGCACTTTGGGAGGCCAAGGCAGGCAAATCAGCTGAGGTCAGGAGTTTGAATCCAGCCTGGGCAACATGGCAAAACCCCATCTCTACTAAAAATACAAAAATTAGCCAGGCATGGTGATGCACACCTGTAATCCCAACTACTTGGGAGGCTAAGGCACAAGAATCGCTTAAACTTGAGAGGCAGAGGTTGCAGTGAGCAGAGATCGCATCACTGTACTCCAGCCTGAGTGACAGGGCGACACTCTGTCTCAAAAAAAAAAAAAAAAGAAAGAAAGAAAGAAAGAAATGGGTGAAACGGGCCAGGCACAGTGGTTCACACCTGTAATCCCAGCACCTTGGGAGGCCAAGGATCACTTGAGACCAGGAGTTTGAGACCAGCTTGGGCAACATAGTGAGACCCTGTCTCTACAAAAAATACAAAAATTAGCTGGGTGTAGTGGTGCGTGCCTGTAGTCCCGGCTACTCTGGAGGCTGAGGTGAGAGGATCACCAGAGCTGGGGAGATCAAGGCTACAGTGAGCTGTGATTGCTCCACTGTACTACAGACTGGGTGACACAGTGAGACCCTCTCAGAAAAAAAAAAGGAAAAAGAAATGGATGAAATGATAATGATAGGTGGGATTTGTCTTAAAATACTCAAGAAAAAATATGGGAACAGGTACATGAAACAAAAATGGCAAAATGTCGATCATTTTGATTGTTGTTGAAGCTGGGTGATGAATATGTGAGAGCTCATTGTACTATCCTCTCAATATTTGTGTTTGTTTGGAAGTTTTCAAAATAAAAAGCTTTAAAAAAATTTTTAATAGACATAGGGTCTTGCTGTGTTGCCCAAGTTGCTCATGAGCTCCTGGGCTCAGGCAGTCCTCCCACCTTGGCCTCTCAAAGTACTGGGATTACAGGTGTGAGCCACCATACCTAGCCAGAATAAAAAGCTTAAAAAAATGAAGCCTGAGATAAGTGCCTCTCCCATGTACCCCCTTAGGCGACTGTCCTGTCTGCCCCCACCCTACAGCACGTATCGTACTGCCTCATGAGTGTATAGTTTTTCAAGGGCTGAGATTGTACTGTGTTTTGTTCATTTTTCTACACCAGCCCCTAGCACAGTGGTTGGCACAGAGTAAATTCTCAACATATTTTTGTTGAATGATTGAATGAAAATCCTGCCAGGTTATGTTAGTTGGCAGAAAAGAAGCAAATCATTGAAAATGTATGTCGAAATGAAACAACGCATATTGTTCCACCTTATGTAGAGCTGTGCTGCATCTGCTCCTGGAATCCTCTGTAAAGGTCACTGTGTCCCAAGGAAGATTCTGTGTCACATGAGAGAATCCATTTAAATCGTTAAGAAGAAAGCAAATGTAGACACTGGAACTCTGCCATGTATAAGGAAGAAGGGTGAATGGGTATGTGATCCAAAGGTGTTGAAAACAGAGAGTCATTCATTCAATCACCAAATATTGGTTCACTGTCTAAGCTTCAGCTTTGCCTGCAACGCTGGAGACTACTTCTCCAAAGTAGTTACTTGCATGAGATTATATGAATGGAAGCCTGTGTATATTGGCCAAATGAATGAGGCAGAAGTGGGTTTTGCGGGGGGTGGGGTGTTGTTTGTTTTGTGCAGGGATACCCCAAAAGAAAGGGGAGAGAACAGGGCAGTGGGCGAGATGGTGAGATATCTAGGCCCCACCCCAGTGGGACCAAAGGGGTAACTCAGAGCTGGAGGCTAAAGAGCTGACTTTGTAAGACCTGGGGTGTCAGTCTAATGACAGTCTGAGGCAACCCCAGGAACCCCAGGATTCGAGAATGAGCCCTTCTTGGCTCCACTGCCCATACACATCTGCTCAGACCCAGTACTGCTTTAATGTTCTGAGGTCTCTGGGTGACCACCAGCAGCAGGCGACAGGGAAAAAGGCCTGGGTTTTCTGGCCTGAACAATGGGATGAATAGGGATAAACATTGACAGGCATGAGAAATAAAGTGGGAAGAGCAAGCTCAAAGGAGACATAGTGTGTTCACTCACCAAGGCTGTTCACCAGAGAAGCCCCTTTCATGTAAGTGAGAGATACGCTTGAGAAAACCAAAAGAGAGACTCACCTGTTTCCCCCAACAAGCTTCCAGGTCTTGTTATCCTCAGAAGCAGGACCAGGCCGGGCACGGTGGCTCACACCTATAATCCCAGCACTTTGGGAGGCCGAAGCAGATGAATCACCTGCGGTCAGGAGTTCAAGACCAGCCTGGCCAACATGGCAAAACCCGATCTCTACTAAAAATACAAAAATTAGCTGGGCGTGGTGGCGGGCACCTGTAATCCCAGTTATTTAGGAGGCTGAGACAGGAGAATTGCTTGAGCCCCGGAGGCAGAAGTTGCAGTGAGCTGAGATTGTGCCACTGCATTCCAGCCTGGACAACAGAGCAAGACTCTGTCTCAAAAAAATAAATAAATAAATAAGAAGCAGGACCAGAGGTTGGAGCTCTAAACAGAATCAGAAAATCAAGGTGGGTTTCAGAGTCAGGAGAGCCACAGCATCAAGGGAATACAGCCACATCATGGCAAGATGAAAATTTCTGAGGCTGACAGTAAGAAAGGTGAAGTAGGCTGGGTGTGGTGGCTCACACCTGTAATCCCAGCACTTTGGGAGGCTGAGGCACGCAGATCACCTGAGGTCAGGAATTCAAGACCAGCCTGGCCAAGATGGCAAAACCCCGTCTGTACTAAAAATACAAAAATTAGCTGGGCGTATTGGTGCACGCCAGTAATCCCAGCTACTAGGGAGGCTGAGGAACGAGAATCTCTTGAACCTGGGAGGTGGAGGTTGCAGTGAGCTGAGTAAGCTGAGATCGCGCCATTGCACACCAACCTGGGTGACAGAACGAGATTCTGTCTCAAAAAAAAAGAAAAGAAAAGGGGGTGGATGGAATTCTTTGATGGCACATCCCTGACTCAGAGTGGTAAAACTCACATACCGATGACCTTGTGTTCAGTCTTATTCATTTCTCTATGCCAGGTCCCTAGCACAGTGTCTAATGCAAAGGAGGTGCCGAGTCAATGTTTGAAAAATCAATGAATGAGATGAATGCACTTGGAATGGTGTTGATTTTTGCTTTGCCTCCAAGCTAGAACAAATAATTGAGCTCACTCGTATCCATGTTATCATTACTATCCAGGCTACTGTGTTAATATAGCATTTAATAACTCCCTTGTTCTCCCAAACTTTAGGGAAATTGAAGCTTCAGTAATGAGGGAAATTTTTGCTTGATTGTTTTCTGTGGGAAGTCAACCACAGCTCACATCTGGTGCCCTCCATGAAGTCTTCATCATTAACAGGATTTTGTACATTTTCTCCTTTCTGTAAATCCAGACCTTGGAGAAAGAGATCCTCCTCATCTTTCCATTAAGAGGAAGTTTAATTGCATCTAGACTCTGGTTGGTTAGGGCTTGATTTTAGGTGGGCAAAGCAGACTTCAGCAAAATAGGCAGAGCCAAGAGAGGCTCCTGTTGTTTGGGTCGCTGTTTTTAGCAGTGAGGAAAGACCCTGGGGCTAGAAGGATGATTGGTCACTAGGTGTGAACTACACGTTGGAGATTTCATCTGCCTGGGACCTAGCAGATGTCCCCATGAGGTCTTCTTTGCCAGCTACCCCATCCTGTCTTCCAGAGAATGCTGCATCCAGAGGTCTCTTGTCCTCTTTTGCTCCCTGGACCTTATTACTTGATCATCTAGCTCCCAGCTATGTTCCTTCCACTCCCATCCAGGGCTACTGACTTCCACTCTATAAGCAGTAACAGACTGGTGCCTTTCAATCAATAGTCATTCATTTAACAAACATTTATTGAACCCCCAATATGTATCTAGCACTGTTCTAGGCATTGGGAATATAGCAGTAAGTAAGATAGGCAAAATTCCTAACCTCATACAGCTTATATTCCAATGGGGGGAATATAATATATATATATATATATATATATATATATATATATATATATATATATATATATTTTTTTTTTTTTTTTTTTTTTTTTTTTTTTTTTTTGAGTTGGAGTCTCACTCTGTCACCCAGGCTGGAGTGCAGTGGTGCAATCTCGGCTCACTGCAACCTCTACCTCCCGGAATCAAGAGATTCTCCCACCTCAGCCTCCCAGCTAGCTGGGATTATAGGCCTTTTTGTATTTTTAGTAGAGACAGAGTTTCACTATGTTGGCCATGCTGGTCTCAAACTTCTGACCCCAAATGATTCACTCACCTCAGCCTCCCAAAGTGCTGGGATTACAGGCGTGAGCCACTGCGCCCAGCCAAAAAGGAATGCTATATTCTTGCTAAACAAATGAACATGCCCAGAATTTCTGAAACAGGATGCACAGAGCATCCACCTCTAAGAGAGGATGGTTCACTCCAACACTCCCCTCTCTGGCCAGCAACTCGCAACAGGCAAAGCCTGAACCAGGGGAGCCACTATAACAATAAGCACCGCAACAGTGGCTGACTTTAGTCACGTGCCCTACTCCATTAGCCCTCAGAACAGTGTAATGACCACTAGCATTAGACCATTTTGCAGAAGAGGAAACAGAGGCTAAGAGAGATTTAATAACTTGGCCAGGTTCACATAGCTATGCTTTGGCAGCGCTGGAATTGGAACATGGTGAAATCCTGTCTCTACTAAAAATACACTTTGCCCTGCTGCTACACTTTTCAGGGACAGAAAAGGAAAACTATCTCAAGAGACAATGTGCAACGCTGAAATGGTGAAGGAAAAGCTTTTGGGGTAGTGAAGGGGAGCAGATGGCCTGATTCCCCCCCACCCTAAATAGGGTGTGTGTATGTGTGTGAGTGTGCACAGAAACACAGATGCACATACATGACCACACATATGCCCCGAGCCTTCCAACCAGAATCCACAGGCAGCACCATCTCCCTCTCCATAGCCTTTGCTGATCCTTGTTCCTGAAGCTAGAAAGGGAGGAGGGCCCCTAGATGAGTGTCTGAGGGGCATGTCCTCAGGACAGCTCTACTTAGTGACATTTGTAAGACCAGTGCTACAGTTATTTCAAGCAACTATCATTTCCCTTCCAGGATAATCTAAGATGTGATTTTTACTAATGAAATGAAAACTAACACTGAGCATCTATTATGTCCCAGTCACTGTGTTAGGCCCATTTAAATATGAATTATGTATTGTCTCTGACTTTAAAAGGCTCAAGAGAGCCTGCCAACTCCTGACTCCAACCTATTTAGCCATATTGCTTGTGCTTGTGCTTAATTTCTAAATTAAATTGGAATTTCAAGGACCCTGCTGATTGGCAAGTGGAATTACTAAATGATATTTAACCTAAGTGAAGTTGAACATCTCACGACTTCTGGATGGCAAGGAGAAGATCAAGGAGAAGTGGACCAAGAAGCTGGCTCTTCAAATAGCCCCACCCTTACCTTCAGGAAACCTTATGTCTGCTGAACTGGGTGGGAGTTCTGGCCCCTCCTTCCACTAGTTGTCACAACTGGAATGGTTAAAAGCAATGATTCCCACCAGAATGGCTAAAATTTGAAAACTGACAATAGCAAGAGGAGCACCAGGAACTGTCATGCATTGCTGCCAAGAGTGTAAGGTGGTACAGCTACTCTGGACAAATCTTTGGCAGTATTCACTAAACAGGACACACATATACATTATCAGCCAGCAATTCCATGCCTAGGTATATAAGTAAAGTTTGTGCACATGTGCATTAAAAGACATGTATAAGAAGGTTCATCATAGCACTTTTGGTAACAACCAAAACTGAAAACAACCCACATGTCTAGCAAGAGTGGGATGGATAACAACACTGTGGTGTATTTACACAAGGGAGTACTCTAAGCAAGAAGGATAAATGGGCTGAGTGCAGTGGCTCACACCTGTAATCTCAGCACTTTGGGAGGCTGAGGCGGGCAGATCATTTGAGGTCAGGAGTTCGAGACCAGCCTGGCCAACGTGGTGAAACCTCGTCTTTACTAAAAATACAAAAAAATTAGCTGGGTGTGGTGGCCCATGCCTGTAATCCCAGCTACTGGGGGAGGCTGAAGCAGGAGAATCACTTGGACCTGGGAGACAGGTTGCAGTGAGCCGAGATGACACCATTGCACTCCAGCCTGGGCAACAGAGCAAGACTCTGTCTCAAAAAAAAAGAAGGATACTTGGTCTACAGACACATGCTACTATGTGCACAGCTTTCCTAAACATCATGTTCAGTGAAAAAGTCAGATAGGAGAAAAACACAGCGGCATGAACCCATTTACATAGCCATTTATATAAAGTTCAAAAACAGGCAAAAGTCATCTATGTTGCTTTTAAAAGCCAGGGTAGAAGTTACCTTTGAGAAAGACTAAGAAGATAGAGATTGGGAGGGTTAGGTCAGGGTTTCCGGGATGCTGGTAATGTTAACATTTCTTGGCCTGGGTGGCTGTTACATGGGTGTGTTCACTTTGTGATGATTTATTAATCTATAACCTTATGACTTTTAAGCTTTTGTGTAAATATATTCCTCCTATAAATTTTCTAAAAACAATTAGGCTACATCCCAAAAGACAAGGGATAGAGATATAACCTAAAAAGTCAGATATGGTCACAGGCCCAGGGGCAAGGGGAGGTGAGGTTTGCTTCCCAGGATCCCCAGTCTCCCAATATTTACCAAAGGGACTTGTGAAAAAGGCCAGGAATGGGAAAGGGGGTGTCAGGGCCTTTGAGGTGGGTGGGCCAACTACCCAGAACTGCCTTGGCCATACTGCATGACTCTAGGCCTGTAAGCAAGGTTTCTGAGAGGACTGGTCTCCCATCCCTTGCCCTCATTCACATCCCCAAAAGCAACTTTTGCCCTTGGGCCAATGCTAATTTTCTTTCTGAAATGATCATCAGATAAGGTTAGATGCTTCATATGGCCTCAGTTCTTCTACAAAGAAAGGTCAATACTAGTCAGGCGCAGTGGCTCACACCTGTAATCCCAGCACTTTGGGAGGCTGAGGCAGGAGGATCACTTGAGCTCAGAAGTTTGAGACCAGCCTGGGCAACATGATGAAACCCCATCTCTACTAAAAATTCAAAAAATTAGCTGGGCGTGGTGGCACATGCCTGTGGTCCCAGGTACTCAGAGGCTGAAGTAGGAGGGAAAAAAAGAAAAAGAGAAAGGTCAACACAGATAACCCAATCAAAAAATACACTACAGGTTTAGGCCAGGCATGGTGGCTTATGCCTGTAATCCCAGCACTTTGGGAGGACGAGGCAGGTAGATCACCGGGTCAGCCTGGACAACATGGTGAAACCCCGCCTCTACTAAAAATACAAAAATTAGCTGGGCATGGTGGCAGGTGCCTGTAATCCCAGCTACTTGGGAGGCTGAGGCAGGAGAATCTTTTGAACCCAGGAGGCGGAGGTTGCAGTGAGCCAAGATCGTGCCATTGCACTCCAGCCTGGGCAACAGGGCGAGACTCTGTCTCAAAAAAAAAAAAAAAATAGACTACAGGTTTAAACAGGCTCCTCACCAAAGAGGACATTCAATTGGCCAAGAAACATATACAAAGATGCTCAACAGCATTAGTTATCTGAGAAATGAAAATAAAAATTAAAACCGCAATGAGAAACCATTAGACTTCCCCCAGAATAGCCAAAATGAAAAGGACTGACAATACCAAGTGTTGGGATGCAGTGCAACTCTGTATCTTATCCATTGCCTGCTGGGACTGTAAATTGGCCAATCACTTGGTAAACTGCTTGGCAGTATCCAAACATACCCAGCAGTTTTACTCCTGGGAATATACCCAACAGAAATGAGAGCTGTGTCCACATGTTGAAACATCCAGAAGAGAATGTTCACAGCAGCTTTATTCTTAATAGCCAAAAATTGGATTCAACCCAAATGTCCATCACAGGAGGGTGAATAAATATATTGAGGCATATTCATACAATGCAACACAACTCAGCAATACAGAAAAGAATGAGATGCTGCAGCACACATCAGCCTGGATGAATTTCCCATAATGTAGAGTTAAGAGAGGCCAGACGTAAGAGCACGTACTGTGTGATCCCATTTACATGAAGTTCTAAATAGGCAACACCAATCTATGGTGGTACAAGTCAGGACGGCAATCCTTTGCAAGATTGTGAAGTATGAACTGGGACGAGGTGCTGGAAATGTTTTGTGTCTTGGGCGGTGGTTACATTGATGTATATACATGTTAAAGTCCATCTAGTTATACACTTAAGATAGTGCACTTCAGAGGGCATGTGAGTTACACTTCAATAAAAATGTAAGTTTAAAAGAAAGGAAGAAGAAACAAAGGAAGAAAGGAAAGAAGGAAAGAAAGAGAAGGAATAAGTGAAAGGAAGACTGGCAAAATTCTGCCCTCTCATATGAAAAATGGTATAGCCTTTCTAGAAAATAGGCATTTTCTTAAAAAGTTAAAACTTCACCTACTATTTGACCCAACAATCCACTTTTAGGTATTTATCCTAGAGAAAGGAAAACTAATTTGACATAAAAGCCTGTATATAAATATTTATGCCAGCATTGCTCATACTTGTCAAAAACTGGCCACAACCCAAATGTCTTTCAAACTGTTAGGTCTATACAATAAAATACCACTTAGTAAAGAAAAAGAATGGATTTGGGGCTGGGCGTGATGGCTCACACCTGTAATCCCAGCACTTTGGGAGGCCAAGGTGGGTGGATCACCAGCTCAGGAGATCGAGACCATCCTGGCTAACATGGTGAAACCCCGTCTCTACTAAAAATACAAAAAATTAGCTGGGCGTGGTGGTGGGCGCCTGTAGTCCCAGCTACTTGGGAGGCTGAGGTGGGAGAATGGCATGAACCCAGGTGGCAGAGCTTGCAGTGAGCCGAGATCACACCACTGCACTCCAGCCTGGGTGACAGAGTGAGACTCCATCAAAAAAAAAAAAAGAATAAAAAAGAATGGACTACTGATATATGCAACAACATGCCTGAATCTCAAATGCATTACACTGAGTAAAAACCCAATCTCAAAAGGTTACATGCTATATGATTCCATTTTTATGACATTCTGAAAAAGACAAAAATATAAGAACAGAACACAGATCAGTAGTTGCCAGAGTTTAGGAATGGGGGAAGGTCTGAATACAAAGGGGCAGAGTGAGAGAAATCTTTGGGGTGTTAGAATTGTTCTGTATCTTGCCTGAGGTGATAGTTACAAAAGTCTATATCTGTGAAAAATGCATGCAGTGTACACCAAAAAGTTAATTTTACTTTATGCAAATAAAACATTTTTCAAGTAAAAGCTGGCTGGACATGGTGGCTGAAGCCCGTAATCCCAGCACTTTGGGAGGCTGAGGCAGGCGGATCACCTGAGGTCAGGAATTCGAGAACAACCTGGCCAACATTGTGAAACCCCATCTCTACTAAAAATCCAAAAATTAGCCAGGCATGGTGGTGGTTGCCTGTAGTCCCAGCTACTTGGGAGGCTGAGGCAGGAGAATTGCTTGAACTCGGGAGGTGGAGGCTGCAGTGAGCCAAGATCGTTTCACTGCCTTCCAGCCTGGGTGACAGGGTGAGACTCTGTCTCACACACACACACAAAAACCAAAAACCAAAAAACACCCCACCATTTTTCAAATAAAAGCAAAAAAAAAAAAAAAGGAAAAGAAAAACCATCAAACACACAACCCAAAACAAAACTCTGCCCCCCGTCATGGGCTCTGGCCATCCTTCCTCCAAGCTCAAGCAGGAAGAGCAGATGGCAGAGGCCTTTGAGGACTAGGATAGGACCTGGTTGAGAGCAGACATTCATGAGCTTAATTTCTTATCCTACTGTTCATGTGGCTTTGGAATGACCATGGTCCTGTGAAATGCCATTAGCTCACTGTCCATTCTTGTGTCTTTGCCTTTTAATCCTTGGACCTCACCACTCAGAAATAGCTGGAGCTGCCCCAACTCCCCAAGGAAGAACTTGCTCTCTGACATCAAGCCAATGAAGAGTCCCTTTGGGGCACACAGGAGAACTTATCACCCAGTAGATCCTTCTTACCCATAACCCATGGCTCCTCCCAGCTGGTGGGGCCAGGGCCATGAGCTGTTATTCATCCACATAGAGGGAATTATGGAACAGGGCCTTCAAGGTCCCCCTTGATCATACAGTGCCCGCCATGCCCCCACAGGGTCATGGCCCATTGCACCTCAGCCTATATGCACATGCTGGTTGCTTAGCTCAGAACTCCTTTCTCTTTCCCAAGGCTTTGCCCCTGCCCTCCTGGAATGTCACCCTTTCTCCCCCAGATGTGGCACTATCTGTTACCTTGGCTTGTAGAACTTTCTACACCCAAGTTCTACTGATTCTTTCTCCTAAATACCCGCAAATGATCTCATCCTTGCCTGCTTCAGACCTTCAGGCTCTCTTGCCCAGACCATTGCTAGGCGGATAGCTTCTGTGATGCCCTCTCTGCTCTGACCCCACACCTCTTCAATTCCCCTCCTCCTAAAAACCCCTTGGTTCCTTACCTAGGCAGGCACACAAGAACCTGGCCAGGCCCTTGCTGCTTTTCCTGATCCCTACTCCTTCCCAGACACGTCCTCAACACTCCTATAAAACCTGGCCACTTGGGGCTAGGCACGGTGGCTCATGCCTGTAATCCCAGCACTTTGGAAGGCCAAGGCGGGTGGATCACCTGAGGTCAGGAGTTCGAGACCATCCTGGCCAACATGGTGAAACCCCATCTCTGCTAAAAATACAAAAATTACCTGGCCATGGTGGCACATGCCTATAGTCTCAGCTACTCAGGAGGCTGAGGCAGGAGAACTGCTTGAACCTGGGAGGTGGAAGTTGCAGTGAGCCAAGATTACACCACTGCACTCCAGCCTGGGTGACAGAGCAAGACACTGTCTCAAAAAAAAAAAAAAAAAGTCTGGCCACCGGCTCTTCCACTCCTCCATGTCTCTGTTCATACTGATCCCTCTGCCTGGAGTGTCCTTCCCTCCCCTCTGTCCACCTAGTAAACCCCTCATTTTCTTTAGGCCCTACTCCAATCCACCTCTCTGTGAAGCCTTTCCTGACCACAGTGCCCTCCATTCATCTGCCCCAGGAACATTCATTCATTCCACAAGTAGTTATGCCCCACCTATGTGCTGGGAATTAGGACAGTTAAGGACCCTGCTCTTGGGGAGTACATTCATCTGGGCAAGACTGATAATCCTTGCTATATCATCCTGTATAATTTCAGAATGATTAAGGTGAAGGGCTGCAGAATGATAAGACACTCATGGCGGCCTTGCTGAGGGGATGCCAAGTAAGCAGATACCTGAGGAGTTCCTCCTAACCCTCCGTGTCCTGAGCACTCTGCATTCTTTTTTTTTTTTTTTTTTTTTTTTTGAGACAGGGTCTTGCTCTGTCACCCAGGCTGGAGTGCAGTAGTGTGATCTCGGCTTATTGCAACCTCCACCTCCCAGGTTCAAGCGATTCTCCCACTTCAGCCTCCCAAGCAGCTGGGACTACAGGTGCGTGCCACCGTGCCAGGTTAATTTTTTTAGGCTGGAGTGCAGTGGCGCAATCTCAGCTCACTGCAACCTCTGCCTCCTGGGTTCAAGCGATCCTCCTGCCTCAGCCTTCCAAGTAGCTGGGATTACAGGTGTGCACCACCATGCTAGGCTAATTTTTGTACTTTTAGTGGAGACAGCTGTCACCATGTTGGCCAGGATGGTCTCAAACTCCTGAACTCAGGTGATCCACCTGCCTCGGCCTCCCAAAATGCTGGGATTACAAGTGTGAGGCACCGTGCCCGGCTGTGAGCATTCTGCATTCTTTATGGTCTCTCCTTGGGAGGGTTGTGAGACTTAACAAATAAAAACATTGCATAGGACATACTTATACCAAAAAATTGTTCTTGAAATTCAAATTTAATGGGACCACCTGTGTTTTATCAGGCAACCCTACCCCTAGGACTCACTGCCCTGTGAGTTCAGAGAAGGAGCACCCTCAGGGCCCAGCACTGTGGCTGGCTGCAGTAGGCACTCAATAAACACTAAAAGAATGAGCCATTAAGCAGATGCATGAGCAGCACTTGCTAAGTTGTACTGTATTTTGCATTTGCTTGCTGACTCCCCACCTGCATCGCAAGCCCCTGCTTGCTGCGCAGGCAGTGTTAGATGGCATCCTCTGTACCTAATGCAGCCTGAGGAGTGGTTTAGGGAGAATGTATCTGCCTCTTACCATCTATTAGTGCCTCCCCTACTACCCCAAGTAATAATCAAATATGAAAAACAATTTTAGAATGTGGCAATATATGTAATGACATGGAAACTGAGAAACATTTTCTCAATCATATGTACATGAATAAAAACACCTTTGGAAAACTTTGCTATATTTATAGGCTGCAGTGTATAATCTATGAAAAAACTGCTTCCATCTAGTGCCCTAGCTACCCCTTTCCAACCAGACAGCCTCTACGAAACCCTTCCTCTTTTGGAATCGTGGAGCTGGCAAAAAGAGCTGACCAGTAGATGTCTGTTATACAAATGATGGCAGAATTTTACTGTGATTCTGGGCCTATGTGTCAATCTTCCCACTGGACTGGGATCCTGCACAGGCCAGCAAGGTGTCCTTATTGTCCCCAGGCCCAGCATGCAGCAGCAGCTCAGGAAATGGGGATTGAAAATCTATCAAGAGCCACATCTCATAGTTGACGTTAAAGCTTCCCCGAAGGAAGGCTGGTTCAAATGCACACCCCATGTTGCCCTCTGGAGATCAGCAATCCCATCAAGGCCCAGCCCAAACCACACACTGGCAAGCAGCCCAGAAAGGGTGTGGTCCAACTGCCCCACAAGTCCTGTGAATAAGCCCGGTCTTCACTCCCAGTTCATAAAAGGGCCACTGTCCCAGGGCAGCCTCAGCTCCTGTTGGTTTCAACTCAGAAGGAGAATGTTGTTGCTTGAGCCTCTTTTGAGCTTTAAAAAGGACAAGGAAAGGCACTGTACGGAGTGTTTTACTTTTGACTTTTTTTTCATGACTACAAACTGTTGGATATTGAAAACCTTGCATTTACTTGTGAATTGCCAGTCTGTGTTTGCGTATGGAGGAAGGTAAGATTTGCAGGGCTGGAATTATTTTCATTTTCCTTGTAAGTTTCTCCAGTACTTAGCTTTTCATTGAGCATTCTATATTTATTTCTGTGTCATTATGTCATTCTTTGGTGCATTTTATAACCTGTGATGCTGAAAGCTGCCTTCCTTCACATTGTGGGCTAGAGTCAGATAGGGCAATACAGTCACACAGCATCCACCAGAAGTTAGTGCCATGGAACACAGTCCTGAATAAGCACACCAATTTGCTACAAGAATGATCACAGAAAGACTGTGTATAATAGTATCAAAGAATAATTCAAAGACATAGGGTTAATTATTAGGGCACCATTTACTTGAATACAAGGGAAACCAAAAATAGCTTTATTTCATATATCAGAGCCAAAATAAGAAATAGGAAAAGAGGAGAAAGGAGAAAAATGAAAAACTGCAGACGTGTGAAAGATAATGAACTTTGCCTTTTCTTGAGTAAGCTGCTGATTAGCAGGCAGCTAGCTAAGAAGGCCAGAGGGTGTTCTGCCCTTGACATCTGGATGAATCATCAAAGAGGATAATTCCAGTTGCTTATGGATTCTCCAGGAGCCCTTGGAGTGGAACTGTGCTGTATCTGTGACAAGTTCCCTCTGTGTCACATGTGCCTGGGTCCTGGGAGAACACCTCCATCTCTGTTATGCCTCTCTGCCCTATGACCTTTATGTAAAAAGTCTCAATGTAAGCAGCCTAAATGTCTAACTTAAAAGGAACCAGCTAAACAAACCTCAGTATAACCTCAGCATGGAATACCAAAGATCTTTTTTTTTGAAACTGAGTTTCACTCTGTCGCCCAGGCTGGAGTACAATGGTACAATCTCAGCTCACTGCAAACTCCACCTCCCAGGTTCAAGCGATTTTCATGCCTCAGCCTCCCGAGTAGCTGGGATTATGGGTGCCCACCATCACGCCTGGCTAATTTTTTTATTTTTAGTAGAAGCGGGGTTTCACTATGTTGGCCAGGTTGGTCTCAAACTCCTGACCTCAGGTGATCCTCCCGCCTCAGCCTCCCAAAGTGCTAGGATTGCAGGCGTCAGCCACCATGCCCGGCCCCAAAGATCTTTTAAAAATGTTGTGATTTAAGAAAATGTTGTAGTAAAAATATGTAATAATGTAGAAGTTGTTCATGATATACCATTAAGTTATGAGTTTGTGGGGACACACTCATTCCATAGCATTAAATCTGTATCAGTCAAGGTTCTCTAGAGAAACAGAACCAATAGGATCTATGTATACATATATCTCTAGAAAGGGACTTATGAGAAGGTATTGGCTCACGTGAATATGGAGGTTGAGAAGTCCCACAATCTGCTGTCTGCAAGCCGAGGACCCAGGAAAGCTGGTCGTATAACCTGAGAGCCAGAGGGCCGATGGTATAGATTGCAGTCCAGATCTGAAGGCCTGAGAAGCAGGGGTAGCAACGGCAGGGGAAGATCCATATCCCAGCTAAAGTAGTCAGAGATCACATATTCAACCTTCTTCTACATTTTTGTTCTGTTTATACCCTGAACAGATTGGATGCAGTCCACGCACAGTGGGGAGGGCCATCTGCTTGACTCAGTTCACCAATTCAAATGCTAATCTTTTCCAGAAACACCCTAACAGATATATCTAGAAATAATATTTATCTGGGCATCCCATGGCCCAGTCAAGTTGACACATAAAATTAACTGTTGCCATAATCCAGTGGGGAGAAAATGGTGCCTGAACATGAGCAGTGGTTGGGTGGCTGGAAGGAAGGAGATGGATTGAGAACTCTCTAGCAGCCACAGTTGGCAGAACTTGGTGCTAATCAGAGGTGGGGGTGAGAAAAATGAGTCTAAGACAACTGATGATTTTGGTTGGATGACTGGTGGTCACATTAAGTGAGACCCTTTCTTTCTTTCTGGTTTTTTTTTTTGTTTGTTTGTTTCTTTTTTTTTTTTGAGATGGAGTTTTGCTCTTGTTGCCCAGGCTGGAGTGCAATGGCACGATCTTGGCTCACCGCAACCTCTCACTCCTGGGTTCAAGTGATTCTCCTGCCTCAGCCTCCCGAGTACCTGGGATTACAGGCATGTGCCACCATGCCCAGCTAATTTTGGATTTTTAGTAGAGATGGGGTTTCTCCATGTTGGTCAGGCTGGTCTCAAACTCCCGACCTCAGGTGATTTGCCCACCTCAGCCTCCCAAAGTGCCGAGATTACAGGTGTGGGCCACTGCGCCTGGCCGAGACCCTTTCTTGTGCATTGCCATGGTGAAAATACCAGCCTGGTATTACCATTTCTTTCAAAGCGTTGCTAACATCTCTGAAAATCCTAGCACACTCCCTTCAGTGGTCCCCTGTACTCCCTTGCCTGAGGGATCTCCCTGCCTACATGCCATGCCTCCTTATTTCACCCATGGGCCCCAGAGGGGTACAGCAGCCATCAGTGAGGTACTGGTTCTTTCTCCCTGGGCTTATAGTCCCACTGTGTTGAGTACCTTGTCTTCCTCTGTTCGGGTCACCTCCCTGTGCCACAAACATCTACCTTCCAGGAAAGGATCACAAACTGTAGGACTGAAGACTAGATTTCAACCCATAGATGTCTATGATTTGGCCTGCTCTGTGTATGTGTGTGTATACACACACACACACACACACACACACACACACACACACACACTTAAATGTAAATGCCTTTGAAGGAGGGACCAGGCTCTCTGGTATGTCATGTTCCCTCAACCCTTCTGGTTGCCTCACCTTTGGCCTGCTTTGCTCATTTCCCTTCATGCCTGACAGCCACAGGCTTCTGTATGTCTAAGCCCCACTGGAAGGAAAGATGTAGGGGGTCTGGTCCACCAAGGGGCAGCATCTGGACCAACAGGGCACTGGCTTTCTTCCTTGTCACATCTTTCTCATCCTTGCTCACAGCAGGATGAGCGCTTGGAGAGATGGCTGGCTTCCTACAGAAGGTTACCAAAAGACCAAGCTATCTTCCCTTGAAAATAAAACCCAATTGCCTGTATATTAGATTGAACTATATAAAATTGTCCATGTTCAACTTTGCCCTATAAAGATGACAATTTCACATGATTCAACCTATTAACATGGCCCTGGCTTAGTCGCTAGTAGGACAATGGTTCTCAGCCTTGGTTGCAAATTAGAATAAACTGGAGGTTTTAAAAAATACCCTTGCTAGGACCTCACCACAAGACTATTAAATTCAAATTTTTGCAGATGGGGGCAGGCATAGAGCTATTTAAAAAGCTCCTCTGGGCTGGGCACAATGGCTCAAGCCTGTAATCCCAGCACTTTGGGAGGCCAAGGCAGGAGGATCGCTTGAAGTCAGGAGTTTGAGGACAGCCTGGCCACTGTGGCAAAACCCCATCTCTACTAAAAATACAAAAATCAGCCAGGCATGGTGGCGCACGCCTGTAGTCACAGCTACTCGGGAGGCTGAGGCAGGAGAATCGCTTGAACTCAGGAGGCAGAGTTTGCAGTGAGCTGAGATTGCACCTCTGCACTCCAGCCTGGGCGACAGAGGGAGACTTTGTCTCAAAAAGAAAAAAAAGCTCCCCTACAGCCAGACTGATAATTGTCCTCTAGCACATCCCTCGGCCAGCCATGAGAAAGGCTCAAAGAGCCTTCTGCTGAACTCCTTACCACATTATCCATCGATGGTAGAAGCTTCCTGGCTTTCCAAGCAGGGTCTCAAAGAGAAGTCTGAGGAACCCAGAACTTCCATGTGACTGCAATTACTTCATGCATTGAATTGAGTCAATAAAAAACAGCTTCCATCACAACAAAAAAAAAATGTGTGTTAAATACCAATATGCCTGTGGTACCATCCTAGGCATATTACAAAAGTATTACCTTGTGGGAATTAGCAATCTGGAATTTGCAATTCTCTCTCCACCCAATCCCTTGAAAAGCCATATGTGGCATTAGAGAAATTCATAACAAACTGGAAAATGTCAAAGATGTGGCCCTGGACATTTACTGAAGCGTATATGCCACAACAAAGTGTACACTTTGGGGTAGTTAAACAAATTTCTATAGCCATACATGACAGTTAAGTGATACACAGCTTTGAGAGCCATAACTCCTCTGCATTTCTTACTAACTCTAGAAATCTAACATATCCATTAATGTATTTTTCTTTTTGCTTTTACTGTGCAGATTTAAAGAACAAAATAAATAGGTAAATATATTTTCAGAATAAAAAAGAAAACATCCCGTATTACTTTTGGGGGTGATGAAAATGTTCTAAAATTAGATTATGTTAGTGGTTGCTCAACTCTGTAAATATACTAAAAGGCACTGAGTATATTTTAAGCAAGTGAGTTTTGTGGTATGTATATCTCAATAAAGCTTTTCTTAAAAATAATATTGCTAGAGTGAAAAAATAACCGAAATATTCCCACCACTTTCAGAATCCACAGCCCGAATGTCTCAGCAGAGAAGCTGGGTGTGCTGTGTATGTATGTAGCTTATGATGCTGTCCCTGGGACGTGAGTTGTTTGCTCAGATGGCATTGACAGGGGTGCCACGTGATGGGGTAAGTGGGCAGTCCGTTGCTATAAGCAAGAGGCGGGCTGGGAGTAGCTCTGCAGATCTGGTGGCAAAATGAAAGAAAGGAGTTTTCCCTGTTAGGAAAGAAATGCAGAAGCAGCTGTCCACAGACAGCCCAATGCAGAGAACAAACCTGCCTGGGAAGCAGCTGAGGCAGGGCACATGCTCCTGGAAGGAAACAGAGAGATATGTGTGCTCCTTTACTCGCTAGCCTTTCCCGTCACCCTCTCCCCAGGCTCCTGGCACCTTGGAACAGCGTGAGCTTTCCTAGGGCTCCTCTCGACTTGCTTGATGTAGAATTAATTTAATTAGTTTCAGAGGGATCCATCATGGTGGCTGTGTTGCCTAGGTTAAAAGAAACTCTGTGTGTGTGTGTGCGCGCGCGCGTGTATGCATATATATTTTGCCTTCGTGTATGCAAAAGCACCTTGAGACAATATCCTCCTTCTAACTTGGGATTGCTGGACTGTTATTGGAGTCCTAGGGCTTGACAAATTGGCAGAGACTTGGAAATTCTGAAACAGTTTAAGGAAAATGCTTACAATGATGAAGGAACCAAGAAATAAGTCTCTGGGGCTCAATTCCCTGCTCTGTAGTACATGTTCTCAAACCTTCCTTTCAAGCATTGCATGGCTACCATGGGCCATGTGCAGTGTTAGTGCTACAGAAGACGCAGATGTCAATACAACCCGGGGAACGGGGTCAGACAGATCCCCAAAGACTTCAATACACCCCACCGCAAGACAGTTACAAATAAAGTGCTGGGTCTCAGAAGCCAAGGAAAGCATGTGCAGTTGTTGGGAAGGCTATGAAAGGCTTCATGAACAAGCAGCACTGAGAGCTGTATAACATTTTTACAGGTGGGAGTGAGGTGGATTTCCTGGAGGAAGAATCAATGTGATCACAACCATGAGGGCAGGGAAAGGACAGCAAGTGAGCCCCTTAGGTTGGAGGATAAGGAATTAGCAGAAAATGGTCCTGAAAAGGTGACTATGGCAGTAAATGCCAAGCACAGGTGTCCCTATTGAATTCCGCAGGCCACGGACAAGCCTCTGGTGGGTTCCACACTGGGGCTAATTCCAAGATTGGGGTTCCACATTGGGGCTAATATCCATCCTTCTGCTAAGGATGCCTACCACCCTTGGCTGGAGGGGGACAGCCAAATTCCTGCTCTGGTTTTAACTCAGTGAGCTTCAACACATCAATGTGGAGAAGGTACTTCGTATGAGGCACTCTACAAGTGGGAATAAAGATGAAATAGTGTATGTCTTTAAAAATCCTTGCAGTTTGGGAACAAGGAAGAAGGGCAAAGAGGAGATTAGACAACGACATGTAGAACCATACATCGTATGAGTGGTAAAAGGAGCATCACAAGAGTCTTGACAAAGTGCTCAGACCTCCTTAATTGGGGTTCCTGCCAGCTTCTCAAGAATGGGAACCAGGCTTTCTTCATCTCTGCATGGTCTGGTAGCTCAGTGCCTGGCACTTGGTAGACATTCATTAAATGAATGAATGTATGCATCAGTGAATGAATGAATAAACAAACAAATGAACAATTCTCCTGTCACGCAGGATCTGCTGAAGATGGCGGCTGTAAGTTCACAGAGCACTGCCTAACTTTGGTTCATATTGTTCCTCTCTTCTCCTACCTGTATTTTGCTCACCTCAATACCAGCCCACACTGTTTTCCTGGACTGTGATTCTTTCAGTGATCACAGAGTCTGTGCTGCATAATTTAAGTGTCCCTATTCCTTGCAGCTGCTTCCTGTGTGCTAGTCATGTAAACGCCCTTCTTAAATGATTGCATCCCTCACAATACTTAGAATATATTGACTGTTGATTGGTTGGAAAATAATCCCGTACAGGCGGAGGGGGCAGAAACTGACATCATGGAGTGTCAGGCACGGTGCTGGTGCTATGCATACACTCAACAAGGGCCTGGGTAATGCAACATGGAGAAGGGAAAACTGGGGGGCAGAACAATTTTGTCGTCTGAAAGCCTTTCACAGAGAGGCCCTGAACCCATAGCTCTCCTTCTCTGAGGACAGAAAAGGAGGAAGTGTGTCTGTCCTGCAGTATGTGGGATGGATAGATGGATGCGAAATTAAGCACTGAAGTGGGTTGCTTGGAGAGGCAATGACTGCCCCCTGCCCTCACCTGAAAATCCTTAAAGACAGAAGGGATCATCCGCCCAGGAAGCTGAGGCTGCAGGATAAGCTGGCCTTTTCCTGAACAGTGACAGTTGGAGCGTTCACCCTCACTGTCCTTGTCAGAGTTACAGGCAAGAAAGGAGAATCCTTTTGGATAAAGTGTCTTAAAGGAACTGTTGATTTACCCTTTTGCTTTATGGTCTCCTGATGTAGTGAGCAAGGTTCAGGGAGATTAGCTAACTGCAGGCAGACTGATCTTCCTGTGCAGAGAAATAAGGTAGATTCTCATTATCTTCCAGCTCATTTTCCCAAGAATTATGTATTCTCCGGCCAGAAAACGACCTCCAAACCTCCAAACCTTTTCAACTACACGCAGCAAAAAGCTAATACAATGCCTTCTGCATTTGACTGTACGTCTCCTGCAGTGATTAATGCTGCCTCCCTAACTACATTGTCCGGAGCAAGTGTCAAGCCCAATTATTTCTCTAGGATCTCCTGATAGTAAATGCTCAGCAAATATACAGACGAATAACACCTAATCATACACAATAATCTTAGAGTACTTTCCCCATACATTTCCTAACTTAATCCTTACAACAACCCTGTGAAGTTATTAACTCCCATTTTCCAGTTAAGGAAACTGATGCTCAGCAAAGTTAACTGGCACATCCAGTATCATACAGCCAGTAAGAAAGAATTCTGTTCAGTACGCCTTACTGATTAAATGAACTATGTGGCCTGAAGAAAAAGTGTCAGCTCAGTCTTTCCCCATCACGCATCTTATTCCATGGAGTAACCTGCATTATATTTCAGGGTCAGGCACACTAAGTTTGCGCTTTAGTATATGGTGAATAAATGGATGGACACAGTGGCGGCTCTGTATAAGTCAGCTGAAAGCAAACAAAGGGAAGGCAGAATCTTTCATTCACACGATTTATCCGCGCCCACTGGGTGCACTACGGTCGGGCATTGGCGACCCAGGAGCGACTGACCTGCCCTCATGGGGCTTACGGTCCTTAGCAAAAAACAGATGTAAAACAACTAATATTACAGTAAATGAATCATAATTTTGTGAGATGCTCCTGAAAGTATGTAGCAGGACGCTCCGCTCTGGTCCGAATGAAGAGCCATTTGCACTCAGTGTGGAAAGGCTAGCCTTTTTCTGGGCAAAAGAAGCGGGGGATACATTTAGATAGGCAGAAGTTCCGAGCAGAAGTCAAGGCAAATTAAAAAGGCAACAGGAGGAGGGAAAATGCTTCTCACAAACAGAACTCGACCTAGGGGACCGCAACTCTCCAGTCCTGCTGCTTGGCTGCCTACCTACCTAAGAAAAGCAGGAAAGAAAAAGAGAAGACGGGGTGGGGGATGGAGGACAAATACAGAAAAAGAAAAAAGAGCGAAGGAAGTGAGAAGTGAGAGGCCAGTTTATGTAAGCGGGCAGGGCGGCGCGGCCGGCAGGAGACCGGCGCCGGCGCCGAGGGAGTTAAGCGGACGGGCCCGGTATGGAAGAGGTTAAGGGGGGCAGTCCGGAGCGGGTCCGGTAGGGGCCGCCTACTGGGCGGGGGCGGGGCCGCGCCGAGCGAGCGCTGGGATTGGCCGTCGGGCAGGCGCTACGCTAGGACGGTACCAACAGCCGGGGGCCTCGGAGGCGGGGGGGTGGGTGTGGGACTGCCGCTCTGCGCGGCGAGAGGTGGCCTGGGAATGGCCGGGCCGGGGGTGGGCCGGAGCCGCTGTGGCGGCGGCGGCGGCTGGGGGCGGTGAGCGCGGCGTGGGGCTGCCCCTCCCCGGAGGCGGCGGGGGCGGCCGGGGCCGCGCCGCACCGCACCGCGCGGGCGGCCATGGAGCGAGCCTAGGGCCCGACAGGTGAGTGGCGCGGGGGCGGGGGAGGGCGCGCGACCCCCGCCCCCGGCGCGGCGGGCGGGAAAATGCGGACCGGCACGCGGGCGGGGCACGGTACGTAGCGCGCGCCGGGCTGGGGCCGCCTGGGGGCGGGGCGCCTCCCTGAGGGGCCGGGCACCGGGTGCCCTGAGCCGTCCCCGAGTGGCTGCGGGCGGGTCCCGGGCGAGGGCCCGAGGCTTCCTGGGAGACCCGCTCGGGCCGCGTGTCCCTGTGTGCGGTCGCGGCTGAAGGGACGCGGCCTCGGCCGCCACGTCCCTGGCCCACCTGAGGCGCGGGCCCACCTGGGGCCGCCTCAGGCTGCCAGAGGTCCTTCTAGTGACCGTCTCTCGTCCCCTTGCGCGGTCCCCAGAGGCGATTGGCCCCGGTGCCTCTCTTGTGTTCCCCGGAGCGCCCGTTGAGGCAGCCCAGGGAGCGCGCCCTCGCGGGGTCTTTGCTGGGCCCGCCTCGTGGCCGGGAAGCGCGAGTGACCTGCAGGCCGGAGGCGGAAGGCGGGGCAACCGTGCCCGGGGCCCGCGGTCTCCTGGGGTCCTGCGCCGGGCGCTCGCAGAAGGGCACAACTTAACGAATGCTGTGTTAGCCCTCAGTGGGCTGCGCTTGAGATTTCATTTCCGGGTGTGACGGCCCCGCGATTAAGAGCGGACCGATACGTTTCCCTTAATGATGAATGTGAATAGTTGTCGAGCTGCGTCCTTGATTGTGGGTTCTGATAAGAGATTCATTCTAATCTGACTTCTGTTAACCTGCCAGTCTCCGGATAAGAAGAGAAGGGGTAGAAGGATGGATTGGAGGGAAAGTAGGGGTAACAGGGCTTGGTTAGTCTTAATGGAATTATTAGTCCTTTTAAAGACCATACCATCATTGGGATGGATAAGGAGTTTCTAATTTGGGAAAATGAGAGTTGCTTGCTATTGCGACTTGGGTCTAGTGCCAGATATCAGCATCTTCCCCACCCAGCCAGCTTCCCTCTGGAGGTTTGATTTCTCACTTGGAAGGGAAGTAGGAATGTGGGGTTTTTTTTAGCCTTTAGCCTTTAAACTGTAGGACTTTATAAATCTATAATCTGGTACAAATTACTATTGCCATTTATTAGCCACGCCTATGTTTTTTGCGTTGTAAATTCTTGCAAAAATTTCACTGGCGTTGATTTCTAAAAATCTGGTTAGAGATCTCAGTGTTCTTATGTATTACAAACATTCCTTGAGTTTATGCAGGATCTTTGAGCTAAGCTTAGAGCACTTCCTCAAATATGATTCGTTATCACGACTGTCTGAGAAACTGAGGTACAAATGGTAAAGATGCTAAATTATTTGCCCAGACTCATAGCCAATCTCAGGGAGATTTAAAATCAATGTATTCTATTAATAACTTTTCTAAAGTTTGCAAAGATGTTGGACTTTGGCCTCTCGAACCGTACAATGGAATCAGTCAGCAGGAGTCCCTTTCCCATTTGAAATTACTTATCAAAGGAGAATACAAAGGCACACACAAGTATAATTCAGACTCTCAGCCTCACTCATGATAAAGTGCAGTGATAAATATGGATACAGGTAAAAGATGATCAAGACATCTTGGAGTTCACAGCGTTTCTTTTCTGTGTGGTGAAAATGTGACATTGGTATGCTCTATTCGTTTCTCTAGAACTGGTAGGACAGTAGCTATGTTTTGGTGAATGAATGGAAACTAGAAAACACATACACTGCTTTTCTTTTTGGTTCTTAAGATTAGAGAAAAAACACATCACTGCTTCTATCATCTTTATTTTTATAATCTTTTATATCATGGAAGTATTTTATGTTAAATTGATAATTCCTTGACTTTTAGTTCATTCCCTTGATTTCCATTTGTAGATTCCAGCCCTTTCACACAGCCTTAAAGTTTCTGCTTCTTATCTCTTCTGAATTTTAAATTCCTAAATGAAACTTTCTGTTCCTTCAGTTTTAGGGCAGACTTCAGCTTCCCACACTTTGTGTGTCTATCATTTCATTGGTGTAAAACCCTAAAATCATTTCATTAGTGTAAAACCCTAAAGCCAGATACTTCAGCTGTTGAATTGATAACTTTTTAAAATAGCTAACCACAGAGGTTGTCTTTTGGTGATTGCCACAATCTCATAACAGAAGCAGGAGGGCGTTCTTTGTATTCTGTAAGAATACATAAAAAGACAGTTGGTCGGGCGCGGTGGCTTATGCCTGTAATCCCAGCACTTTGGGAGGCCGAGGCAGGCGGATCACGAGGTCAAGAGATTGAGACCATCCTGGCCAACATGGTGAAACCCCGTCTCTACTAAAAATACAAAAATTAGCTGTGCATGGTGGTGCACGCCTGTAGTCCCAGCTACTCAGGAGGCTGAGGCAGGAGAATCGCTTGAACCCAGGAGGCAGAGGTTGCAGTGAGCTGAGATTGCACCACTGCACTCCAGACTGCTGACAGTGAGACTCCGTCTCAAAAAACAAACAAACAAACAACAACAACAACAGAAGGAGACTGTCTTCTGAATCTGACTCTTAGTCCTTCTGGGACTAAGTGCCAGGTGGTTTTGTGGATTGGGATGGGGAACACAGTTACAATGAGGCCCTACAGTTTGTTGTAATTGTTACAGTAATCTGTGTATCTGTGTATTTTTCTCTCTGCACCTGACAGTGCCTGTATGTAGAAGGTGCACAATAAATATTCGTCAGTTGAATGAATAAATGGAAAACAGTATGAGGGAAGGGGAAATATTCTAATGTATATACTAAATTATTTAGTTCCTCTTTTTGTCAAAAGAAAAAAAAAGCGTAGAAAATGTGTTTCGGATTACTGTTCAAAATATTCTGTAGAGGTGTGTTATTTGCTTCTGTGATTATATGGTGTTCTAAACCACCTGGAGCCTGGCAGTAGCCTGTGCAGGTTCCAGTCAAGTGCAGCTTCACAACCTTGCTCCTACAGTCTGTTCTGGCTAGGCTAATTGGGCAGTTGGATTGATAGCCAGTGTTTTTGCATTAATAGAAGAACTTAGAGCTCTTGGCAATGGCCATGTCAATAGCATTGACCTGACTGCCCTTGTCCCTTATTTTGACGGTGGAAGAGGGGAGTTATCCCTTTTTAAGAGTACTTCTCCAGCAGTTCCTTCTTCTACACCTACATATATCTTCCTGTTTTCCTTCAGCTGTCTCTGTAACCCCAAGTACTAATGAATTCTTTAACATAGGCCTGGGCTGCAGAACAGAAGCTTACTTTGCTATTGAAACCAGCTTCTGACTAACTTACAATGTCAGCATGACTGCTCGAGCTGCCTAGAAGAGAAAATAATGCAAAGATCTCACTTCTGATTTGGTCTTTCTTACCAAAAACAAAAGAAGAAATGCCTAGCTTGGGATGTAAAGAATCTACATGACAGATGGGTGCGTCTGTCATCCCAGTGTGAGATAAGAGAAAAATGTAAGCTGATGCAGAAGAGACCTTGAGCTTTGGTGTGTGTTTAAGGTCTGTACTTTCTGGCAAGATAACCCCTTTAGAGAAGAGGGTGCTAACTTGGGCACGTTATAAAGGCAGGTCAAGGAATATGAAATTATGAATGTGTAAAGAGGACAGAACCAAGTACAGAGGGAGGCAGTGAAGTCTATCATTCCATGCTCTCAAATGTTAACTTTCTGCTTTATATACATAGCAATGCCTCATTTACCTAATGTTGGGGAGTAAGGTATTATATGTGAAAATTTTATTTTAGCTATACCTTTTGTGGAAAAATTTTTACAATATATGCTTTGGTTATTATTACTAGCATACTGGCAGTAGTTGAGTGAGGCTATGAGATGATCGAAAAATGTAGTTTGTTGTCCACTGTGCTTTTTGAATTATTGAATCTACTTGAGTCGATTCAGTAGTCAGTCTTTGTCTTCTTTCAGTGGTGGAAAGCTGCTCTTTTGCTGCTGTTAGTATCCTTGCTGCCCTCTTTTAAATTTGCAGCTTCTTATCTGTGGAGTAGGAGCTTCCTGACATTGAATGTAAAACAGCTAAATTGGCTTAGTTATGTTCTACCTGCTCTTCTCCAAGTTTTAGGGTATGAACTTTGTAACCACTTATTTTTGTTGCCCAGGGACGTTTTTGTTTGTTTGTTTCTTATCGTTGGTGTAGATAGTGAACGTGTGCTCTGTATAGGTGCATTTATGTTCCTGTAGTTTTCTGTAAAAAAAAAAACAAAATAATATGGAAGTACTTACTCGTGTGGGTTCTTGTTTCAGAAAGCACTGCCAATAATACTTGAAGATCTGATTTCAGCCCTGTCTTGTATCATCCTTGGGCAGTGTGTTAGACAACCTCCTTTCTTCCTTTTAGCATTTCCAAATTGTCTTTACTCTTAATCCCAGCCGATACTAGGAACCAGGTTGGCAATAGCAGTGGCCTTGAAAGGTGGAAGCAGGATATACAGAAGGTGGCAACTTTAAATTGAGTGTATATAATTGGTATACATATTCGCTATTTCTGCATCTTTTATATACTGTATACTTGAATTCATTGTAGGACTTATTTCCCCCTGTCTCTGAAAGAGGCAGTCTTTAAACCAGAGAGTTGCCAGTTTAGAAGAAATTCTTATAACCCTAAAGGTCTTTCTCCTTTGCCCTTCTCTCCTTTTATTCCACAAACACTTATCAGATGCCTCTTACAGGCCCTGCACAGTGCTAAGTTACTTGGAAGTACAAAGCGTGAGTAAAATCTATCCCATCCTCAAAAAACACAATATATTAGAAGAGACAGATGTGCCAAAAAAAAAAAAAAATGTGTGTGTGTGTGTTTGTGTGTGTGTGAGTTCATAGTATAACAGAGGGATCATGCCTGGAGCCACCTAGCCATAATTTCAGCACAGATCTGTTTGAGGTTCTCCTGCTTCTGAGAGTGATCTCCTGTGTGGGCTGTCAGCTTGACGTACCATAGAACATAAGGCTAAAAATGCGAGGTCTATTGTTGTATAAAGTTTATGTGGTTTTCCAAGAACTGTAGTGAATTGAACACTAAAGATGGAAAGCATATGAAAAGCTGAAGGAAAATGTTATAATATTTGTAATGCCGTATTTCAACACTATACAGGAATTACCTTCTATAATCTAGCCTTAAATGGTGGTTCTGTACTGACAGTTGTGCTGTGAAATACCTGGAACTTGGGAAGTGTCATTATACCTGGCTTATTTAAAGGAAAATGCAAATTGTTACTCATTTCCACGTAGTGTCAAGATTACTGCGTGTGTTGGTTTTTTAGAACAGAACTCGCTAGCAGTATGAGCTAAAGTTTTTTTCTTTTTCATTTTTCAAGGAAGAGGGTTGCCCTAAATCAAGGTTTAAATGGGACAGGTTGCAGAGATTGATTTTTTTTCAGTTCACTTATTGAAATTATTCAGTTATTGCCTATTTCATTTTTACTTTCACATCCAGCAAGAAAGACTACCTTAATGCTTCATTAATGCCTGGTAATGGTTTTAGTTGCCTTCCTTCAGAGGGAACTTGTTAGAGAATTTCATATAAGTGATTCTGAGTTTACAGATGTAAATAAATGTTTAAATGGAAGTGAAAACAGTAAGGAAAACCTGACACTTGGACCAATTTGGATTATGTAAGAATTAGATTTTCTACACCTGTACTCTTAAGTTACTCTTAAGGCTTATCTTAAGGGCTTTAGCACATGAAAAGCTGTCATCTTTAAAACACAGAACTAATTTTCCAAACTGAAAACAGTTGTGAAAGGCATTCTATTTTAGCCTTTTTTTGTGAAGTGGGATAAGTTCATGCTTCCCATCTGTTTCAGTTACATTGAGTGTGGTAGAATTGAACTTTGTAGAGAAGGGAAACAGGTTGGCCAAATTAGTGACAGCCTCCCAGTCTTCTGCTTTGCATGACACTCACTCTGAAGATATCTATTTGCCTAGTCTTATCTACCTCTCAAATTTAGGCAAGAATTTGGCTCAGAAATACAAGACTACTAATTACTACTAAACTCTTAGTAATGCAATGTGTGGATTTGGCCCCTCACTATGTAACTGAGAAGACAACATTATGGTATATTGATTCCAATGAGGGTTTTCTTTGTCATTTTTCTCCTCTCTGGAGGTCATCTGGGTTTTTGATATGGTGATAATGACTAGCAAGTGATTACTGTGGGTCATCCAGGCACTAATCTTAGCACAACACATGTAGAGGTCTCATTCTTTTTTTTTTTTTTTTTTTTTTTTTTGAGACAGGATCTTGCTCTGTCACCCAGGCTGGAATGCAGTGGCATGATCTTGATTCACTGCAGCCTCAGCCTCCCGAGTAGCTGGCTCATTCATTTTTAACAACCCTGTGAGTTAGGTAATAGTATTCTTGTTTCATTTTTTTATATGCAGAAACTGAGACCCAGAGAGGTCAGAAGTTAAATATCTTTCCCAAGACCCACATTAGGTGGTAAAGGAAGCATCCAGGCCTAGGCATTCTGAATCCAGAGGACATGCTTTTAACCCCTCTGCTACAGAAAGCTTATATTTAAAATAAGAAGGTGAATTAAGAAGCTATTTCTTAAGTGGATAATTAGCACAGAAAAGAAGAAAAAATATCTATAGATACTGATTAATGCTATTACTTAGTATTAGTTTTTATTTTTAGTTGAAGACCCTCATGTGAAGATGAAAGGAAGAATAGCATGCTGTTGTGGCAGGCAGCAAAGCAGGAGTGGGCTGGTTTTCCCAGGGTACTCAGCATTTACTGAGATAATAAACATGTAATGCTGTTTAATATTGGAGGTTTTGACTTTCTGGACATCTTGACTGTCACACAATACTAAAAGACTTCTGAATGCTCTTAATTTTACTTATCACTGCCACTAACCATCAGTAGAGACATTTATTTCTAGGGAACGGGGTGTAAACTCATAACAGTTAATAATAATATGCACAGTGCCCTACTGTCACTGCTAGTGAAAAATCAAAAGGGCAGTATACCAGACAGCCCACGGTAAAAGCGTGTGTGTGTCTAACTTTTTTTGCACTAAAAGATGTGATTTTTGCTATTTATGTTTTGGCTGAAGTACAAAAGTTAGGCTTTATAAACCGGACATGTGTCAGTGTGTGAATGTGTGAGGTTAGCCTTGATTGCTCTGCATAAGTCTAAGTAGGGCTCTGAAGTATGCAAGTGGATTTTAGTAAATGATCCAGTTGAGAATCTATTTCTTCTTGTGGTACCTTTAAGAGACTTTGTTAATTATGTATCTTTCTAAATATATACAATGAAAACAGAAAAATATAAATGACATGTAACTTTTATAATGAGTGTATTGCTCCTAGAAGCCATTAATAATAATTTACAAATATGACCTAACAATTTATCAAACCAATTTTTATTTGCACTTAATGGTTAATTTAGTGATTACTCCCTCCCTGAGATAATTGTTTTTAGTCACGTAATTTATTTCCCTATGTCTTCTCCCCTGGTATTTTTACTATCCCCAAAAGGAGTTGATAGGAGCAGAACAGATGTGAGAATGTTGGGTTTTACAAACTACCTCAAAATAATAGTGGGTTAAGACAATGATTTGTTATTTCTTTCTTTCTTTTTCTTTTTCTTTTTTTCTTTTGAGACAGTCTTGCTCTGTCACCAGGCTGGAGTGTAGTGGCGTGATGTCGGCTCACTGCAACCTCCGCCTCCTGGGTTCAAGCGATTCTCCTGCCTCAGCCTCTCAAGTAGCTGGGACTACAGGCATGTGCCACCATGCCCAGCTAATTTTTTGTATTTTAGTAGAGATGGGGTTTCACCATGTTGGCCAGGCTGGTCTCAAACTCCCTACCTTGGGTGATCCGCCCATCTCACCTCCCAAAGTGCTGGGATTACAGGTGTGAGCCACTGCGCCCAGCCTGTTATTTCTTATAATTATATAGGTCATCTGGTCTCACGTGTTCCTGCTCAAATGGTATAGGCTGGGGTCACAACAGTGACTACATTCTGCCAGACCACAACTGGGACTGGAATGTCCTTGAAAGTGTCATCTTCATGTCTGGCACTTCACCTGGGGTGACCAGGATAGCCAAGGGTTGGCTGGACCTCTCTCCATATAGATCACTTGGCATTTGGTAGTCTTAGCTTGAGCTTCTTTACATGGTAGCTAGATCCCGTGAAAGTGGAAGCTGCCAGGTCTCTTAAGACCAGGGCCCAGAACTGGCACACAGTCATTTCCACAACATTCTATTGTCAAAACAAGTTACAAAGCCAGCCCAGATTCAAGGGGAGGAAAAACAGACTCCACCTCTTTCTCTCTCTCTCTCTCTCTTTTTTTTTAATAATGGAGACAGGGTCTCACTGTGTTACCCAGGCTGGTCTCGAATTCCTGGGCTCAGGCAGTCCTTCTGCCTCAGCCTCCCAAAGTGTTAGGATTACAGGTGTAAACCAGCATGTTTGGCCCTGACTCCACCTCTTGATAGGATAAATTGTTAGTGTCTGTCTTTGCAGACAGTCTACAAAAAATTCAAATTCAAGTCTTACCTCCTATACTCACCAAACCTTCAGAGTTTTAGTCAAACCAATAATTACCAAAGTATTTTGTTAAAGGATCCTTGTAGTTCCTACTCAGGATCAAGGGCAAAGAGATTGTGTGCATAAATATAATTCTATACCAGTTAAGAAATCCTACCCCTTTGCCTCAGATCTCTTTTGTTGTTAGTCCTCTGCATGAAGCATTCTTACTAAGCATTTCCTTTGTGGTGCTTTGCATTTACAAGGCATGTTACATTCTACTTAAGTCATAAGAACCTGATTTGACCATTAAATTAGAAACACAAGAAGTGAAACTTATGTTTACTTTTACCATAACTTTCACTTTTAGTTGCTATGAGCAGAGGTTGGTATTTATTTCTTCTCTATGACCTCAGAGGTAGTATTGTGAGCTTGTCACTTAATCAGAGGGTGATTCAAGGGGACACTTCTAATAAGGCTTGGAATCTCATTGGTGGCTTGTAGGACCCTCTAGTAAGGTAGTAAGCGTTAAGGCCAGGTGTTCTCATGTTCCTTGGCAGCCACATACATTGAGATTTATCACATGATCTGTAGACCCCCACACCAACATGCTTTTCTGTAAATGTTCCTCCACCATCAGCCAGATTTTTTTTTAAGTACAATTTCCATTGTATTTTTCTCCAGAGAATGGTCTGTCTTCAGTCTTTAAGGACTCAGCTCCTTACACGGGCTTTGGTGGGGGTCGTGGGGCAGCACCCACAGGTCTAAATCGGGGTAGGGGTGTTCGGTCCTCGTGGGCTTCATGAGATTGATTCCTGACTACTTTGCTGTGAATTGCACAATTCACACAGTAATGTAGCTTCACAAACAGCTTGGGAAGCACATAGGCATTGAAGACGCTGCTTCAGAAATGTCCCTGACTGCTGTGGCCTCCACTATATTTCGAATGATGAATTTCTTAATGGCCTTGTCCTTAGGCACGCATCAGGCACAGTTCATGCAGCGAATGGCTGCACGTAACTGTGGCCCTTTTTGACATGACTTTTGTTCCTTCTTTTCTTTGTCATCTTGGAGGCATGGACCGGAGAGGAGATTCTTGAAAGAAGACTTTACATTAAGACCTCACTTTTTTTCTGTGGAATCTATATCTCTTCTCCCAAAACAACTTCATAGTCTTACGTTTGCCCTTATACAATATTTATCAAATGAGTAGGATGAGTGTGTTTGTGTGTGTGTGTGTGTAGAATGAAAGTGAATTAGCCGGCTGGGCGTGGTGGCTCACACCTGTAATCACAGCACATTGGGGGGCTGAGGTGGGCAGATCACTTGAGGTCAGGAGTTCGAGACCAGCCTGCCCAACGTGGAGAAACCCCGTCTCTACTAAAAATACAAAAATTAGCCGGGTGTGATGGCAGACACCTGTAATCCCTGCTACTTGGGAGGCTGAGGCAGGACAATCGCTTGAATCCAGGAGTTGGAGGTTGCAGTGAGCCGAGATAGCACCACTGCACTCCAGCCTGGGTGACAGAGCGAGACTCTGTCTCAAAATAAAAAAAGAAAGTAAGTAAATTAGCCTCCGTAGCAAGCCCCATATAGCTGATGGAGCTCAGGTTGAAACCAGGGTTCAGTGGGAAAATTCCTTGTAAAGGTCTACTTTCCAGAACTCCAGGCTGGGAGTTTATGCCAGCTTTTCATGTGAAAACTATTTACAGATATGCCATTTGTACTGCCTTTTTTATATTTAACACTTTTAAAGTTATGTTATTACCTTGAGTTTGTTTGTTCTTTGAGGTAGTTTCTGTTCTGCATAACAGAAACATTAAAATAAATGACCGTAATATAACTGGACATTGTTGCACTGTTTGAAGCATGTATCGGAGGAGCTGAGGGTGTGAAATAGAGCAGGCACATTCTTCTGAGAATGTTAGTGAGGTTTTTCGTGAATAGTTTGAATATACCCAGTGAATTTGCGTTTATTTCCTTAGTGTCTGAAATGGGGAATCTTTGGAAAAGTCCAGTTTGCACAATATAGTATACTCCTTGTCCCAAATAAAAAAGGAAGATTATATGGCATGGAAACCCTGTCTCTGGTACTTTCTCCTCTCTCACATATAAAGGAGTGAAGGGGATCATTCTAAGGAGCCAAGATTCTGAAAGGAGAATTAAGAACCATATGCAATAAGGTATTATACAAGGCCGAATGTAGTTAAGTACTGGCCGAAAGGAGGGAGAAGTTACTTTAAGAGTGTAAGGAGGGACGAAAAATTGCCTTAGAGATGGCCTTGGAGATGAGCCTTGAAAGGAGGCTCAGACTTTATCAGGAGGAGATTGGAAGAAATGTTAAGAGAAAGAGGAATTTTGAGGGACTACAGTGTAAGGAATGACAGAAGCAAAGAGCACCTACACATCAAGAGGAGGACCATAGCATGTTCAGTTGATCCATTGTGGCTAAAGCTGAGAAGAGGAACAATGGGAGTGATGTCTAACTTGGAAGCTATTTAGGATACAGCTTTAATGCCTTGCCAAGGAATCTAGAATCAAAGGTGGTTGAGTGATTTGAAAAATGATTTTGGCTGCATTATCTAGGCTGGATTGGAGAACCTGGAGGCTCAGGCATCAGTTCTTTCTGTGGTCCAAAAGAAGGTGATGAGCACTGAAGTTGGTGGCTGTGGAAATGAAAGACGGCTGTAAAGAACAATGACAAATTGCACTCTTACTCATTCCACCAGGATGTGGTGACTGTAATCACAAACATGAAAACTTGTTTAGTCTCTTTTTTTTTAACCTGCCCTCACTTAGAATCTGCAGAAGGAAATAGTGAAATAATAGAACCCTTCAGTTCCCTTAATATGAATTTATTTCTTGTTTGCTTGCTTGCTTTCTGTATGTCGGTCTTTTTTTTTTTTTTTTTTTTTGTGAGACGGAGCCTCACTCTGTCGCTCAGGCTGGAGTGCAATGGCACGATCTCAGCTCACTGCAACCTCTCCCTCCCAGGTTCAAGCTATTGTCTCCTGCCTCAGCCTCCTGAGTAGCTGGGATTACAGGTGCCCACCACCACGCCCAGCTAATTTTTGTATTTTTCATAGAGATGGGGTTTCGCCGTGTTGTCCAGGCTGGTCTTGAACTCCTGACCTCAGGTGATCTGCCTGCCTCGGCCTCCCAAAGTGTTGGGATTACAGGCGTGAGGCACTGTCCCCAGCCAGTTCCCTTAATGTAAATTTCTAACCTAGCTGAGTGAGTGAATTGTTTATGGCCCTGAATTGATGAATGTGTTCGTCTGAGGCCGCTTCAAAAGGAGAAGTTTTGAAATAAGTTTCAAAACTTAAAAGGACACAAACTTGGATTGTGGGATTGGACCGTTTTTCTTATCTGAATTTTGGAACTGTTAGAACTTCTTATTGCATTGATGATAAAAACAAAACAAAAAACCACAGCTCTAACCTTTGTGCAAAATGTTTGGATGTGATATATTTATATAGCACGAGGGGGAGGATTTTCTTCATTCTAAATGAATGAGCAATACGATTAAAAGTTTATGGGTTGGTCGGGACAGTGGCTCATGCCTGTAATCCCAGCACTTTGGGAGGCTGAGTCTGGCAGATCACCTGAGGTCAGGAGTTCAAGACCAGCCTGACCAACATGGAGAAACCCTGTCTCTACTAAAAATGCAAAAGCCTTAGCTGGGCGTGGTGGCGCATGCCTGTAATCCCAGCTACTTGGGAGGCTGAGGCAGGAGAATCGCTTGAACCCAGGAAGCAGAGGTTGTGGTGAGCCGAGATTGCTCCATGGCATTCCAGCCTGGGCAACACAAGCGAAACTGCATCTCAAAAAAAAAAAAAAAGAAAAAAGTTTATGGGTTAACCAGACTTTAGTCCTGAAGGATGTTCTGTAGAAAGTAAAAGCCTATGAAGCTGACCCCTTTGTGCCAGAATTGTATTGCATTTGTAGCTAGTGGCATCTGGAGATGCTGAAGAAGTGATTGTCAATACAACTAGATTTCCATATTGCCTTTTATCTCTGCAGCCTGAGAAGTGTACTGTTGAACAAGCACTTGAAAATGTTGTGTGGTTTAGGTTGCATTAGAACTAGCAAAAATCTCTGAAATCTTCTCTGCTAGCACTGCTGTTATCAGTAATCACAGGGAACTGTTTTACTGAGTTCCACACCAAACTTGATACCATCACAATTACATTTTAGATGCACTTGAATTGCCTTTGTTTCAGCTAATAGTGTTGTGTACCCTGGGAGATGATGATGAAACAAAACAGGTGGCAGGGAATAATTAGAATTTGAAATTAACTCTCACTTTCTGCTTCCTTCATGAACAGAAAAGGAGTGGTTAATCACTGAGAATAAACTTCATTCAGCTGGCCCACTGCAAAGTGTTGCCCTCAGAATACATTGCTCTGATAAGCTGCTTTTGATTGTTTCCAGTTGTTATTAAGGGAGCAGTATCACGTTTAAGTGGGAGTGTCTTAGCCTGAATCATTTGCTCTATTTTTTTGTATTGGTTTTATTTTTTGGATTAATGGTTTGAGTTGTTAAATGAATTGGAGAGTGAAGCAACATCCTGTTATCTTCTTGTCATCTTTGTCTTACCTCAGTGCTGTGCTGTCTGCAGGCATAGAGCAGAGCAAGCCTGTGCATGTTTTTAAATGGCCTTATGGAGTAGAAAGCAACCTCTCAGGATGCAAGTGAGACGGAATTGTATGTTCTTGACACCCTTGCAAAAATCTTGTATTTGGAGCCTTTTAACTTAAGAATTGCCCAGAGTGTGGTCAGCCCCATGCTAGAAGGAGCAGTTCTTTATGTCTGTGACATGAATATCCTTGTTATATGCTTGACCATTCCAGACGTAGTAGTGCTGCCATAGTACCAGGCTTTATTAGTTTTCTGGTTATATTCTGCTAATAGCTAGATGGTATGGGCATATTTTTTTCCCTTTACTTAATGTACCCAGTTTTGATTATCCATGGTTTGCAGGTATTTTAATTTTGAAAAATAATTGGCGAAGGACTAAGTAGAAATATGTGTCTGGGGTTGTATTTAAATACATGAGCAGCAGATATGACACGTCCAGGATCGCTGAATACTTGGACTCAGAGACAGCTATTACTCTCCTCTGCACCCTGTGGCATTTTATTTATTTATTTATTATTTTTTTTTATTGATCATTCTTGGGTGTTTCTTGCAGAGGGGGATTTGGCAGGGTCATAGGACAATAGTGGAGGGAAGGTCAGCAGATAAACAAGTGAACAAAGGTCTCTGGTTTTCCTAGGCAGAGGACCCTGCGGCCTTCCGCAGTGTTTGTGTCCCTGGGTACTTGAGATTAGGGAGTGGTGATGACTCTTAACGAGCATGCTGCCTTCAAACATCTGTTTAACAAAGCACATCTTGCACCGCCCTTAATCCATTTAACCCTGAGTGGACACAGCACATGTTTCAGAGAGCACAGGGATGGGGGCAAGGTCACAGATCAACAGGATCCCAAGGCAGAAGAACTTTTCTTAGCACAGAACAAAATGAAAAGTCTCCCATGTCCACCTCCTTCTACACAGACACGGCAACCATCCGACTCCTCAATCCTTTCCCCACCCTTCCCCCCTTTCTACTCCACAAAACCGCCACTGTCATCATGGCCCGTTCCCAGTGAGCCGTTGGGCACACCTCCCAGACGGGGTGGTGGCCGGGCAGAGGGGCTCCTCTCTTCCCAGCAGGGGCAGCCGGGCAGAGGCGCCCCTCACCTCCTGGACGGGGTGGCCGGCCGGGCGGGGGGCCAACCCCCCCACTTCCCTCCCGGACTGGGCGGCTGGCCGGGCAGAGGGGCTCCTCACTTCCCAGTAGGGGCGGCCGGGCAGAGGCGCCCCTCACCTCCCGGACGAGGCGGCTAGCCGGGCGGGGGGCTGACCCCCCCACCTCCCTCCCGGACGGGGCGGCTGGCCGGGCGGGGGGCTGACCCCCCTACCTCCCTCCAGGACGGGGCAGCTGGCCGGGCAGAGGGGCTCCTCACTTCCCAGTAGGGGCGGCCGGGCAGAGGCGCCCCTCACCTCCCGGACGGGGCGGCTGGCCGGGCGCTGATCCCCCCACCTCCCTCCCGGACGGGGCGGCTGGCCTGGCGGGGGCTGACCCCCCACCTCCCTCCCGGACGGGGCGGCTGGCCTGGCGGGGGCTGACCCCCACCTCCCTCCCGGACGGGTTGGCTGCTGGGCGGAGACGCTCCTCACTTCCCAGACAGGGTGGCTGCTGGGCGGAGGGGCTCCTCACTTCTCAGACAGGGCGGTTGCCAGGCAGAGGCTCTCCTCACTTCTCAGACGGGGCGGCCGGGCAGAGACGCTCCTCACCTCCCAGACGGGGTCACGGCCGGGCAGAGGCGCTCCTCACATCCCAGACGGGGCCGGCGGGCAGAGGCGCTCCCCACATCTCAGACGATGGGCAGCCGGGCAGAGACGCTCCTCACTTCCTAGATGGGATGGCGGCCGGGAAGAGGCGCCTCCTCACTTCCTTGATGGGATGGCGGCCGGGAAGAGGCGCTCCTCACTTCCTAGATGGGATGGCGGCCGGGCAGAGACGCTCCTCACTTTCCAGACTGGGCAGCCAGGCAGAGGGGCTCCTCACATCCCAGACGATGGGCAACCAGGCAGAGACGCTCCTCACTTCCCAGACGGGGTGGCGGCCGAGCAGAGGCTGCAATCTCGGCCTTTTGGGAGGCCAAGGCAGGCGGCTGGGAGGTGGAGGTTGTAGCGAGCCGAGATCACGCCACTGCACTCCAGCCTGGGCACCATTGAGCACTGAGTGAACGAGACTCCGTCTGCAATCCCGGCACGTCTGGAGGCCGAGGCTGGCGGATCACTCGCGGTTAGGAGCTGGAGACCAGCCCGGCCAACACGGCAAAACCCCGTCTCCACCAAAAAAATACGAAAACCAGTCAGGTGTGGCAGGCTGAGGCAGGAGAATCAGGCAGGGAGGTTGCAGTGAGCCGAGATGGCAGCAGTACAGTCCAGCTTCGGCTCGGCATCAGAGGGAGACCGTGGAAAGAGAGGGAGAGGGAGACCGTGGGGAGACGGGAGACGGGAGATGGGAGACAGGGAGGGAGAGGGAGAGGGAGACGGGAGACGGGGAGGGAGACAGGAGACGGGAGACGGGCCGGGAGAGGGAGACGGGCAGGGAAAGGGGAGAGGGGAGAGGGAAAGGACCCTCTGGCATTTTTAGGAATTGTTGTCTTACCAGAATGAGAACCAAATACTGGTGGTTTGGGATATGCAAAAGTCCTTTATGGATTTTGAAAGTTAAAAAAATGAAAGTTAAACAATTATGTATAGCTTGCTCTTTTGTTTTTGTTGTGTTTTTCCTCATTGTTTTGGTTATTAGGCATGTGTAGCCAACCTCATGGCTCCTAGATGGCTTGCATTCCAATTAAAATAGAAATATTTGCTTTAAAATTTTCAGTGTATGTGGTTCTTGCTTATTAGTGTCACAGGATCCTTGGGGTGTCACTTTGCCAGTGAGAAACCTCTGTGGCCGTGGTGCCTTCTGCCTGAGTAGTGCTTGTGCCCACTGGGCTCGTTCTACCCACTCAGCCTTGCAGGCCGTGCTCAGCTCGTACTACTGGCCTGGATCTTATACCTGCCAAGGGCAAGCCAGGTGCAGAGCAGCAAGGGGTGTGTGGACAAGCTAGCATGGGGTCTGGCCACTGTACACAGCCACGCACGCTGGGGCTGCTGTGGTGGGGTAGGCAGCTCCAAGCATAAGCACAGCTGCCGGTTCTGTGTGAGTCTGCAGCTGGACCAGAGTATCACATGCAGCTTCTGCTGCGGGTGCCCATGTCTGGACAAGGGGAACATGGTGGCATCCAGAAACTTGGAGACACCAGGAACCTCAGAACCCCAAAGAGGATGTCACAGCCCTGGCTCGGGGAGACCCTAGGTCTGAGCTCCACAAAGGGCCCCAGCTCTTCTCTCTTTCTGATTGCCTACCACATGGTGAGCAGGGGGTGTGTTTCAGCCCTGTTTGCATTACAGCTCTTTCAGTCCTGCCATTTGGTGGGTTCTGAGTTCTTGTCCCATGCCCCACGCTGACAACTGGGGGTGAGCAAAGTGGAGAGGAGCTTCACTGAGCAATAGAACAGCTCTCTGGAGACCCAAAGTGGATAGCTCTTTCTGCAGCCATGTTGTTCTGATGAGAGTCTAGCTTTCAGTGGAGAGGAGACCCACAGTGGGTAGATCCCTTGTGCACGCAGGTTGTCCGGATATCTGTTTGAGTCTGGCTGAGTGCAGGGTTTTTATGAGCTCAGAAGAGAGGAAGTGTGTGCTGATTGGCCCATGGGTGGCCATGGGTGGGCCCAGAAAAAGCACCATAAGTTCTCACTGTGGTTTGCGGACTCTTAACCAGAACCGACAGCCCAGCCCCCATGCTTCAGGCCATCCCTGGCTTGAAGGTGGGGCTTCACTGGGGACCCATCCCTTTCCGCCCAGGAGCCTGCCTCCTGCCACCATTCATGTCATCCACAGTGCCCAAGCTGTTTGTACCAAGGGATGCCTGCAGGCCTACACTGAGCCATCCTCAGTCCTCCCTTGGCCTCCCTCCCATGCTCATTGGTGCCCAAAGTCCGGAGTGGGCTGAGACAGCAGGGGCCTGGTGTATCAGCACTGCCCCAACCACATATATACAGGTCACGACATCACCTGGGCTTTGCCACAATTTTGCTCCACCCCAGAGTGGGTGCGGGGAGTGGGGAGAGGCCAGGCAGCAGGAGTGGCATTTTGGAGCCTGTGGGTGTAGCTGTGGCTGGGTGGCTGCAGCTGTACCCAGGAACACGGGGCCCCTGCTCCACCATCTTGGAAGAGGGCAGGGCTCCCACCTGTTCCCAGCTCCTTCCAGCTCCGTGGAGTGTGCAGCCCTGGCCATGCCTCTCCCACTGCAGCTGGTGTCTTCGCAGCAGCTGCTCCAGTTGGGCCACTGCTGCCATCATTAGGTCCTTCTCCAGATTAGTTAATTTTAAATTATTGAACCTTCTTGAGCTCAAGAATAGAAAGCCTAAAAGGGTGAGTCATATATTAGAGGCTTACAAAAGATTCAGGGGTGGAAGGACAGAATTTTTGATCAAATTTTGCTTTGTACTTGGGCTTGCAGGAACTGTGGAAGGTGCATCAGTGAAGAAATGGACCAATGTGTATAATCATGGAATCTCCTTGCTAACCATCACCACCAGCTCTCCTTAATACATGAGCAAGAGTGGGTCAGGGGAGAAGGAAAAGAGGTCAACATGAAGCTAAAGCAGCGAGTCGTGCTGTTAGCAATTCTCCTTGTCATTTTTATCTTCACCAAAGTTTTCCTGATTGACAACTTAGATACATCAGCTGCCAACCGGGAGGACCAGAGGGCCTTTCACCGAATGATGACTGGCTTGCGGGTGGAGCTGGCACCCAAGCTGGACCATACCTTGCAGTCTCCCTGGGAGATTGCAGCCCAGTGGGTGGTTCCCCGGGAAGTGTACCCTGAAGAGACACCAGAGCTGGGGGCAGTCATGCATGCCATGGCCACCAAGAAAATCATTAAAGCTGATGTGGGTTATAAAGGGACACAGCTGAAAGCCTTACTGATACTTGAAGGAGGCCAGAAAGTTGTTTTCAAACCTAAGCGGTAAGTTTTGATCTTGGAAGCTGCATGTGCTAGTTGGTTGATTCATTTAACTTGGGATTTATATAAGATTTATTTTGTCATCTTCTCTTGGAAGTCTCTTCAGTAAAATAAGAGGGGTAGACTAGATCTCTAAAGTCTTTTCTAGCACTTAACATGAATCTACCTTTATAGTATCATATAGAATAGTCTTCCTGCCCTAAAAATCCTCTGTGTTCTACCTACTCATTTTTCCCTCTCTGCCCCAGAACACCTGGTAACCCACTGGTCTTTTTACTATCTCCGTAGTTTTGCCTTTTCCTGAATGTAATATAGTTGCAATCACAGAATGTAAGCCCTTTCAGATTGGCTTCTTTCACTTAGTAAAGTGCATTTAAGGTTTATACATATCTTTTTGTGGCATGATAGTTCATTTGTTTTTATCACTGAATAATATTCCATTGTCTAGATGTACCACAGCTTAATTATCCATTCACTTACTGAAGGACATCTTGGTTGCTTCCAAGTTTGGGGCAATTGTGAATAAAGCTGCTATAAACATCCATGTGCAGGTTTTTGTGTGGACATAAATTTTCAACTCATTTGGATAGATACCAGAAGCATAATTGCTGGACCACATGGTAAGAGTACGTTTCATTTTGTAAAAAACTGCTAAACTATCTTCCAAAGTAGCTGTACCATTTTGTGTTTCTACCAGCAATGCATGAGAATTCCTGTTGCTCCACATCCTCACCAGGGTTTGGCATCAGTGTTTCAGATCATAGCTGTTCTAATAGATCTCTTATTTCTTTCACCTGTTTTAAGTAAAGAATTGGGCCATTTTAGTTACCTTAGTTAACTAAATATGTATGTTGTTCATGATCCCTTTGGACTTCCTAGGGATCTACAGAGATAATTTGTGTGACAATTCTGTGATACAGTTAATTATTTTTATTTATTTATTTATTTCTCTACACAAGACAGCTTGGAGGGTATAGTTAATTTTCTAAAAATGTTTTCTGAGTGTATGAATCTGAATTAGGTTAACATCATGATGGTGATTTGTATTCTTTTGCCGGGAGTTAGTTACCAATGAATATTCTCAAAGTTTGTAATGTCTGAAATCTTTTGGGTACTAAACATTTTTTTCATTCCTCAGTAGAGCTTTTGAAAAAATTATAACATGACTTTAGATTTCTTTCTGGAGTGGGAGAAGAAATGTAGGGAAAAGATGGACAAAATTCAACTCCCTTTCTTACCCAACTATTAGTAAATGAAAGGCAGTCAGAGCATGAATGTATAGGGAGCCCAGAAATGGAAGGGATCACTGTTGGTCTGGAACTGGGAAATATATGTCAGTGATGTGGAAATTAGGAAAGTTAAAACATTTGGTAGACTTTCAGAGAATAAAAATTTGACTGGGGCTGGGCGTGATGGCTCATGCCTGTAATCCCAGCACTTGGGGAGGCCGAGGTGGGTGGATCACTTGAGCCTGGGTGATGTAGTGAGACTCTGTCTCTATAAAAAAATAAAAAATTAGCTGGGCGTGGTGGTGTGCACCTATAGTCTCAGCTACTTGGAAGGCTGAGGTGGGAGGATGGGAAGATTGCTTGAGTGCGAGAGTTTGAGGCCGCAGCAAGCCATGCTCGTGCCACTGCCCTCCAGCCTGGGTGACAGAGTGAGACCTGTCTCAAAAAAAAAAACCAAAAAACAAAAAAAAACCGTGGTTATGTGGGCCTGGGATCTAATTTCTGTAATGCACACTATTTGCCAGGGATTACACTAAGTACTTTTGTATCTCTTAATCCTTTAAACCCTTATACGAAGGTTTAACCTTTTTGGACAATTTCAGTTCTTATTTCCTGAATAAGAAACTGAGGTTCAGAGAGTGTAACTAACTTGACAAGGTCACCTCACATCAATCAGTGGTACAGAAGTTTGAACCCATATTTGTTAGAGTTGTAAACAGCTTGTATTCTGCCACACACATGGAATTCTCTAAGTTTGTTTGCTTCCCATAAGTGATGACGTGGAGCACTCATCATCAAAAATCGCATTTAGCTTTGAAGTTTGGTCTTTGACTTCTTGGCCTGAGAGATAAGCAGCATAAACAGAGTAATGGAAAAAGGCAAACTAAAGACAAAAATAAAATTTGTATATAAAGAGATGGCCGGGCACGGTGGCTCACGCCTGTAATCCCAGCACTTTGGGAGGCCAAGGTGGGCGGATCACTTGACGTCAGGAGTTTGAGACCAGCCTGGCCAACATGGCGAAACCCCATCTCTACTAAAAATACAAAAAATTAGCCGGGCGTTTTGGTATGTGCCTGTAATCCTAGCTACTCAGGAGTCTGAGGCAGGAGAATCACTTGAACCTGGGAGGCGAAGGTTGCGGTGAGCTGAGATTGCACCATTGCACTGCAGCCTGGGCAACAAGAGCAAAACTCCATCTCAAAAACGTAAAATAAAATAAATAAAGAGATGAGTTGTGAGCATTTTGTGTTTAAATAAGAGGAGATCTGGCTGGGTGCGGTGGCTCATGCCTGTAATCCTAGCACTTTGGGAGGCCGAGGCGGGCGGATCACCTGAGGTCAGGAGTTCGAGACCAGCCTGGCTAACATGCTGAAACCCCGTTTCTACTAAAAATACAAAAAATTAGCTAGGCACGTGCCTGTAATCCCAGCTACTCGGAAGGCTGAGGCAGGAGAATCGCTTGAACCCGGAGGCGGAGGTTGTAGTGAGCCGAGATCACGCCATTGCACTCCAGCCTGGGCAACAGGAGCGAAACTCCGTCTCAAAAAAAAAGAGATCCTCATCACACCTACCACTTGTACACTGGAGAATTGAAGGGGAGTTGGGACAGCAGGAAGTGTGTTAGAAGACAGATATTCCCAAGAGCGTGCAGTGTTAGACCAGGTGCTTTGCAGGATAGGCCTGAAATGTTCAGACAAGATATAAGTGGTGGGAGGAGAGGCCAGACTGATGAGTAGGGGAGGTAGTAACAGATAATGCATAACCTTAGTCACTTCTTGCTTCATCTTATATCTCTTACTACCACTGCAGCCTTCTCATTACCTCCCTCCTCCAGACCATCCTGGAAACCACTTCCGTTCTTCCCCGTTCTTCCCCAGAAGACTTATTATCACTATGTTCCCCAGCTTTAAAACATCCAGGGACTTCCCATTGCCCACCAGACAAAACCCAGCCTCCACAGCCTAAGGTCAAGCCCCTGACTGTCTGGTCCTCCTCTCTATACTCAGCCTTATCTTCCTTTTGCTCTTTGTTTCTGTCAAACTCTGGCCCCCTGCTCCCGCATCATCTCCTAAACAGCCTGTGTCCACTCCCAGCAACAGGGCACTCTCTTCTCCAACTCAGCAAGGTTTTTTTTGGCCCCTGCCATAGGTGCTAACTCTCTTAGTCACTGCACATACTGACCTGTGCTGCTTTATATCAGGAAATATCACAGGCTGGGGAAAGTGGTTGTAAGTTTAAGTGCTTGCAGAAATTGACTCCAGTCCCTAAACACCCAGCAAAATGCTGTTCTGACCCCCAGGGCTTCAGAGGCTATTTATTTAGTCCTGGTGTAAGTGCAAATTAATGTCCTTGGTCATACTCTGATGTCCTTCAGCAGAAGGATAGGAATGATTTATTGGCAGTTACTGTATGAATTTTGCTGCTCTGTCAGTGACTTAAGATGGATCACTCTCTGGTAAGAGAAGAATCTAAGTCCTTTCTCTGAAAGCCACTTGTGGTTTTAACATTTCTGGAGCCTGATTATCCATGTCCTGCTCTCAGAGATACAAGGTGTGTGCAGTATAGGTAGATGATATATATGGGAATAGAGTGACACTTTTATTTACACATTTTGCCTTACATTATAAGTAAAGGTGATTTTTTTTTTAATGTAGCTATTTCCATTCTAGAAGTAATTGATTTTCACAGGCAAAAACAGCAGTTATGTTGGAAAAAGAACAAGAAGGCAGGGGCCTAGAAGCGCGTAGAAGTGAATGAGTAATCTCAGGAAGTACTAAAAGGGACCTTGGAGATCAGCTAGTCCAACTGTCCATTTTACAGGTGAGAAAAATGAGATCCAGAATTCTGATTTTCCATATTTCACATAACCAAAACATGAGCTGAGGATTCAGGCCTGACTTCAGTGTAGTTCTTTTGATTCTTATTCCTTTTCTCTTCCCTCCATCTTTTCCTCTCCTGCCCACTCCCAAAGTTCCTGTATTCCTCTAAGCTTTTGCATTTTACTCTGCGCAGCCTTTAGATGGATTGGAAAGCTCTCTAATGTTTCACTGAAAGGACCATACTGCACTTCACCACATACCTTCCTGTGGCTGCCCTGAAGTACTAAAAATAAAGTATTCAAGGATAGCCTACATCTGTAGTAGAACAGTACCTGAATAGTGTCAGCTTTTTGCTGCAGGGGTATTTCAAATTTGACTTTTAATTTAGAGGTAGCTAATATAAACCTTTTAAAAAATTATTCCTAAGTAATCCTTTGCACTAGGAACAAACAAACAAAAAATTACATTTGGGTATATTGACCATGCTAAGAAGAAACTGGTGCCCAACCAGAAGGTGATACATGGCTGTCTTCTAACAAATGCTTCATCATTTTGCCTTGAAGATATATTTTGTGGATATGATTTCACTTTATATTCTAAGGTCATTTAAGTTGAAGTTCACTGCCTTTTATAGTACTGTTTTCCACTTCCCTATTGCTGTTTTAGCATGAGAGAGCCAACTATCCTTAGTGGAACCTCTCTTCTCCACATCACTCTCAATTTATTTCTATTTCATAGGTCCATTGTAAAGCCTAAAAGGTCTCCTTTAGATTCAGGAAATGCAGGAGACCAATAGAGAGGACATAGGTGAATTAAGTACTTTTTTCTTCCTAATTAACAGATTTAAATTCTATCTTTTAAAATGGTTAGTAGAAAGAAATATGCCAGTCTTCATTATCCTTTGCTTATGTCATACATGTGATAGAAAATCATCAGAATGCAGTCTGAGATGAAAGAGACCTTAGAAATTACCTCCTAGTCCAGCCCCTAATATTGTAAGTAAGGAATCTGAGACCCAGAGAAGAGAAAGGTTTTGCTCAAGCTTACCCAGTCAAGTAATGACAGCCACACCAACCTCCCACTGCCAGTCCAGGACTCCTTGTAGTACGTCATCATAAACTTAAAAAAAAAGAACAAGAATGGTTATTCAAACAACTTTTTTCAAAAGCGCTGTTGCCTTCCCATTAACAAAGATTGAGTTATATCAGACTATTTTCCCCCAAATTTAAATTTCTCTTATAAGCTTTGCCACAGCCATTCTGGTAAGCAAAAGTTTTTTGTTTTTTGAGACAGAGCCTCACTCTGTTGCCCAGGCTGGAGTGCAGTGGCACAGTCTCGGCTCACTGCAACCTCCGCCTCCCAGGTTCAAGCGATTCTCCTGACTCAGCCTCCTGAGCAGCTGGGATTACAGGCATTCACCACCACACCCAGGTAATTTTGGTGTTTTTTAGTAGAGATGGGGTTTCGCCATGTTGGCCAGGCTGTTCTCGAACTACCGACCTCAGGTGATCCACCCATCTTGGCCTGCCAAAGTGCTGGGATTACAGGTGTGAGCCACCGTGCCTGGCCAGCAAAAGTTTTAATTACACATTTTTCTTCATTTCTTCAGGTCAGTCTAATAAACATTTTAGTAGACATTTATTAAGCACCAACTATGTGCTTAACACTGTGCTGGCAATACAAAGACAGTCCTTGCCTTCCAGAAAACTACCTTTTATCTGTACTAAAACTACATCAAAAGCCCTTTAGTGGGGCAAAAATGACAGCTTCCATGTTTTATTCTTAGAATGATTGGTGACGTAGATAGAGAATTCTAGTTTCCTTCTCTACCTCATCTTCATTCCATCTACCGGCAATTCATGCTAATCCACAGTTGTTTGCAGGGTTGACAGAGAAGGTGACTATAGCAGAATCAGGCTTGCTAATGGGTGTATTCTACCACTTGTGCTGTCACCTGTTACTGGTGTAATCCACGTATACATCTGTGCTTCCCATTCACTTTGCAGGTATAGCCGAGACCATGTGGTGGAAGGGGAACCGTATGCTGGTTATGATAGACACAATGCAGAGGTAGCAGCCTTTCACTTGGACAGGTGCGTATGATCACAGCAGCTTATGTTCATTTTGTTTGCTTTCAAAAATCTTTCTTGGAGAGGACTCGTGGACTCCTTCAGAAGGATGCAACACTAATAAATAACTTGTTATCGATTTTAGATAGCTAATTGACTAGTTCCATTAAACTTGTATGAGTCTCATAATTTGGTTGGCACCAGGAATACTGAAGTATTTTACTTCCATGCTTCTTTAGGTCATTTCATTTCTGGCCTGCTCTGTTATTATCATCAGTGAAGATATTCTTGGTAAATAAACTTTGAACTTAAATCTCTGAATTGAACTGGTCGTTAATTGGGTCTAGCCATCCTGTTGTTTTGTTATGTATTTGTTTTAAGTAAGTAATGCTGACTTATTTCCATGTGCTGGAAACATATAGCATGAAATATGAGTTTTATTATTCTTTATACAAACTATGCACAGCTTCAAAAACCAGAATAATTACAAAAGGAAAGGGCCAGGCGTAGTGGCTCATGCCTGTAATCCCAACACTTTGGGAGGCCAAGGTGGGCAGATTGCATGAGCTCAGGAGTTCGAGACCAGCCTGGGCAACATGGTGAAACCCCGTCTCTACTAAAATACAAAAAATTAGCTGGGCGTGGTGACAGGCACCTGTAGTCCCAGCTTCTTGGGAGGCTGAGGCAGGAGAATCGCTTGAACCCAGGAGGCACAGCTTGCAGTGAGCCGAGATCGTGCCACTGCACTCCAGCCTGGGCGACAGAGCGAGACTCTGTCTTTAAAAAAAAAAAAAAAGGAAAGAAAATAGATGTGAATTATAAGTTTGTAAGTTAACTAGGAAAATTCTTTTTTTTTCTTTTTCAGCAGGTTACTAGTCAGGAACCTTGCAGCTGAACTGTCTGGTATCCCAGTTACTCTGCTGACCAGCTCTTTCATAAGGCCATATTGGCTGACTTTAAAAGAAACTGCTAACAATATTTGTTTTAAAAAATTAATTTATGACTGGATGCAGTGGCTCATACCTGTAATCCCAACACTTTAGGAGGCTGAGGTGGGCAGATCACTTGAGCCCAGGAGTTCAAGACCAGCCTGGACAACATGGAGAAGCCCCGTCTCTACTAAAAAAATACAAAAATTAGCTGAGTGTGGTGGCGTGTGCCTATAGTTCCAACTAGTGGGGAGGCTGAGGAGGGAGGATTGCTTGAGCCTGGGAGGTCGAGGCTGCAGTGAGCTGTGATCACACCACTGCACTCCAGCCTGAGCAACAGAGTGGGACCCTGTCTCAATAAAATAAAATAAAATAATAAATAAATTTTTTTTCTGAGACAGAGTCTCACTCTGTCCTCCAGACTGGAGTGCAGTAGCCTGATCTTGGCTTACTGCAACCTCGACGTCCTGGGTTCAAACAGTTATCCTGCCTCAGCCTACCGAGTAGCTGGGACTACAGGTACGCACCACCACACCCAGCTAATTTTTTGTATTTTTAGTAAACACGGGGTTTCACCATGTTGGCCAGGCTGGTCTGGAACTCCTGACTCGAGGTGATCCGCCCACCTCAGCCTCCCAAAGTGCTGGGATTACAGACGTGAGTCACCACGCCCAGCCTAAAAATGAATTTATAAGGAAACCAGAAAAAAAAAGGTGAAATGTTTGTCTTTTTCTGAATTAGGATTTTGTAAACATAAAAGCAATAACTTAAAAATCACAAATTCAATAGTCTTGACTAAATAAAATAATGAACTTATATAGCAAGAGACAAAATTTAAAAGCAAACAACAAACGGAGAAAACACTTGAATCTAATGTAATCTGAGTATTAATAGCCTTAATATGTGTTTATACAAATATTAATGGTCTTAATATGTGTTTATACAAACATATGTATGTTAAAACTCTATTAGAAAATGGGTTAAGAGTATAAACATTGTCAATTGCTAATAAATATGTGGGGTGGGGGGAGGTTCATCCTCACCAGAAATTTTTAAAAATTCAGATGAGATACTGTTTTTACCTGTTGAAAATGGCAAAGCTTAAAAAAAAGATAATACTTTATTGGGAGGAATACATTGAGATTCATATGCTGCTTATGGCATTGTTAATTGTTTCAGTCTTTTTGTTAAGAACCCTAGCATTATATATCAAAATTAAGGATAAATATATCAACATTAAGGAATGTTCATATCCTTTGAACAAATAACTGCTTTTTTATACACATATCTAAGACATTTCTAGGAACTACCCTAGAGAAAGAATACAAAATTCAAAGATATATATACAACAGTCTTAGCTGTAGCATTTTCAATAGTGGGAAAACTGGTTGTAACCTAAACATCTATTGATATGGAAAAGCTTAGATATGTGTGTACAATACCATGAATTTTTGCTGCCCCTTTTAAGACCTAGTGGTGGACAGTTGGATAAATCCTTCTCCTCACTTAATGGCACACTAGAATCAGGCTTTCCAAGACCTTATCTGTTTGCCTCTTTTCTTCGTCCCCAACTCCCTTCTTCCTATCCTGTTTGTTGGAAACCAACAGGCATAAAGTTCCTCATTTCTGTACCAGTGTTTTGTATTGCCCAACACACTAAGTTTTGTTGATATATATGTAAAGTGATATTTCATTGTTATTTCATTGTTATTTTGTATTTCCCCATTACTGGCAAAGTTTATCTTTTCACAGCAGGACACCTATTTGTTATCTTAGAGTATTTGTGTACTTTTGATGTTAACTAACTATAATGTTTCAGTTTGTGACTTGGGCTTTGGGAGTCTTGTATTTAAAAGTCCTTCCCTACCTCAAAGTCTGAAAGATGTTCTCTTGCCAGTCGCCCTGTCACTTTTGTTAAGTGCCACCGTAGCCAGCCTCAAGTGCCACAGTAACATTGCCCCTCAATGCTAAACTGGCTGCTGTTCTTGGGCTTGGCAATTTTCAATGGGAAGAAAAAATACTTCCCAATCTAGGCTGCGTTTGTAGTCCTAGGTACCAGGGAGGCTGAGGTGAGAGGATCACTTGAGCCCAGGAGTTCCAGGCTGCAGGGAGCTATGATCATGCCGCTGCACTCTGGCCTGATCAACAGAGTGAGACTCAAAAACCAACCACCCAAACAAACAAACAAACAAACAAACAAAACACACACAAAAAACCCTTCCCAACCTTTTCCATTTGTGGATCTTGATACTTTTCTGCTTTGGGTTGCTGTTTCTTCATTACAGTCAGATTTAACCACCTTCCCTTGCCTCTGGGGGTATCTCTGGATTTCTATGTTATTTTGACAAATCTGTTGATCTTGCCTTTGTGGCTTTTCTAAGACTGTGTTTAGGACAGAATCAGCAGCCCTAAACAATAGCCATTTGTAAAGGCTTTCTAATGACTGGGGAAAAGGTTCATGATACAATGATGAGTACAAAGCAAGATATAAAACTGCATACAATATAATCTCGATTGTATGTATATACGTAAGTGTGAGTGTGTGTTTATATACCCACACTTAAAGGGAAAGCATGCTTATATGCCAGAATGTCAGCACCTGTAATTATTTCTGGGTTGTGGAATCATAGGTGATTTTTATTTTCTTCATTGTAAATTTTCTGTGTGTTCCAAATTCTGCCCCTCCAACTTTTGTTCAGTTGGTGTATATTTTTTAGCCAGGAAATTTCATTTTTTTAAAATAAATCATTGTTTTCAACCTTTTAGATTATTAGAGATATCTTCAAATGTCTCTATATTTAATTTGCTCTGTGGGCTTAGCCTTTTAGATCAGTCTGCTTTTTTTTTTTTAACCAACATGCTGTTTTATTTAAAGATTTGAACCCATATATGAGTTTGGGTCCCATTTTTTTTCTAATACTTTCCTAAAATCTATTTTTAATTTTTATTATGAAAAAATTTCTATCATACAAAAGTAGAAAGAATAGTATAATGAGCCCATATACCCACTCTGTAGATTTAAAAAGTGTTCACATTTTATCAGATTTGTCTTATTCTTTTTGCTGAAATGTATATTAAAATAAATTATACACACCTTCACATTAAATTCCTAAATATATGTACCTCTAAAAAATTAGGTTTAGCTACTAGCTAAAAACCCTTTACACATTTGACATGATGAACTGTAATTTTTAAGACTGTTACTTAAAAAACATCCCCTAAGATTTTTCTCTTCTGTTCTTCAATCTTCCAAACCAGGATTCTGGGTTTCCACCGAGCCCCCTTGGTAGTTGGCAGATTTGTTAATCTTCGGACAGAGATCAAACCTGTCGCCACAGAGCAGCTGTTGAGCACCTTCCTAACTGTAGGTAAGAAGATTGTAGAGGACATTTATATAGGGGAATGATTAATAAGTTAAAATGGGGCATTGTTGAGCAAGCTGGCTCATGACTTTTAGGAATTGAAGAACTCAGTGGAATACAAAAGCAAATCAGACAACCAGCTCTCAGGTTATTTGGGAAAATGAATCTAAAGGAGATGGCAGGAAATTGAAATTTTCCTGTATACTTTGTGTTGTCTGTGACATAGGGAGTGAGGTCATTTAGTGATGGTGAAAGCAGGTGATTATTTCCTTCTGCTTTCTCTTAGAGCTATTAGTAAGTCTCAAACTCAGAATTTGGCCTAAATTGGTTATTGTTTGTATATCATTGGCTCAGTTGTTTTTACATATATAATATGTTTCCTCAGGAACTGTCTCCCATCTCCTTAGAATTGAGGAAATCTTAAGGCAACTCTTTAGGAGGCTCAGAAATTATTTTGTAAGGTTGTATTTGGACCTGGAAGATCAACAGGCCTACTCCTTCTGCAAGGGTTAACCTATAACTCATTGTGCCTGGAACTGGCTATGTTGCCCCTGGCCTCTGTTTTCCATTATCTTAACTCTGAGGTAAGAGATCTGAGCTAAAATTCTCACTCCTGTTGTTGTGAGCAAGATGAGAATGGGAAGAATTCAAAAGTGCGGTGGTTTCTTGTTTCCACCTCTTCACCTTGACTCTTTTTCAGTGATACAGTGCTCTGCATTAGGGCATGACTGTTGAAACAGACATTGCAAGATGAACTTCACCTTGCTTTTTTTTGCTAGAGTGAGTGGATTTACATTTAAAATGAGGAAAAACTGAATATTTAAAGGACTTATGACAGATTCATCATTCAGAATTTCAACTTATAAGGCTTGGGCTATACTTTTCTTATAGATAACCAAAAGCATACAATGTTAGATATTGTATCAGATATTTGTTTCAGATATTTTCTAATCACCTTTGGTTGTTCAGTTTTATGTTTAGCAAGCATGAATTCCTGGTGGGTGCTGGGATTGAGGGAAAGAGTCCAAGAAGAAGAAGCCAGGGTACCTGCTCTTCAAAGGCTCACAGATGGTCAACTCACACATTGTATGAAGTGTGGGTAAGGGAAAAGCAGAGGATTTGTAGAGGAGGTTATTAACACTTGAACTGAGTATTGAAGAACCAGTATGAGTTACCAAGGCAGCAAAGAGGAAAGGGCATTGGCAAAATAATGGGAATATTAATGAGAACAAGGGCATAAAGACTGGAAAGTAATAGGTAGAGGGATTTGGCTGGAGGTAAAGTTCTTAATAATCGTCTGACCTTAGCATAACCTTGTTGTTATTGTTGTGTTTTTAGACTTTATTGTTTTTAGAGCAGCTTTAGGTTCACAGCAAAACTGAGAGGAAGGTACAGAGATTTCCCAAATAACCGCTGCCCGTCACATGCATAGTTTCCCCCATTATCAACATCTCACATCACAGTGGTACAGTTGTTACAATTGATGAGTCCACACTGACACATCATAATCACCCAGACTCCATAGTTTACATTCCCATTCACTCTTGGTGTTGCACATTCTGTGGGTTTGGACAAATATATAATGACATGTATACATCATTATAGTATCACACAGAGTATTTTCACTGATCTAAAAATCCTCTATGTTCCACCTATTCATCATTCTCCACCCCTCTCTCCAATCCCCTTGCAACTACTGATCTTTTTACTGTCTGCATAATTTTGCCTTTTCCAGAATGTTACATAGTTGAATCACAGTATATAGCTTTTTCAGAGTGGTTTCTTTCACTTAATAATACACATTTAAGATTCCTCCATGTCTTTTCATGCATGGCTTGATTTATCATTTCTTGTTATTGCTGACTAATGTTCCATTGTCTGATGTACCACAGTTTATCCATTTACCTATTGAATGGCATCTTGGTTGCTTCCATGTTTGGGCAGTTGTGAATAAAGCTGCCATAAACATCTGTGTATAGCTTTTTGTATTGACATAAGTTTTCAGCTCTTTTGGGTAAATACCAAGGAGTGTGATTTCTGGATCATATAGTAAGAGTACATTTAGTAAGAAACTGCCAAATTGTCTTCCAAAGTGGCTGTACCATTTTGCATTCCCACCAGCAAAGAGAGAGTTCCTGTTGCTCCTCATCCTTGGCAGCATTTGATGTTGTCATATTTTGGATTTTGACTATTCTAATCTAGTAGGTGTATCTCATTGTTTTAGTTTGCATCTCCCTGATGACATATAATGTACAGCATCTTTACATATGTTTTTCTGTCATCTGTATATCTTTGCTGAGGTGTCTGTTAAGGTCTTTGGCTCATATTTAAGTTAGGTTGGTTGTTTTCTTACTGTCAAGTTTTAGGAGTTCTTGGTATGGTATGGCCGAAAGTCCTTTGTTAGATGTGTCTTTTGAAAATATTTTCTCCAGCTGGACACGGTGGCTCATGCCTGTAATGCCAGCACTTTGGGAGGCCGAGGTGGGCAGATCACTTGAGGGCGGGAGTTCGAGACCAGCCTGGCCAATATGGTGAAACCCTGTCTCTACTAAAAACACGAAAATTAGCTGGGCATGGTGGCACACACCTGTAATCACAGCTACTTGGGAGACTGAGGCAGGAGAGTTGCTTGAACCCAGGAGACAGAGGTTGCAGTAAGCTGAGATCACGCCACTGTAACTCCAGCCTGGTCGACAGAGTGAGACTCCATCTCAAAAAAAAAAAAATATTTTCTTCAAATGTATAACTTGTTTCATTCTCTTGATGCAATTTTTAAAATGTATTATTAAGTAAGTTGGCCTATAATACAAGAATAACTAAAATCTGTGTAGCCCCGGCAACCTACCCAAGTATGTTCACACTGTTACTTTATCTGATCCTTTTGACAATAGCATGCAATAAGTAGGTGAGGTGTTACCCACATTTTATACCTAAGAGTGGAGGCTTAGAAGTGTCTAATGACTTTCCCAAAGTCACAAAACTACTAATTGTTAGCCAGGATCCAAACTCAGATTTTAAGACTCTAAAATCTTTCATTAGCTTATAGTCTTTATTTATTCAGTACGACTTTATTTCACTTCTGTTTGACAGGTACTGAGCTAGGTGCTGAATATGCAAAACTGAATGACCTTCTTATCTTCAAGGATCTTTGTCTAGTGCGGGAGCCAGACATGTACAAAGGGGCTATGGACTGTTGGGGTGGGGGTGGGAATAGGGAGGTGGCCAAGAAGTTATGGCCAGGTGATAATTCGTGAAGGTGATATTTTAACCAAGTCTTAAAGGGAAAATAGCAGTCTCTTAGGTAGATACAGTGGGAAAGAATATTTTAGGTTTGTATTTAACATTTTTTGTGCTATAGATACCTTTGGCAGTCTGGAAAAGCTTACAGATCCTTTCTAAAAATAAAGGTTTTAAATACATACAGAAATTAAAATACATAGACTTATAAATGAAACCAATAATATTGAAGTATAATTTCAGTATCAAAAATTTTAAAAAGCAAATTTAGATACAGTAATATGTGCTTTGTTATTTAACACATTAAATAAGATCTATCAGATTAGTCACTACTGTGATTTCAAACTATGATTATAAATAGTATTTTGAGGTTATCTGCAACAATGCTAGTATGATATGAAAAATCCGTGATTTCTTGTAGAGACAAAGTCACATGTAATACAAATATGACGGTTTGCTCCCTGCCATCATAATAGAAGGAAATGCTAATTTTTAGTAGAGGTTAGTGAAAATAAAGATGTAATTTTGTTCCCATCCAGCTTACAGACCCTATGAGTTGACCCTGTTCCAGGTAGAGGACAGAGCCTGGACAAGGGTGATGAGCAATGAGAGAAGAGCAACAAGCTCAGGAGACTGTGCTGTTTAGCTGAAGGAAAGGATGTGTGGGGGCTGGCCAGTGAGGAAGACAGCTGGTCAGGACAGTGTCACTGAAGGGCCTGTGTACCATGCTTAGGAGTAGAGACTTTCTCTTTAGGCACTAGAAAGCCATTAAAAGAGTTTGAATATGGAAAAATCAGATTTGAATTTCAAGAGCGAATTGTGGCAGCATTGTCAAGGGTGCATTGGGAAGGGGAGAATCAAGAGCTGAGAGCACTCTGGGAGTGTTGTGAATTCATATGTAATAAGAGAACTAAAGCAGGGACAGGGAATAGAAAGATTTAAGGGCTATTCAAGAGTTGGAATGGAAAGAATTTGGTGAACATTTGGGCTGGGAGAGCAATTGAGAGAGAAGAAAAAATTAAGAATGACTCCTAGGTTTCTGGATTGGATGACAAATGATTAGTGGAGCTGTTAACTATTTTAGGAATGTAGGGAGAGGAGCATATTTAGGGAGGTGGAGCAGAGAAAGATAATGAATTTAATCTTGGATATTTTGTTTCCTTCACAGGCACATCCAGGAGTAAGTGTAGACTAATCATTTAGGAGCTAAAGCCTACAGTTTAGGAGAAAAGGCTTGGCTGAAGCCATAGACATTCTTGTCACAGTTGGTAGTTCACCCAAGGAGAGCATGGAGACTGAGTTGATCAGAAAACCAGTTTTTAAAAGTTTGGCAATCCAGGAAATAGAGGTTCAGAGCCTCAGCTCATGGTACTGAAACAGGGATATTGAACTCTGGAAAGGTAGATCGAACCATGTTATTAAAATAAGTAGCTGGCATCGATTGGTGTCTGACAATATGTCAGGCACTGTGCTAAGCATTGCCATGGATTGCCTCATTCACTCTTCACAACTCAGTGGTGGAGGAGGTACTATTGTTGTCTCCATTTTACAGAAGTTGCTTAGAGAGACTAAATTACATGCCCAGAGTCTTGCAATCTCATCATTAAACTAGTCTAAATGTTAACCCCAGGAACCTGACCTCAGACCCCACATTCTCCCTTCTAGTTATGAAGATTCTTACTTACCAAACTCAAGAGTTTGGATTGTATCCTATAGGAAACAGGTTTCCTATACCAGGCAGTATTTTGTTTGTTTTAGGGCTTTACATTTTTATTTGAATCAGTAATGGATTCACACAATTCAAAATTCAGGGAAATTCAGGCCAGGTGCGGTGGCTGACGCCTGTAACCCCAGTACTTTGGGAGGCTGAGGCAGGAGGATCACATGAGGCCAGGAGTTTGAGACCAGCCTGGCCAACATGATGAAATTTCATCTCTACTAAAAATATAAAAATTAGCCGGGTGTGGTGGTGCACGTCTGTAATCCCAACTACTTGGGAGGCTGAGGCAGGAAAATCACTTGAACCCGGGAAGTGGAGGTTGCAGTGAGCCGAGATCATGCCACTGCACTCCAGCCTGGGAGACAGAGCAAGATTATGTCTCAAAAAAAAAAAAAAAATTCTGTGAAATTCAATGAAAAATTTTCTCGTCTGTCTAGTTCCTTCCCCTTTCTCCAAGTGGCAACCTTTAACTAGTAATTTCCTTATGTCTTTTTGTATGAAATATATATATATTTTTTTATTTATCTCTACCATTTTATACAACATATGGCACACTTTGCATACTTCTGCATCTTACTTTTTTTACTTAATAGATTCTAGAAATCTGTATCACATCAAAAGAGCTTCATTGTTTTGTTGTTTCACACTGCAAAGTGTTCCATTATTTGGGTCTACCATAATTCATATAACCAGAATTTTATTGGACTTAAATGTTGTTCCAATATTTTGTTTTTACAACCAGTGTTGCCCAGAATTACCTTGTATATATGTCAGGGGTCCCCAACCCCTGGGCTGCGGAATAGTACCAGTCTGTGGCGTGGTAGGAACTGGGTTGCACAGCATGAGGTGAGGGGTGAGCGAGCATTACCGCCTCAGCACCAGCTCCTTGTCAGATCAGTGGCAGCATTATATTCTCATAGGAGCACAAGCCCTATTGTGAACTGCACATGTGAAGGATCTAGGCTGCACGTTCCTTATGAGAATCTAATACCTGATGATCTGACATGGAGCAGTTTCATCCTGAAACCATTCCCACCCAGTCCCCAACCCCTGTCTGTGGAAAATTGTCTTCCACTAAACCAGTCCCCAGTACCAAAATGGTTGGGGACCACCCATATATATTATTTCACACATGAGCAAGTATTTCTAGAAATGGGAGTGCTAGGTCAAAAGGCACGTGCATTTTAAGTTTTGATAGGTGTGGCCACATTATCCTATATAGATGTTTAACCAGTTTATATTCCCATAGAAATATATAAGAGTGACTCTTTCTGCTAGCTTCACCAACAATATGTTATTAAACTTTTGGTTTTGTGTATTTCATATGAAGCATCTTTTTGTTTGAGAGCTATTTGTATTTTCTGTTAACTGTCTTTGCATATCCTTTGCTCATTTTCTGCTGTGTCATTGGTCTTACTGACGTATAGGAGTTCATCCCTAGGGCATATAGTCTTTTGTGACATGAGATGTAAATACTCTTTGTCGAATTTTTTTTTTTTTTTTTTTTGAGATGGAGTTTTGCTGTGTCACCCAGGCTGGAGTGCAGTGGCACAATCTCGGCTTACTGCAACCTTTGCCTCTCAGATTCCAGTGATCCTCTCGCCTCAGCCTTCCGAGTATTTGGAATTACAGGTGCACATCACTGCTCCCAGCTAATTTTGTATTTTTAGTAGAGACAGGGTTTCGCCATGTTGGCCAGGCTGGTCTCAAATTCCTGACCTCAAGTGATCAGGAGTTCACTTAGTATGATAGTTGCCAAATGGTGATTTTTTTTTTGAAATGCTCTCTCTCAGCAGTATCACCAAGTGATGATTTTTGTATTTTTATTTTTTTGAGACAGAGTCTCACCCTGTCACCCAGGCTGGAGTGCAGTGGCACGATGATGGCCCACAGCAGCCTAATCTCCTGGTCTCAAGCAATCCTCCTACCTCAGCCTCCTGAGTAGCTTGGACTACAGGCATGAGTCACCATGCCTGGCTAATGTTTTTACTTTTAGTTTTATAGAGACAAGGTTTCATTGTGTTGTCCAGGCTGGTCTCGAATTCCTGGGCTCAAGTGATCCTTCTCCCTTGGCCTCCCAAAGTGCTGGGATTACAGATGTGAGCCACAGTTCCTGGTCATCAAATGATGATTTTTTTCATTCTATCGTTGCTTCTAGACCTATTAGTTGTCATTCTGTTGAAGGGTAGAACTCCCCTGCCTCCACACATTCATGTGCTTATTTATATCACCATGAACTCACTATGAGCTACAATTTATGACCATTATAATTATTTGGATGCTTAAACTGTTCCACATTTGGCCGGTGGGAACCTCTACAAACTAGTTCCTGTGTCATTTTGGAATGGTCCCATCATTCTCCAAGCACTTTCTTGCAACTGGCATAACACTGTGGTCCAGGATCATTAAAAGGAACCCTAGTTCCTTTTTTTTTTGAGATGGAGTTTTGCTCTGTCTCCCAGGCTGGAGTGCAGTGGCGCAATCTCGGCTTATTGCAAACTTTGCCTCTCAGGTTTCAGCGATCCTCCTGCCTCAGCCTTCCAAGTAGTTGGAATTACAGGTGCACACCACTACTCCTTAATTCCTTTTAATGTGGTACTAAAATGGTATTTAGGAACTACCCTGTGGGCGCTAGGTGTGCTCATTACTTCCTGGGTGTCATTGTTTCCATGTTCTCTTGAAGGACAGAGGTGGGAAATATATGTATATGTGTGCATACATACACACAAGATACATCTGTATCTTTTTCTGAATCTGTGTGTATTAAAACCATCAATTCAGGCCTGGCGCAGTGGCTCACACCTGTAATCCCAGCACTCTGGGAGGCTGAGGTGGGTGGATCATGAGGTCAGGAGTTCTGAGACCAGCCTGTCCAATATGGTGAAACCCCATCTCTAATAAAAATACAAAAACTAGCTGGCATGGTGGTGGGCGCCTGTAGTCCCAGCTACTCGGGAGGCTGAGGCAGGAGAATTGCTTGAACCCGGGAGGCGGAGGTTTCAGTGAGCCAAGATCATGCCACTGCATTCTAGCCTGGGCAACAGAGCGAGACTCCATCTCAAAAAAAGAAAAACAAAAAACAAACAAAAAAAAACACCCATCAATTCAAACTAGTATTTCCAATTCTAATTCACCACTGCAGGATTTATCCTGGCTTTCTCTCTTTCTGTATGTTTAACTCTCTTCTCCACTGGTGAGAAGCCTGGTTACTGTTACACTCAGTCTGTCTACTTATTTGCTCAACTTCCCCCCTTCCTCTATACCTACCCCTCTATGTAACCAAACTCTTGGCCACACTTGGCCTAGTACATGACCTCTTTTGCCCTCCCCTGGGCACTCTGGCCAAGATCTCAGCCCTAATGAAGAAGAGGAGGATGTTACTTTCCTTTAATTAAAGTGAGTTCAGGCCGGGCGCGGTAGCTCACACCTGTAATCCCAGCACTTTGGGAGGCTGAGGTGGGCGGATCACCTGAGGTCAGGAGTTTTGAGACCAGCCTGACCAAATGGTGAAACCCTGTCTCTACTACAAATACAAAAATTAGCCAAGCATGGTGGCATGCGCCTGTAATCCTAGCTACTCAGGAGGCTGAGACGGAAGAATTGCTTGAACCTGGGAGGCAGAGGTTGCAGTGAGCCAAGATCTTGCCACTGCACTCTAGCCTGGGCGACAGAGCAAGACTCAGTCTCAAAAAAAAATAAAATAGTGAGTTTAGAGGCCAGACATGGTGGCTCATGCCTATAATCCCAGCATTTTGAGAGGCTGAAGTAAGAAGATCACTTGAGTCCAGGAGTTTGAGCCCAGCCAGGCCAACATGGCGAAACCCCATCTCTACCAGGAAAATACAAAAATTAGCTGGGCATGGAGGCATATACCTATAGTTCCAGCTACTCAGGAGGCTGAGATGGAAGGATGGCTTGAGCCCCAGAGGCAGAGGTTGCAGTGAGCTGAGATCACGCCACTGCACTCCAGCTTGGATGACAAAGCCAGACCCTGTCTCAAAACAACAACAACAACAAAAACAAAACAAACAAAAAGTGAATTTGAAGGATACTGGTGATGGTAGTTGACACCAGAGAGTGAGACTGGGTAGAAAGGACACAGGAGGCAAGGGCAACTTACTTTTGGGTGTATATCCTTTTGTACTTTTTAAATTTTTTTTACACCGTGTGCTTTTTTATTACCTATACAGGAAAATAAATGTTTGAAATATAGTAAACTCAGGGTCTTTGTTTTCACCATGCTTATTTACTTAGCTACTCTGTTCTGCATTATTTGGGAGAGAACTTGGAGTCTTCGTTATTTCCTTAAGTGTATTTGGCTCCTTTCTGTCCTTTAGGAAACAATACTTGTTTTTATGGGAAGTGCTATTACTGCCGAGAAACAGAACCAGCTTGTGCTGATGGAGACATAATGGAGGGATCTGTCACACTTTGGCTTCCAGATGTGTGGCCTCTGCAGAAGCACCGTCACCCATGGGGCAGGACTTACCGAGAAGGCAAATTGGCCAGGTAAATGCTCCTATGAGCCATTACTTAATTCTCCCCTGTGCCTAGCCAGGTGCCAACTCTGTAAAGGAGCCAGCAGTTCTGTCCAAGAGTGAAAAGAACTGTGGAGTCAGGGGCAAACCGGTAGGTAGGAACTCTGTCTTCTCTTTGTGTGTAACAGTGCCAGGTACAGTGTTGTCACTCAGTGCTGTGATGCTGCTTGTCTCCAGGTGGGAGTATGATGAGAGCTACTGTGATGCTGTGAAGAAAACGTCCCCTTATGACTCTGGCCCGCGCCTCTTGGACATCATTGACACAGCTGTCTTTGATTACCTGATTGGCAATGCTGACCGCCATCACTATGAGAGCTTTCAAGATGATGAAGGCGCTAGTATGCTCATCCTTCTTGATAATGCCAAAAGGTGAGACCAGCAGGACTGTCCTTGTCAGGGAGGGGTTTCTGTATATGAAAGAAGGGCATTTTCCAGAGCATCCTGGAGAATATCCAGAATGCAATTGATAGGCAACATCCTTCTTTTTTCCACTTGGAGTCTTTGCTATTGGTACCTGTCCTTCTCTCCACTCTCAGGGATCTCAGTACTTCAAAAAATGGAAAAGTGGTTCTTCCAAGGAGTCTAAGACTCTATGAGCCTCTTCTCAGACAACTGGAAAACCAGGGTTATTCATTTGTTACTACCTACATCGTTCTTTCTTGGCTATGATATTTGGTGTTTAGAAGCTTGAGAAATACAGATGTAATAGAGTGTGGAATTTGTCGTTAAATTTATTCTATCCAAAGGTTCCTGCAATTAAAAAATTAATTTATTTGGTAGGATGTTTTGCTATTTTTGTGTTTGTCTAGGTCCATACTTTTGCTGTCATGGGAAGAAGAGCTGTTGCCTAGTGTGGATTTTATATATAACAACAAGTTACTTTTATCTTGAATAAAAAATGTTTATTCATTTTGAATAAATAGAATGTCCTTATTTTTTTAGGCCTGAGCTATTTGGAGAGCACATTGTATTTCCATTTCATATTCTGCATTCTCTGTGGTGGCCGGTTTAGTGCCACACTTTTTTTTTTTAAGTTTTTTTGAGACGGAGTTTTGCTCTGTTGCCCAGGCTGGAGTGCAGTGGCACAATCTCAGCTCACTGCAACTTCTGTCTCCTGGGTTCAAGCGATTCTCCACCCTCAGCCTCCTGAGTAGCTGGGACTACAGGCACTCGCTAATTTTGTATTTTTAGTAGAGACAGGGTTTCGCCATTTTGGCCAGGCTGGTCTTGAACTCCTGACCTCAAGTGCTCTGCTTGCCTCGACCTCTCAAAGTGCTGGGATTACAGGTGTAGTGCCACACTTTTAGTTGCATTTAATAAATATTTACTAAATAGAACGCTTCCTTGGAGTACAGAATTTTCCAGGCCCTAGGTCACTACTGTTAACATTGGTTGTTGGAAATAAGCTAAGACATGGCTCCTCAGCAAAGAGTGCTTGGGCAGCATTTGCTAATGATGCCACCATCTTATACTGAACACCAGGCGCCTCATGCTTTGTGAAAGATGGTGATGGCCACAGAAAATGAAAAACCAGCAAACACTGCCTCTCCCTCTACCCCATTACAGCAAAGCACATAGCACTCATCCTGTGATACACATGATACTTGATATTTGGTGTATATCAAAATAGTTGCTTTGTCCACTCGGGCCGCTATAACAAAATCCCTTAGACTGGGTAATTCATAAGCATCAGAAATGTATTGCTTACAGTTTTGGAGGCTGGGAACTCTAAGATGAAGGTGCCAGCAGATTCAGTGTCTGGTGAGGGCCTGTTTCTCAGATGGTGCCTTCTATGTGTCCTCATATGGCAGAAGAGGTAAACACGCTCCCTCTGGCCTCATTTATAAGGGCACTAATCCCGTTCATGTGGGCTCTTCCCTCGTAACTTAATCATCTCCCAAAGGCCCTACTTCTTAATACTGTTGGACTGTTGTACCAGGGATTACGAATTTGAGGGGGACACAAACATTCAGACCATAGCAGTTGCCTTTGCCTTGAATTACTGGAGGACCTACACTGTACTAAGGGCTACCAGACTCTAGCTATTAAGGTGAGCCTCTGGAAAGATTGAAAGGTTGACAGTTTTCCAGAATCAGTTCTCCTTTTCTAACTCTGAATTGCTGCTAAGGTAATTTTTGCATCTGCTGTGAATCAGTTTCCTCAGCCTGTGTGAACAGTTTTTCCAATTTGAATCTGTACTTATACTTACTTGTAGGGAATAGGATATTGCTAATTTGGGAGTAGAATAAGTGTGACTTCTTTTTACAAGTAATGGTCATCTGCTTGTTTGTGGGAATCTAATATAAATGGCTTTTATTTCTCTCTGGTCCTTAAAACCTTTGCAGGCTTAGGGGTCTTCAAGTTCTCCCTTTGGTCTGTGAACTCCGCACTGTGTTTACCATAGTTATGCTCCAGCACCTTGTGATATCTTGGCAGGAAAATGTCCCTTGTAAATGAGTATATTTGTTGTCAGATATTTTAGTACAGGCTGTTAGGGATCCTGTGTCTAATTGGTCATGCCCCGCTTGTTTTCAATTTAAGTGATTTGAGCTGCTGGAGCGTGAAATTATCTAGGATCACATTTGAGTTTCATATAGAATTTGCTATTGCTTTGATGCTAAGAAGAGAACAGTACTTCCACCTAATTCACTAAGTTTTAATTTAATTTTCAGCTTTGGGAACCCCTCGCTGGATGAAAGAAGCATTCTTGCCCCTCTCTATCAGTGTTGCATGTAAGTTATGCACAGCAAATACATGTGCCTGCATTGCCTTCTTTTCCAGGCTCAGGTAACAGTACATCCATTTTCTTGGCCCTCAAACTTTCTGATACCTGAGCAGTGCTTTTCATACTTTTCCAACCTAGAACCTCTGGACATCCTGAAATGGGATATCAGGGAAAGGTGAAGGCAGATAACCCAAAGCTCAGAATTCATCTCAAATTTTGTATGAATAGAAGATTGTATGTATACAGTAATACATGTTTGGTTTAATAGCAGAATATAATCACCCACACTCCCCACCCCACTGCCAAAAAAAAAAAAAGGAGTAAAATCTGTATGCCTGGTTACTACACCTGGTTACCTTGTGGTTTTAACTCCTCTCACTCACCCATCACATACCACCTGGGGTTTACATATTTCAGTTTGAAATTGTCTAAACCAAAAGTAACTTTTTCCATAAATAATAATTTATTTTGGCCAGGCACAGTGGCTCACTCCTGTAATCCCAGCAATTTGGGAGGCCAAGGTGGGTGGATCACCTGAGGTCAGGAGTTCGAGACCAGCCTGGCCAACATGGCGAAACCCCGTCTCTATTAATAATACAAAAATGAGCCGGGCATGGTGGCAGGCACCAGTATTCCAGCTACTTAGGAGGTTGAGACAGGAGAATTGCTTGAACCTGGAAGGCAGAGGTTGCAGTGAGCCGAGATTGTGCCATTGCACTCCATTCTGGGTGACAGAGTGAGACTCTGTCTCAAAAAAAATAAATAATAAATAATAATTGGTTTTTTTAAAAAAACTCTGTATTAGAGAACAGAGAAATTGAAAAATGAGTCAAGAAAATGAGATAAAGTCTAAGCTCTAAGAAGCTTCTTTTCATCATTCCTGAAATAATTTTATTTTACTATTTTATTTTTTATTTTATTATTTTTTTGAGACAGGGTCTGCATCTGTCACCCAGGTAGGAGTGTGGTGGTGCGATCTCAGCTCACCGAAATCTCTGCCTTTCGGGTTTAAGCAATTCTTGTGCCTCAGCCTCCCGAGTAGCTGGGACTACAGGCACCTGCCACCAAACCCAGCTAATTTTTGTATTTGCAGTAGAGACGGGTTTCACTATGTTGGCCAGGCTGGTGTCAAACTATTGACTTCAAGTGATCCGCCTGCCTCAGCCTCCCAAAGTGCTAGGATTACAGGCGTGAGCCACCGCGCCCGACCATCCTGGTGTAATTTTAGAGCACGCACATCAAGAATTAGCTGGGATCCACCTTGCTTGGCTACACAGAAAAACAAGTTCAAGAGCACCATTTAATACTGGTCAGCTCCCAGCAACATCATATCACATAAGACTGCCATAGCAACTGGTCTCTTAATCTTCTTTCTTTTTTTAAATGACAACAAAATTCTGTAGAAAGTAACAGTTTACCCAGGCTGTCCTTCATTGTCTTTATTAATGATAGGAAGCAGTGATATATACAATCAAGAATTGTGTGTTTGTCTTTGAAGATGTTTTTGTGGTAGTAGTTTTATCAGTCTGGTTCAATCAGGAGATAGCAAAGACATAGTGTGATAAACAGAGGTGTTTAATATAAAGAATTTTTTTTTTTTGGAGATGGAGTCTTGCTCTGTCACCCAGGCTAGAGTACAGTGGCGCGATCTCGGCTCACTGCAGCCTCCACCTCCCATGTTCAAGTGATTCTCCTGCGTCAGCCTCCCAAGTAGTTGGGATTACAGGCGCCCCTCACTGCATCTGGTTAATTTTTGTATTTTTAGTAGAGACGGGGTTTCACCATATTGGCCAGGCTGGTCTAGAACTCCTGACCTTGTGATCTGCCTGCCTCGGCCTCCCAAACTACTGGCATTACAGGCGTGAGCCACTGCGCCCGACCCAATATAAAGAATTATTAAATTCCAATAACAGGAGTGACTATAAAAGGGCTGAGGGAGAGTACCCAAGGAAGGACAAACTTGGAAGGGGATCCCCTCCCAATGACTGGAGTTTGGACTTCAGTGGAGAAGGTTTAGCTCAGCCCACCAGATAGCAGAGAAGTTTGCTAGTTTGCAGGTGCTGAGCAAGCCAGAAGCAACTCTCCAGAGTGCAGGTGGGGTGTACATTCAAGCCACAGCTGGTGTCATGACATGCAGAAGGAGAGAGAGAATCCAGTAGAAACCTTCTGTGCTGCAAGTGAGGCACACACGTGGGCCTTCAGAGGGAATTGGGGCCAGGGTGAGCAGATGGCCTTCAAAGCTCTGGTTTCCATGTTGAGAGGGCCTCGGGAGAGTTATCCCCAGGCCAGGCTAAGGCTTCAGGTCACCAAGGACCCACACCTTCTGGGAGTGTGGCTAGACAGGTCTTCAGTGGATGACCTCTCTGCCTCCCCAACACCACCATTGACCCACAGAAGCATTTGGAGAGCCCCTTCACCCTGCAGTGTCCCCTTTGCGCCCTCTAGTGAGAATGCTTTAGGGGAAAGATGCTTAAAGGAATCCCATCCGTCGTAGCAGAGCACATTTTGTTTTTGTTTTTGTTTTGTTTTGTTTTTTGAGATGGAGTCTCGCTCTGTCGCCCAGGCTGGAGTGTAGTGGCACGATCTCGGCTCACTGCAACCGCTGTCTCCCGGGTTCAGGCGATTCTCCTGCCTCAGCCTTCTGAGTAGCTGGGATTACAGGCACCTGCCACCACGCCCAGCTAATTTTTTGTATTTTTAGTAGAGATAGGGTTTCAACATGTTGGTGGGGCTGGTCTCGAACTCCTGACCTCAGGTGATCCGTCCGCCTTGGCCTCCCAAAGTGCTGGGATTACAGGCATGAGCCACCGTGCCTGGCCAGCAGAGCATATTTTGAAGAGTGAATTTGGAGCTGAGAGGAAGTAACATAATAACTTAGTCTCACAGAGGAAGCTCTGATGCTCTGGGCATTTGTAATATATTTAAGAATAAAAATAACTGTACTCCGTCTGTGCCTGTTTGTCCCTTCCATGCATGCTTTATGCAGCAGTCTTTCTTACCTTTTAAATTGCTGCACAACAGGCTGCCTTTTACAGAATCAGACATTTCTGCATACCCAGTAATTCCTCCTTTACCCACAGAGAGCTAAGAACTTTTCTTCTCAGATTTTAAATAAAAGATATGCTATAGTTGGTGTCTTAGTTCGTTTTGTGCTGCTGTAACAGGATACCACAGACTGGGTAATTTATTTTATTTTATTTTATCTTATTTTGAGATGGAGTCTCGCTCTGTTGCCCAGGCTGGAGTGCAGTGGCGCGATCTTGGCTCACTGCAACCTCCGCCTCCCAGGTTCAAGTGATTCTCATGTCTCAGCCTCCCAAGTAGCTGGGATTACAGGCATGTACCACCATGCCCGGGTAATTTTTGTATTTTTAGGAGAGATGGGGTTTCACCATGTTGCCTAGGCTGGTCTCGAACTCCTGACCTCAAGTGATCTGACCCCTTGGGCCTCCCAGAGTGCTGGGATTACAGGCATGAGCCACCATACCTGGCCAGACTGTGTAATTTATAATGAACAGAAATTTATTGGTTCACAGTTCTGGAGGCTAGAACGTTAAATATCAAGGTGCCAGCATCTGACAAGGGACTTATTGCTGTGTCATCATGTCACATGGCAGAAGGCAAAAGGGCAAAGAGAGAGGGCAACAAGGGGCTGAACTCGCCTTTTTTTTTTTTTTTTTTTTTTTTTTTGAGATGGAGTCTTGCTCTTTTGCCCAGGCTGGAGTGCAGTGGCACAATCTTGGCTCACTGCAACCTCCACCTCCCGGGTTCAAGTGATTCTTGTGCCTCAGCCTCCCAAGTAGCTGGGATTACAGGCACCTGCCACCACGCCCAGCTAATTTTTGTATTTTTAGTAGAGACGGGGTTTTACCATGTTGGCCAGCCTGGTCTTGAACTCCCAACCTGAGGGCCCACCTCGGCCTCCCAAAGTGTTGGGATTACAGATGTGAGCCACCGCTCCTGGCCTTGAACTTGCCTTTTAATAACAGCATTAGTTCCACCCATGAGGGCAGAGCACTCATGGCCTAACGACCTCTTAAAAGACTCTACCTTGATACTGTTACAATGGCAATTTCAACATGTATTTTGTAGGGGACAGACATTCAAATGGTAGCAGTTGGTGAAATAAGGCAGATAGGTATCCTTAAAATAATTTTTTCCGCCAGGCGCAGTGGCTCACGCCTGTAATCCCAGCACTTTGGGAGGCCGAGGCGGGCGGATCACGAGGTCAGGAGATCAAGACCATCCTGGCTAACACGGTGAAAACCCGTCTCTACTAAAAAATACAAAAAAATTAGCCGGGCGTGGTGGCGGGTGCCTGTAGTCCCAGCTACTCAGGAGGCTGAGGCAGGAGAATGGCGTGAACCCGGGAGGCAGAGCTTGCAGTGAGCCGAGATCACACCACTGCACTCCAGCCTGGGCGACAGAGCAAGACTCTGTCTCAAAAAAAAAATAATAATAATAATTTTTTCCCAGTAGAAATTATTTTAGACTTCAGAAACACATGAGGAAGAAGGAAGTTTATAGTACCCATTAACGTCTAAGGATTAACGTCTAAGGATCCTCTTGTTAACACTGTAGTGTACTTCATTCCAATCCATGTATGTGTATTTTGTTTTCCTACAGATTTGAAGTGAAACAGGTTTTTCCTCCAACCTCTTCCCCCCACCCAGCATCATATCATAGGCATTTTCCCATTCCACTAAATTTTCAAAATTGTTTTTAACAGCTGCATGGTATTCCTTTCAATGGATGAACCATAATTTAACTATTTCCCAGTCGTTAGACATTCAGATTGTTCAACATTTTTCCTGTTATAAACAGCACTGCAGTGAACATGTGTGTAAATCTCTGTATATATCTCTGATTAGTTACACAGAAACAATATCAAAACATAGTAATGTGGCTTACTCATTATGTAGGGGTAATTCTAAAGCAAAAATTATTTAGTTAAAGGATTTTACCTAATTATTTTTTCACTTTTGTCTGCCTAGCAGGCTTTCAACTCCGTTTGATAATGAGAAGTTTTATGTACCTTGTTCTATAACTTTTTCTCCCAGCATTCGGGTGTCCACCTGGAACAGACTGAACTACCTAAAGAATGGTGTGCTAAAGTCTGCCTTAAAATCTGCCATGGCCCATGACCCCATCTCCCCAGTGCTCTCTGATCCTCATCTGGACGCCGTGGACCAGCGGCTCCTGAGTGTCCTGGCCACCGTGAAGCAGTGCACCGACCAGTTTGGGATGGACACAGTACTGGTGGAAGACAGGATGCCTCTCTCACACTTGTAATTCTCGACACAAAATAAGTGAAACTTCTTTTTACAAAGATAGAGAAACAGCACAATCAATTCCAAATGGTATGAGATGGATTGGAAGTGGCCAGCAGCAAGTTCTGGTGACGGGACAGAGTGGCCTTGGATGTCTTTGGTATTTTCTGTAGTAGAAACTAAAGCAAAGACCACAAGTTTCAGAGCATGGAGACATTCCTGCTGAATCGCCTTCTCACCTCCTCGGCAATTGCTCATTCTAGGGTTGGGCATCATAGTTGGTCAGTCTTAATTCCCATGCCAAAGGACAAACAGGTGTGACATTTGGATAGATGAATACTGGGATTGGCTCTGGAGCATGTGTTTTGAGTTGAACCTTGCAGTCCTTTCTCTACGCCCGTGGATTTTGTGGAAACACTTTGCAATCTCTTTGTCTTTTTTTTTTTTACCAGAACTAGTTACATTGGAATGCTTACTGTCCTACAGAGTGGCAGCAAATAAAACCTTGCATTCCATCAAGCCAAAATAGCACACTCTGTTAGAGGAGATACATGTTTAAGATAGAATTGGAGGGAAGGACAAAAACAGAAAAATGTTTGGGCTTTTAAGCCATTGGGTAGTATTGTTTTGATGATCTTAGAGGAGGGAAGAAGAGAGAGAGACCCAATGGTAGAACCAGAATCAGGGAGATGACTGAACTACTGAAAAACAGGTTCCCTTGTATTTAGGATCTTAAGGTGTATAAAAAGCAAACATGACTTTGCACCTAAGTAAATTCTGCATTCTCATAGTTGTGTCCCAATTAACCAAAAAGTTGTCTCTAGAGAAAATACTATTACAATCTAAGCATGATTCTCTGTGGAGACTAATTTTTTCCCCTTTTGCCAAAAGCAGTCCTTCCCAAATTAACAAAGCAAACTGAAATAATACCTTGAATAACAGGTTGCCTGTGGTCTCTGTCATCCTCGTTTCTCTTCTGAAATGAATTTCCACCTCTGCCTTTAAGGCATTTTTGTCACTGAAGCTGCTGTTCCCAAGAGATCGGCAACCTTTTTGTCCCTTTCTCATAAGAAAGGGACACTCCTACAGGTGAGAGTGTATACCTTACTCTCTCAGATAAGTGGCTGGACTTATCTTGTGATTTGGGGCCATGGAAGATTGGAAACAAAGATTTTAAGCCTTCTTCTTTTTTTCTTTTTTCTTTTTTTTTTGAGACCAAGTCTCACTCTGTTGCCCAGGCTGGAGTGCAGTGGCACGATCTTGGCTTACTGCAACCTCCGTCTCCCAGGTTCAAGCGATTCTCTTGCCTCAGCCTCCAGAGTAGCTGGGATTACAGGCGCCCGCCATCGTGCCCAGCTAATTTTTATATTTTTAGTGGAGACAGGGTTTCGGGTTTCACCATGTTGGCCAGGTTGATCTTGGACTCCTGACCCCAGGTGATCCACCTGCCTCAGCCTTCCAAAGTGCTGGGATTACAGGCATGAGCCACCGTGGCCGGCCAAGATTTTAAGCCTTCTGAGCCTTGAAATTGAGGAGGTTAAAAGGAAGAGCCTTAAGATTTTGATTTATGTCAAATCCTAATTCTATCATTCAGTCTTGTTTGGAGTTCTGAACCCATGATGTTGTATTATGCTTCTTTCTCCTCTTAGCACTCTCAAATTTCAGGTTTGTAAAACACAGTTTTTGTTTTGTGTTCTGGCAAAGTGATCTCAACATGTAAGTAGTTGCAGTAAAACACAGGGGCAAAGGAAGACAGGCCTGATGTGCCCACTCATCTATGGACTCAGAGCTGTGTGCTTTGCTCCTGCATCTTGTTGAGGTGCTGTTCCAGCTTTGCATTTCTGTCAAGTAGAGGCGAATATATAAACAGTGTGGTTGAATACATTTAATGCCAGCCATTGGAAACTAGTTTTAGGCAACCACTCTCAAAAACAGCTTTAGAATTTATGCCCAGTTTTCTTGCATTGAAAGATAACTGAGTAATAACCTGTAACTATTTTTAAATGGCATGAAATTAGGAAACTTTTGTACATTTTATATACATTTTGAGATGAACAGAACAATGGGCTGAGTTATAAAAAGCGTGTATTGAATTTAAGAAGACAGACTAGCACAAAACACAGAATTCGTGTTAACCAAAGGAGGCATTGATTTCAGTTTTAAGGCTACTCAGTGTTGTGTGTCCAGGGAAATTCACAGCTCAGTATGAGAATACCTTGGTTAGTGCTCACCCACAAGCTTCCAGGAGCCAGCTGGGAGGAGACAATAGGAAGAGATGTCATCTCTGCTCTCCCTGTAAATGTTAGTTGAACTAAGTTATGGATTTGTGGTCTTTCAAATACATGACGCCTTTAGTATGCCACACTGAAATGAATAAGAAGTCTTCTGAAACTGGGAACTTCATAACATTGAAGGCAGAAGATTCTGCTAAGGAAAAAAGCAGGCAGGAAAGAAAATGTCTCATCCTTTCTTGAAAGCATTTGCAGAAAATATATCATTTCATTTTATTCCCATCTGTTTTCAAACTCGTGATCTTAAAAGGCATTCTGATGATAAATTTAGAATTTTCATCTATAAAATTTAGAACTCTAATCCATAAAGTTAGAATTGAGCTAATAGAGTGGTATGACATGGCACTAAAAATATAAATTTTTGTTGTAAGTCAGGATTGGAGTAAGCTGGAAAAGTATGTTTAGGCAAATCTTGGAGAAAACCAACCATAAACTTACAGCTCTAAAATTCAGAAAGCCCTAAAATTTCAAACACTGTTTGAAAGAAGAGGTGGGGGCCGGGTGCCGTGGCTCATGCCTGTCATCCCAGCATTTGGGAGGCTGAGGCAGGCAGATCACCTGAGGCCAGGAGTTCGAGACCAGCCTGGCTGGCTAGCATGGTGAGACCGTCTCTACTAAAAATGCAAAAATTAACAGGGCACGGTGGCATGCGCCTGTAGTCCCAGCTACTCGGGAGGCTGAGGCAGGAGAATCACTTGAATCCAGGAGGCGAAGGTTGCAGTGAGCTGAGATTGTGCTGCTGCACTCCAGCCTGGGAGACAGAGCGAGACTCTGTCTTAAAAAAAAAAAAAGGAGGTGAATTTTTTTTTAAGTTTTGTAACACTGTCCTACTTTATTTATTAGAATCTAAGGCTGTTACAATCAAGTCGTTGCAGGGTTTGGATCAGCTGTAAGTTAGGTATGCCTACCAAACATCCAAAGGTAGACGTGGAGACATTTTAATACTACAAAACTAGGAAAATCAGAACTCATGGCCATTTCCTGCCCTCCTCCAACTTGTTAAAACATGTTTATTCTAAAGTTCGAATGGATAAATTTGAGTATAAAGGTTTTGTTATAAAACTGTTCTTTAGTGTAAGGCTGCATTGTGGGTTTGGGGGAAATGTAAATAATTTTCTGTGTAAAACAAATTCATAGGATCTGATTTGCTCAGAGTATTATTCAAGAATGTATTAATAAGGCATTGCCCCCTGTTTGCACTCAGGGTTAATATGTCAAATGAAATTTAAGAAGGAAATGGAAGAATTCAGGTACATTAATTGCATATTATTTTGGGAAAGATGAGTCCTATACGTGGCAATTTTTCAATGTCATCTGAAGCCAGCATTATCTTCCAAAGAAATCGATCTTTTTTTTCTAAAAAAAAAAAATGCTTTTGCCTTCCCTTCCCTTCCCATCCGCCATATTTCTTCAGCCTTTCTTCTCGATCACCCGTGTATTCTTTGACCAGTAAATGACCACACCTCAATGATGGTAAAACAGCATCATCAGTAAGCTATCTTATATGCCTCATCCTGTGAGTTTGAGCTTCAGGAAACATGAGTAAAAGTATATGTAATGTATATAGTCGTATATGTATTCTAGCAAGAAAAACATATTTATTTTGACAAAGGGGAACACTGACTTTCTGAAGGATTCAGAAAGAACCTTAGTGAAAGGTTCTCAGTCTCTGAGAGTGGACCCTAATTAACATAAAGACCATTCATCAGCGAATAACTACTGAGCAACTCTAGTGTGCCAGCACAGGCCAGACATACTAGTGAGCCAGGCACATCTGGCCTTGGGAAACTCATCCTACAGGGGAAGGCCAGTTTTTTTCCCTTCAATTCCTCAAGTCTGGGTGGTGACAAGGTAGGGGCTAGGTACTGGACTACCACAGGTTTTTAGGAACTAAGGTGTTTCTCATAAACACAAAATGTTGGGTGAAACTGGGAACAACTACTCAGAAGCTCATTTATTTGCTTAAATGGAAAGTGTGGGAGCCACTACCCTCTCTTTTGATCTGCCAAGGATTTCCTCTCAGAGCTGTTGCACAGACAGAGATTGTACTTGGTAAGATACCAAACAAGACAGATATGGATCTAAATTTCTAATGTGTTCTATGGGTTTCAATTCTGAAAAAAGAAAATGAATAAAGATTTTAATAAATATTGATATCTGATCTTTTCCTCTTCTTTCCCCCTTCAGGATATTTCCAGTGGTTCCTATTTCAGTTCCCTTCCTGTTAGGGGACAGAAGAAGATTACATCTTTTGTGACCACTTAAACTTCCACAGGGATAGTTTCACAGTACCTGGTGGATTAGACCTTTAAATTTCCTCACCAGTCTTCAAACGGTTCATACTAGATTGTAACTATACCAAAATTTTCTATGGGATCATTGTTAGGTGCTTTTTGTATATTTAATAGTTAACTCCATTTTTGCAGCTTCCTTAGAGGTAAAGAATTATGAATCCTGAAGAACTTGTCAGCACACTACAAAAAAGGCAGGAAGAGAAGGCCAGTTGCCCTAGTAGTACTTCTTAGGACACCTAGATTTTTAACTTTTGAAATAGAATCCAGCATCATAAACCTCAACCAGGTAACTGAGCAAAGCTCTTAAGATTTTTATTGGGCCAGGCACCATGGCTCATGTCTGTAATCCCGGCACTTTGGGAGGCCAAGGCCCGTGGGTCACCTGAGGTCGGGAGTTTGAGACCAGCCTGGCCAACATGGTGAAACCCCTTCTCTACTAAAAATACAAAATTAGCCAGCTTGGTGCATGCCTGTAATCCCAGCTACTCTGGGGAGGCTGAGGCAGGAGAATCGCTTGAACCCGGGAGGCGGAGAGCTGGGATTGTGCCATTGCACTCCAGCCTGGGCAACAAGAGTGAAACTCAGTCTCAAAAAAAGAAAAAAAAAAAATAGCTGGGTGTGGTGGCAGGCGCCTGTAATCCCGGCTACTCGGAGGCTGAGGCAGGAAAATTGCTTGAACCCAGCAGGCGGAGGTTGCAATGAGCCGAGATCGTGCCATTGCACTCCAGCCTGGGCAACGAGCGAAACTCTGTCTCAAAAAACAAAACAAAACTATTTTATTTGCAGCATATTTGTGCTAGTTTTTGTCATTTGTACATGAATACATGTGGGAGGCTAGTAGAGCCTGGTCTGTGTATCTCACTGACTCACCACATACAAATTCTTTTCCAGGCTAGAGTTCAGGATTCATTTGCTTCTCAAGCATATCAGAACGACTGGTATTAGAGTTTGAAAAAGGTAGCTGGGAGTAGGGAGGGCGGGGCTCTGTTACTGGGTAATTTTACCTAGTATGTTTGCTTATTAGACTGATTTTTAGCAGTCGTCATTTTGTAAAATAGATAGGAATGGTCATAGCCACTGGATTTCCATGGGTAGGGTTTTGTAAGGTAAGTTGCAGTATAAGCCCCAAGGAATAATGGTATTAAATCACAATTTGTGAGATATTTGGTCTGTCATCAGTAGATCTGTGGGCCATTGTGCTGCAAGCTGTGGTATACCATTGAGATGATAGTGACTGTCTTTTCCCTCAAAGAGCCTGCAGTCTAGACCTGGCAGAAAAAAAAAAAAAAAAACTGCTTGTGAGGCACCAAGTCCCTCAGGAATTATATAAATTAATTGCAGTGAGAATAAGAAACGGGAGAGGATCATGGAGGTGGGGATTGGGAGGGATTGGGTTAGGCAGTACCTACATTGAAAAAGTGGAGATTGATCCAGGCTTGACGAGAGGTGTGTATAGAACCCCTGACTCCGGAAATGCAGAACTATTTGCTTAGTGGATACAGGGCCTTCTGGGCCTGTATTTTCAGTATCTGGGTCACCAGAAATATCGCTTCAGGGGTTTCTCATTGTTCTAGGAAATGTTTGTGTGCCCTGTCTCTTGAGGACATTCTCAGTCCACCTCAAGTGCTGTGTAGATGTTAAAGGAACATAGATGAGCTGGGAAACATTCCTGTAATGTTTCTCATGCAGGGTTATTTAAATATGGAGACTTGCGTTTGTTTTGTTTTTGAGACCAAATCTCACTGCAGTGCCCAGGCTGGAGTGCAATGGCGCGATCTTAGCTCACTGCAACCTCCGCTTCCCAGGTTCAAGCAATTCGCCTGCCTCAGCCTCCCGAGTAGCCAGGACTACAGGCGCATGCCACCACGCCCGGCTAATTTTTGTATTTTTAGTAGAGACGGGGTTTCTCCATATTGGCCGGGCTGATTGGTCTCAAACACTTGACCTCAAGTGATCCACCTGCCTTGGCCTCCCAAAGTGCTGGGATTACAGGCGTGAGCCACCGTCCCAGGCCGAGACTTGCTTTTGACCCAGTGTTTCCAAGGCAGATGGTTCTGATTGCCTTCAGTGGGGTTGGGAAGATGTCTGTTGTAAAGCTAGGTCATACTCAGATGACATCAATAAAGGTGTTGTGTGCCAATTTTGCCTTAGGCTTTTTTTTTTTTTTTTGGATTGACAGTCTTGCTTTGACGCAGGCTGGAGTACAATGGCACAATCATCGCTCATTGGCAGCCTCGAACTCCTGAGCTCAAGTGATCCTCCTCCCTCAGCCTCTCAAGTAGCTAGGATTATAGGCGCGCACCACCACACGCAGCTTATTTTTTATTTTTATTTTTGGTAGAGACAAGGGGTCTAGCCTTATTGCCCAGGCTGGTCTGAAACTCTGGCTTCAAGCCACCCTCCTGCCTCAGCCTCCCAAAGTGCTGGGATTACAGGCATGAGCCATGGCTCCCTGCACAGAAAGACCTTCTTAAAGTGCAGGTTTTGATTCAGTATGTCTGGGGCCTGAGATTCTGCATTTCTAACAAGCTCCTGGGTGATGCCAGTGGTGGGGTTCTGGAACCGCCCTTGAGTAGCACCGTAATGCTTGCTAAAGAATCATAGTTGTCTGTAGTTTTCCCAGCAGCCTCTAGATGTCCCCGTCATCCATGAGATACTGCTTCCAGAACTTTAAAACGAGCACAGCCTCCAAGGCCTGAGACGGAAAGGAGTATTTATTGAAATACTCAAGAGACGTATCTAGAAACTGGTGTTTGGATTTATTGTTTCTACACGGGACTGACTCTTTGGTGAAAAAGTGTTTACCTCTTTTTTTTTTTTTTTTGGAAAAAAACGGCCAGGCGCAGTGGCTCACGCCTGTAATCCCAACACTTTGGGAGGCTAAGGCAGGCAGGCAGATCACCTGAGGCCAGGAGTTCGAGACCAGCCTGGCCAACATGGCGAAACCCCGTCTCTACTAAAAATACAAAAAAAAAAAAAAAGCGGGGGCGTGGTGGTGAACGCCTGTAATCCCAGCTACTTGGGAGGCTGAGGGGGAAGAATCGCTTGAACCGGGGAGGCGGAGGTTGCAGTGAGCCGAGATTGCACCACTGCACTCCAGCCTGGGCGACAGAGCAAGACTCCGTCTCTAAATAAATAAATAAATAAATAAATAAATAATAAAAATGTCTTGAAATCAAGTTGGTTGTCGAAGAACTTCCCAGCTAACCTACTTTATTTACAATGGGATGCTAAATCCAAGTCAGAACATCTCAGAAATGAGCAGGTAGCCCTACATAAAAGTTCCAAGTACAGATAATTCTTTCCACAACATCTTAAAACTTGGATTGTTTTAATAAACTATTGTTACTATTAATTTTTTCACCATAAATTCACTTATAAACCACCAGTATTAACTAAAGCCATCCTTGCCTCCTGTGTAGACCACCCAGAGCCTCCTCCATGGCTGGGTAGATACAAAAATAAAACTGGCCACGTATTGAGTGTTGATGATGTGCTCATTGAATGAGCTCATTTAATCTTCACAGCAGCCCTATGAGGGGACTATTTTATTATCCCTTTTTATAGGTGAGGAAACAGGCATGGGACGGTTCAGTAACATCCATGGTTGCACAAATAGAAAATGGTAATCACTATATTAGACTGCCATTCAGACTCAAACGACATTTGTTGAGTGAGTTAATTTTTTTTCTTTTCTCTTTTTTCTTTTTTTTTTTTTTTTGAGATGGAGCCCTGCTCTGTCACCCAGGCTGGAGTGCAGTGGTACCATCTTGGCTCACTGCAACCTCTGCCCCCTGGGTTCAAGCCATTCTCCTGCCTCAGCCTCCTGAGTAGCTGGGATTACAGATGCGCACCATCACACTCAGCTAATTTTTGGATTTTTAGTAGAGACTGGGTTTCACCATGTTGGCCAGGCTGGTCTCGAACTCCTGATCTCAGGTGATCCGCCCGCCTCGGCCTTCTAAAGTGCTAGGATTACAGGCGTGAGCCACCACACCCTGCCTAATTTTTTTTGGTTTTCCAATAAGCACTGTGGTGTATGTGCTGTTAACTGTCTCCGGTGGACTCCGCAAGCTCGATGTACACAGTGCTGGGCTGGTGCCATGGCTGCTACTCTATGAAAAGTTTTTGACATCACACTGAATGGCTGAGACACTATAAACATTTTACTTTTCAACTCAACCTCGTGTCCTAGCAAAGGTGCTTTATCTAGTTTCTGTAGCTGTTCGAATGAAAGGCACAAATTTGGTGAGCTGCTGAGAATGGAGCAGACCTGGCACGGTGTGATCTAAGAGACTGGGGTGAACAGATGAATCAAGTTGCCTGTGACATTTGTGAGACACGGTGCTAGTATTCACCTTACTGTCTGGAGGGCCCAACCTCAAAGCCACTAAACATATGACATTAGCCAAGTCCTCTGATCTCTCTAGACAGCAGTTTTCTCCTAAGACAAGACGGCTTTTTGGCTTGGCTGAAGTAAGCCAGGTGATTTTAAACAATGCATTAAGCTCTTCTGAAATCTAACAGCCTTGTTCCATGCTCCTCGCTATGGAGAAGAGAGCGCTGAGGGAAAGAGGCCCTGTAGTCTTTTGCCAATGGTGTCGGATGGGCTGCTCAGTCCCAGCACTTGAAAGTTGCAAACCTAGTCAAGAAAGTGCACACAGTACTTCGGATTTTTATGAGATATAATTACATTGACATGACGCCTCATGATTTACCCATGACTCGGGGGGTTTCCAAACTCCAAACACCTCCAGACTGGAGCCCGTCAATCAGCTTCCTCTTGCTTTTCGTGGACTCCCACTGTGGAAACCTGCTGGTGTTTTGCTGCGGTTTCATTTCCCTCTGCGGAGGAGCCAGGGCAACCTTGGCCAGACAGGCACCTAGCTGTGCCCTTCTTTCCAGGGCCTCTTCTCCACTCAGCTGACTCCCCTGGCCTGCCTAACGCTCCTGACTGAGACGGTTTTCCGGCTTCCTCTAACAGGTTGGCGGGAAGTTGATCTGCAAACGCGAGGCAAAGCAGGAGTGTCCTTATTCGGTAGGCCTCTGATGGGCCACCAGAGCCGTCCGAAAGTCCTAGCGGAGTGATTGACAGTGGCCATTTCAAAGCCTGAGTTCACCTTCTTTGCAACCACAATCACGACCCAGAATAAACTGCTTCCTGGAAGCCGGCTAGTTGCACCTGGCCTGAAGTCAGTCTCGGGACTGCCTCTCAGGACCCCAGACAGGGTTTCGGGTTCCCGCCTGGGTCACGTGTACGGAGGCTGCCAGTGCGCACTCAGCCCGGCCCGCCGGTCGCCACAGCAACACCAATCCCGGGTTCAAGCCCGCCTAGGAAGTGCGGTCCCCGCCTGACCGCCCCGGGCTTAAGGGAGCCTGGCTAGGCCGGCAGCCGGATGGTCCCGCAGCTCGGGGCCGGCCATGCTTCGCGGTCCGTGGCGCCAGCTTTGGCTCTTTTTCCTGCTGCTGCTCCCGGGCGCGCCTGAGCCCCGCGGCGCCTCCAGGCCGTGGGAGGGAACCGACGAGCCGGGCTCGGCCTGGGCCTGGCCGGGCTTCCAGCGCCTGCAGGAGCAGCTCAGGGCGGCGGGTGCCCTCTCCAAGCGGTACTGGACGCTCTTCAGCTGCCAGGTGTGGCCCGACGACTGTGACGAGGACGAGGAGGCAGCCACGGGGCCCCTGGGTAAGACCCCGTCCCCACGGTCCGCCGTTCGCTGCGGAGCAGAGTGCGATCCGGGCGCGGCTGTGGTCGCCTCGCTCCTGTCCGGGGCGACATCTGGGCCCGCAGTCCTGCTCTGCTCAGCCGCCGGTACCGGCTGTGGGCGGGGGCAGCCTCCGCGGAGCAGGGAGCCCCATCACCGCCCTTGCCCCACCCGCGTCCCCTGCGCACCCCCCTGGCGCCCGGCTTCCCGTCCCCCGCCTCCCCTGATCCCTGCGCTTTCCAGATTCTCTCGCACCGCCTGTGCCATCTCCCAGCCCACCCTGGCGTTATTCGAAGGTGTTGCTCTTGACAGCTCTAGGGAACGTCCGCTGTGGACATGCCTGGTGACTGCCGTCTCCCTTGCTGCTTTTGGACGCAGGGCTTGAGGACCGACAGTGGGCCGAGTCGGGGCTGGGAGTTAGAATCTGAGTTCTGGGTGTCCCTCTGTCCCTGACAAGTTGTGTGGCAAGGTTGCCGCATCACTGTAGAGCACCGGATGGTCTCCTCTCGGTCTCACAGCTCCTCCTTTTCCAGGCTGGCGCCTTCCTCTGTTGGGCCAGCGGTACCTGGACCTCCTGACCACGTGGTACTGCAGCTTCAAAGACTGCTGCCCTAGAGGGGATTGCAGAATCTCCAACAACTTTACAGGTTGGACCCCGCATGGCTTCAAGGGGCTAGGGATCTGTGGGGAGGGGAGGCAGTCCAGGGGAAATGGTTAGATGCAAGGGACCTTTCGTCATCCTGCCCAGCCTCCCGACAAGCAGGAACTGCCACAGTCTGACTGAAGTTTTGAGGGAGTACCAAATGCTTGAGTCAGGGAAGCCCCTTTTTAGCCTCTAGCTTAATAGCCCAGGCAAACTGAGCTGTTTGTCAGGCCCAGAGCACCTTGTTTCACTCTAAACAGAAACAGCTACCTCTCAGAGGGGGCTGGAACTATCCAGAGAGAACTGATCAGAAATTCTGGGTTGTGATTAAAAGTGTCCCTTTCTTTTCTTTTTTTTTTTTGAGACGGAGGCTTGCTCTGTCACCCACACTGGAGTGCAGTGGTGCGATCTCAGCTCACTGCACCCTCCGCCTCCTGGGTTCAAGCAATTTTCCTGCCTCAGCCTCCCGAGTAGCTGGGATTACAGGTGCCTGCCACCACGTCCGGCTAATTTCTGTATTTTTAGTAGAGGCGGGGGGGGGGGGGGGGGGCGGGTTTCACCATGTTGGCCAGGCCGGTCTCGAACTCCTGACCTTGTGATTTGCCTGCCTTGGCCTCCAAGAGTGCTGTGATTACAGGCGTGAGCCACTGTGCCATGGCAACCAGTATTTTCTAATTAGTTTGGGTTGCTTGATTTGCATATCGCAGTTGATTTGCATTTTCACTCTCACAAGGTGATCTTTGGCCCCATGTTCTGAAACCTGTTCAGACATTTGCAAAAGCTTCCTCTCTTTTCCCCAGGAGCAATTTCTTGCCCAGAGTTCTCCTGATCCCAGGTCCTTCAATCTCCATAAATGAGGCCCACCCCAGATATTTAGGTCACTTAATTGGCCAAAATGCCAATAACACAGTGTGTTTAGGGACACAGTCTGGCTCAGGACAGAAGATAGGACTACATACAGGTCAGGAAGTCTTAATTTGGATCACTGCTGACTTGGATAAGACCCTAGGTAGCAATTAGCAAGTTACTTTCTGTCCTCAACATGCCTTTTGTTCGACAAGGGCCTGGATATCCAAATTGTTCTGGCCAGCGGATTGGAGACCCCTCCTAGTCGTGCCTCTTCCTTGCTGGCAAACTGAAGAGTCCTTCCCAAGTGTCCGTTTCCTCAGCTGTATTTTATTTTATTTTTTTTACTTATTTATTTTGAGACCAAGTCAGTCTCTGTCACCTAGGCTGGAGCAATCTCGTCTCACTGCAAACTCTGCCTCCCAGGTTCAAGCGATTCTCTTCCCTCAGCCTCCCGAGTGGCTGGGATTATAGGTGCCCACCACCATGCCCAGCTAATTTTTGTATTTTTAGTAGAGAGGGGGTTCACCATGTTGGCTAGGCTGGTCTCGAACTCCTGACCTCGTGATCCGCCCGCCTCAGCCTCCCCAAGTGCTGGGATTACAGGCGGGAACCACCTCGCCCAGCCAGTTTCCTCAGCTTTAAATGGGAATAATAATGCCTGCCTTGCAGAATTGTGAAGACCAAATGTAAAACACTTAGCCCAGTTCTGAATACAGAGAAAAAAGCAGCAAATGTTAATTTTCTTCTATGTCACTACTACTTTTGGAGCAATGTGTGATGCCCTCAATGTTTTATCATAGACCTTGACCTCCCAAGGCTCCAGAATACCTGCTCTGGGCTGGCTTAAGGTGTTCAACCAATTGATCCTGGATTTGGAATGCTCACCCACAGCTGGCCGCACACCCTGCCTGTCTGCACTGTGGCTCCTGGTAGCGCCATCTCCAAATCCTACAACCTCACGTCTGACAGGAGGAAGTTAGACCTAGCAGAAGGCTTTGCACACTGGAGCTGCTCTCACCAAGTGTTGGCTGAATTGAATGAGAATGAATAAAATCAGGCTTCTCCATAAAACAGGGAGCCCTGAAACCAAGGGATGGGAGCAGCCTCAGGACATGGGGGACAGGGTTCCTCCCTAGACAGGTCTGTGCCAACTGTTCTGGGTATCTGCAGGATCTTTAGGAAGGGTGATTCCACTCTCCCTGAGTCCCATCTTGATTTCCCAAACTCTTCAAAAAGTAGTCCTTGAGGCTGGGCGCAATGGCTCACGCCTGTAATCCCAGCACTTTGGGAGGCCGAGGTGGGCGGATCTCGAGGTCAGGAGTTCAAGACCAGCCTAGCCAACCTGGTGAAACCCGTCTCTACTAAAAATACAAAAATTAGCTGGGTATGGTGGTGGGCACCTGTAATCCCAGCCACTCGGGAGGCTGAGGCAGGAGAATCGCTTGAACCAGGGAGGCGGAGGTTGCAGTGAGCTGAGATTGCGCCACTGCACTCCAGCCTGGTGACAGAGCAAGACTCCATCTCAAAAAAAAAAAAAAAAAGAAAGTAGTCCTTGAATCCCTTCTGCTACAAAGTCTGCCCTCTGGCTTCTTATTCTAAGGCCAAACAGGAGGAGTAACTGATTCCACCCGAGAGAGATTCAGAGTTGCTTGGTTTCTTGGCTGTTGGCTGTTGTGGTGGATGGGCCTGTGTGTGCCTTTTGCTGTGACTACCTCTTTCCTGTCCTTAGGCTTAGAGTGGGACCTGAATGTGCGGCTGCATGGCCAGCATTTGGTCCAGCAGCTGGTCCTAAGAACAGTGAGGGGCTACTTAGAGACGCCCCAGCCAGAAAAGGCCCTTGCTCTGTCGTTCCACGGCTGGTCTGGCACAGGCAAGAACTTCGTGGCACGGATGCTGGTGGAGAACCTGTATCGGGACGGGCTGATGAGTGACTGTGTCAGGATGTTCATCGCCACGTTCCACTTTCCTCACCCCAAATATGTGGACCTGTACAAGGTGAGGCCGACCAGGGCTGGGGTGAGGCCTCTGTGCTGGGAGGGAGACCCTTCTGCCAGCCCTTCCTTGCAAGGAAATGGGCTCTGGAGAAGCCTGGGGAGGTGGGGACAGGTGGCAGAACCTGTGACAGAGCCACTCCGTCCACTCCTCACAGAGGCCCTTAGCATGTGGAAGAGACTGGCGTTCCAAACACCACCCCCTGCTCTGTCCCCAAACAGCCACACTCGAGAGGCTGGACACTGCGCTTAAGCAGGGACGCTGCATGTTGATTTTTGTTGTAGAAGTAGTGAAATGTCACAGACTGCAGTGTAGAACAGAGAAAAGCAAAAACTGTCAGACTCTCCACACGGACACACCCTTGTCAGCTAAGGAGAGGTAGCATTTTATGTGCTGCCTTTGGTGCGGAACCTTTCCCCAGGCTCTTTGTCATTGTAACTACGTTGGACAGAAAGTTGTATATCCTGCCTTTTTAAAATTTAAACAGGCCTATTGGCCGGACATGGTGGCTCACGCCTGTAATCCCAGCACTTTGGGAAGCCTAGGTGGGTGGATCACGAGGTCAGGAGATCGAGACCATCCTGGCTAACACGGTGAAACCCCGTCTCTACTAAAAATACAAAAACTTAGCTGGGCGTGGTGGCGGGCACCTGTAGTCTCAGCTACTCGGGAGGCTGAGGCCGGAGAATGGCGTGAACCCGGGAGGCGGAGCTTGCAGTGAGCCGAGATCGTGCCGCTGCACTCCAGCCTGGGCAACAGAGCAAGACTCCATCTCAAAAAAAAAAAAAAAAAAGAAAACAGGCCTATCCTATCTTACCTGATTTTTTCATGTCTTCCCGTATCAGCTTATTATATACCAGCAAGTGGATGGACAGAAATTTCCTTGGCTGTTCTGCCATTTTGGGTTTCTTCTACTAATTCAGCCATGTAGTATTGAAAACATACCAGAAGAGCCTGACAGAATTGACTGCACCTGTCTTTGGCTTTGTTTTAATATTTGGAATGTGTTCACCTGGGAAGATTATGTCAGCGTCTGAGGACAGAGGCTGCCCGCGTCTCCTGGCAGTTTCCATATGGCTTTGGAGGGCAGGGGCAGGCTGAGCTGGGCCTTTCCGGGCAGAACTGTCTGGCTTAGACTGTGGCAAGACTGCTGCAGCCCCAGCTTCCCTGCTGTGAAAACTGGCATGTGCATAGCCCTGCACCTCACACTTTCCCCCACAAAGGTGCACCCAGTAGACAGGGAGTGTGGGCTCTGGAGTGGGAGCTGGCCCTGAATAATATATTCCCTGCCCATTTCGATGAACATTGCAAAGAACCATCTTTTCACTTGAGGGTTTACTGTCTTGCCTGGGGCAAGGAACCCTCCACAGCTTGCAGGAGCCAAGTTGGATGTTGGTTAGGCCCAGTCAGTCCTTCAGCAGGCTTGCTCCCCTGAGATCTCGGCCCAGCCAGGGTGCCAGTGGGCGCTCTGCACCCGGGAGTTCAGGGCAGGGGACTGTGGCTGCCTCTGGGCACATGAGCCTCTCTTTGCCCATCACCCCTGTATGAAAGCTCAACTCCTATCCACCCCCTGGGAATAGACCCTGAGCTTAAACAGGGAAGTTGCGCCTGGATGTTTTTGTTGTAGAAGTAATGAAAGTTTGCGGGTGTGTGGACATTGTTAGCTCCTGGATGGGATGTAGTCCTGGAGAGGAGAGAGCAGGGCTGGAGCAGGGGCCCCTTCTCAAGGGCAGAAGGGCTTCTCCCCACTCCTTTCTAGGCTGTCTCCTAGTCCCCAAGCTGGCTTCACCTTGTTTAGCTTTCAACCCTCAGGGTGCTTGAGAATCACCTGGGAGCTGGTCAGATGCAAATGTCCTAGGCCCTCCCCAAGAGCTTGGATTTGATAGGTTCTGGCGGGGGGCGGGGGGTGGGGAACCCAGCCCCAGGGGGTCCATTGCACATGCCCAGGGGAAACCACGCCCTCAAGGCCGGAGGTGGAAGGAGTCACCACTTCCCCAGCTGCTCCCTATATCCCGTGCAGGAGCAGCTGATGAGCCAGATCCGGGAGACGCAGCAGCTCTGCCACCAGACCCTGTTCATCTTCGATGAAGCGGAGAAGCTGCACCCAGGGCTGCTGGAGGTCCTTGGGCCACACTTAGAACGCCGGGCCCCTGAGGGCCACAGGGCTGAGTCTCCATGGACTATCTTTCTGTTTCTCAGGTGGGTTCTGGGGAACAATAGTCAGGAGGGCTGGGGGAGGGGAAGATACTAGCTGGCAGTGGAGGCTTCCACACGCCCCCAGGTTCAGAACCTTTCCTCAAGAAAAAACAGCACAAACTCTGGTACAGAAAGCAGCAGCCAGCTGTGGTAGCTCACGCCTGTAATCCCAGCACTTTGGGAGGCCAAGGCGGCCGGGTCCCTTGAGTCCAGGAGTTCAAGACCAGCCTGGGCAACATAGTGAAACCCCATCTCTACAAAAAATATAAAAATTAGCTGGGCGTGGTGACATGTGCCTGTAGTCCCAGCTACTCGGGAGGCTGAGGTGGGAGAATCGCTTGAACCCAGGAGGTGGGGGTTGCAGTGAGCTGAGATCGGGCCACTGCACTCCAATCTGGGTGACAGATTTTTTGAAACAAATTCCCAAGGCAAGCCTGGTTAGAGAACGGCATAGTCTCCCATCAAGTCCAACACGGCCATTTCTTCCTTCAGCCTTGGAAGTCTGTTTCTTCTCCGATTATGAGAAGTCATCACTGGCTTAAAATCCAGGGTATACGGGTTGAGAAACCCATGCTTCCTCTGAGTACCTGTAGTTCAGTTGTGACGCTACCATGCGGGACCCAGTCACTGAATCACTGCACTGAGGTTCCTGTGCTTTCACTGACATCTTTGCGTGAAGCCAACTTAGAAATAACTTGTCCAACCTCATCTTTTTGCGGAGGCTCCAACTGGGGGAGTCCTGTGTCTGTTACAAGTCAAGTTTGGGCCCTTGTTGACCCAATTTGAAGGCTTCACAACAGCTCGAGCCTCGGTAGGAGTCAAACTGAGTGCTCCCTTCCCAACTCCACTCCGGCCTCGCCTTCCCCAGGCCAGCACTTGCTTGCTGGGGGGGTTTCCCAAGCTGCAGGGCTCACTTTGTGAGGATGGGGAAGTTGGTGAGGGGATGCTGATTTTCATCCTAGCTTGGGGAGTGTGGAGGGGTGAAGGGTTGAGCTGTGGAGGGCAGATCTAGTTTCGGTGTGGATTCACAAGAGGAAGTGAAACAGGGTCCAGGCGCAGTGGCCTGTCTACTAAAAATACAAAAATTAGCTGGGTGTGGTGGCAGGTGCCTGTAATCCCAGCTACTCGGGAGGCTGAGGCAGGAGAATCACTTGAACCTGGGAGGCAGAGGTTGCAGTGAGCTGAGATCACACCATTGCACTCCCGCCTGGGCAACAAGAGAGAGACTCCATCTCAAAAAAAAAAAAAAAAGTGAAACAGGTTTAAGCCGTTGCTGGGTTGGGATTTCTGTGTAGTGGCGGGAAGCCCTTCCTGGTCTGCAGGTGAAGCTGTGGAGACTTAAAATGCATTGCGAAGTGGGAGGGGAGTGGGGCGCCCAGGGTGATTTTTAAGAGGAGAGAGAGATCTCTTGCATGATTTGGGTGCCCAGAACCAGGAGGTGAGGACAATACATTCTTCCAGTTAGTTCTTATTCCCACGTTCTGTACTATTTCCCACCTTCGGAGGCAGCCGGGCTCACCTCTCCTCCTGTTACAGAGAGTCAGGTGGGGGCTGCAACATGCAGATGAGCCTGAACAGAGGAGTCACCTGGGTGCTCTGTGGTTTCTCCACCTGAGCCCTGGGTCGGGCAGTCCAGGGGACCCTCTGAACCACCGATGCGGAAGCCAGTCCTTCCCACGGCACGGAGCAAAGCATGGTGACCCAGCCTCGGGCCTCCCTTTCGCTTCCACAGGGATCTCCCTTGCGCTGAGTGTCTTCCTCCTCCCTCTCCCCGAGACAGGGGTCTCCCGGCTTCAGGTGGTGCCGGCCACACAGACTCTCCCACCCACTTCTCAGCTTGGAAAACCTCACCTGGGCCGTGATTGCCTAACGTGACCCGGTGACCCTGCAGTCTCCAGGCAAATGTTATAGCCTTTGTAGTATTTTGGCCGTCGACCTGACAGCACCACCCTCCAGCTGCCTGTCCTTTCCCCCAGTGACCCAGCCTGGGTGGACTGTCCGAGGCCATGTGGTTGTGGGCGGGGTGGGGGGGGGGGCCTGCGGGAAAGCCGCCTGCCAGACTCCTCCATGCCACAGCAGGGTGGGGAGGTCCCCCAGGAGCCTTTGACAAGGATGTAAAGGACACATTAAAAAGATGTGGCCTTAGGTTCTAGTGGCTCTGGTGTGGGCCTGTGCCCAGCCTTTACGAGCCAGAGGTTCCCCCCTCCAGCCGAGGGCTGGGCTGACATAGTCTGTGCCCAGGCTGTCCAGGGCAGCAGCCTCTCAACCTCAAGTTCTCAGGTAGTCCAGCGATGGCTGGGAGGAGACACACTGTTGATATTGGAGTCTCTGGACTTGATTTCTATAATGAGCTTCAGTTAATCATCCACTGTAATAAGGATTCTAGGGCATGAAAGAAAAGCACAGCTGATTCAAACTGCTAGAGTGACCAAGTCATACTGCACGAAGGAAGAGCAGCAGTTTAATTCTGAAATAAATCCTAAACCTGCTGTTTGAAGTGAGTTGCCAGTGGCTTTGCTGGCTTCCTCCTGGTGGCAGGAGAGAGGAGGTGGGAGCTGAAGCAGGGAGTTGAGTGTGGTGCTCAGAGCCTGTCCTTCATCCGGGCCAGGGAATTGGGGCCGGTGACTGGGCACCAGGAAAGTAACATTACTTCGCCCACTTCTGCCAAGTATAGAAGGCTGCAGGAATGGGCTCACGTGGCAGGACAGGAACGTGGAACTCTGCGATCGGAGCTGCTGCCCTGTTCTCATGGGAGCTGTAAAGTGACAAGGGTAATTAAAGCCTGTTTCCTTTGTGCTGTTGTCAGGAAAAGGATAGAAAGGACTTTGAAAAATTACAGAACTACACAAATAGAAATTATTTGTGGAGTCGTGGTGGGCCTTGCGCTCCAGCCCCCAGTGTCTGTTGGCTGCCTGTTGACTAATGAGAGGACAGCTTAGATTGGTCCAGTCCTGACTTTATAAATGAGAACACTAAGGCTCAAAGAGATGACTGAGTCTATGTCTGTTCTTTAGGAAAGATGTAGCAGTTAGCATGGGGTTTGTTACCAGTAACAACCAGTTCTCTGGTGAGGCCTGAAGTCCCCTTCCTTTGGGGTCTTAGGGATAAGGGCTGGTGAGATCAGCCCTGGCAGGGGCTGGAGACGGGGGATGAGGGCTGGTTGAGAGAGGTGCCCTCTGGCCCCTCCAGACTTCCCAGCGATCCAGGTCAGCAGATGAGCTGGGAGGCTGTGGAAGGGAATTGAGGTGCTCCAGAAAGACAGTGTCTGTCTAAAGGTAGAACGCTGGTGCCAGAGTGGTGGTCCTGAAGATGGGAGGGGCGGCGCGTAGAGAGGGGCCCCAGGTTATGGGTCAGTGGGTGAGATTAAAGCCTCTAAAGTGGTGGAAGAAAAGGGACTTTGGCTATGGGACAAAACAGGAGAGATTGAGAAGGGTGGAGATGGTGCAGACACATGTGCAGAGATGTCCCTTTATTTACTAAAGGCTGAGTGCCTGATACGCACATAGCACTGGGGTTACAGAAATAAACAGGCCAAGCTTCCTGCCCTATGTGATGGGACCTCTCTTTACCCATGTAAGCACCTTACAGAATGGAGAAGGCCCTGGAGTCCATGCCCCTAGGATGGGGTGAGGGAGTATCACTCTGTGGGGTTTCACAGCACCCTGGATCCTGCCTTCCAGCCCCTGCCAAGGTAAACAGTGCTGCCTGCCTCCTGTGGGGAATGCAGGATGGGGCAATGCCCTGGCAGCAGGGTCTTGCCTCAGCTGATGCAACTGTGGCTGCTCCTGTGTGCACAGATCATGTGCCTGGAAGGCCTTCCTGCAGCAGGGGCAGTGTCAGAAAGTGGAAGAGTGGTGTGAGCAGCTTCCCCGGGGAAAGCCTGGCTGAGCAACTGACCTTGAGCAAGCACTGCAGATGGCCCTTGTTCCTGCCGGGCTCCTCCAGCTGGGAGCTCTCAGCCCCTGGTAAATTCTGGCAGTGAAAGACACATTAGCACCTCCCCCTACAATGAGGCACCTAGCTAGACAACTTGGCTGTCCGGGCTTAACCTGCGTGGCAGGGAAGGACGCCTGCCCAGCCTTAGCCTCTACGCAATGGTGGAGGCAGGGAGGGAGAGAACCACACAGCTCCCCTCATTTCCCAGCAGCCCCCATGGAGCCTAGTCAACAGGGTGTGGTCACAGGCTAAATGAGCAAAGATGTGAGCTAATATACTGGTAGGTGTCATGGGGGCTTTCAGAGCTGGGTAAGGAGGGAAAGAGATGGAGATACTGGTTCCCCACTCCTTAACCTGCCACCTGCCTTCCCTGTCCTTTACCCTCCCTCATTCTGCTGGACCTGAGGAAAATGCAAGGGAGGCTAGGCCTAGTGGCTCATGCCTGTCATCCCAACACTTTGGGAGACTGAGGTGGGAGAATCACTTGAGCCTAGGAGTTTGAGACCAGCCTAGGGAACATAGTGAGACCTCGTCTCTACAAAAAAATTTTAAAAATAGGGCCGGGCACACCTGTCATCCTAGCACTTTGGGAGGCGGGCAGATCAGCTGAGGTCAGGAGTTTGAGACCAGCCTGGCCAACATGGTGAAACCCTGTCTCTACTAAAAAAATTAGCTGGGCATTGTGGCATGTGCCTGTAATCCCAGCTACTTGGGAGGCTGAGGCAGGAGAATCTCTTGAATCCGGGAGGCAGAGGCTGCTGTGAGCTGAGATCACGCCACTGCACTCCAGCCTGGGCAACAAGAGTGAAACTCTGTCTCAAGAAAAAAAAAAATAGCTGGGTAGGGTGGCATGTACCTGCAGTCTCAGCTACTTAGGAGGCTGAGGTGAGAGGATCAGCTGAGCCTGGGGAGGTGGAGGCTGCAGTGAGCCAAAATCACGCCACTGTACTCCAATCTGGGTGACAGAATGAGACTGTCTCCAAAAAGAGAGAAAGCACGGGGAAGTGCAAGTGCATTGATGTGGAGCTGGGCAAGGACTTGGTTTAAGGAGCTGGTGGAGCTGGCTGAGGCTGCAGCCCAGGGAGGGGAGGAGAGTGCAGTGAGGTGGGGGAGAAGTATGCCTGGGCCGTGGAGGGCGGAGGAAGGCCAAGTCTCCACTACCTCTGTCCCAGCTTCCCTGCTGGTGGCTCTACGGTTGCATCTTCTCTCCTTATCCCCTTTCTCCCTCCTATCTCTAACCCAAATCACTTTCTGTGCTTCAGACCCGTAATTCCAGTTGCCCAGTGATATCACAACCTGAGAGAGATCACAGGCAAGCAAAAAACACTCAAACGTGTGTAAAACCAAACTTTCATCTCCACCTTTCCGTGTTCCACCTCTGTTAAGGGGGACAGCAAGCAGCTTGAGGCTAACGCTTGTTCTTTGATGACCTCCTTTCACTTCTCACATCCATCAGTTACAGGGTTTTTCAATTGTGCCTCCATAACTAATTCTTAAATCCTCCTTTCCATCCCTTCTCCATGATCCATAAGCTCAAGTCCATGCAAATGGCAGACAAAGCCCTCCTCACCTTAGCCAGCCTTTCATGCCTGTGCTCCTCTGGCGCACCCAGGCCTAGACACTTCCCTTCCTTGCCAAGTGTCTGATGATCACTACTTGGTCTTTATTTGCTCAGAAGCCTCATCCTCCCTCTGAAGCCTTCTCCTTAGAACTCAGTCACTCCTCCATTAGCGCTTGCCACACTGTCCTGGAACCGAATACACGGATGCCCCTCAGACCACACAGAAGAACCATATCTTACCATCTTTTCATGCTCCCTGCACTTAGCACAGTCTCAGTAAGTGTGTGTCAAGAGGGAACAAGAGAGAATGGGTGGCAAAACTGGACAGTGTCTTTTCTGTGCAGACCTTTGGGTTGTGAGGTTGTGACAAGGTCTCCTGGAAGAGAGAGAAGGTCCACGCCCCTCAGCCTCTATTCTTCCAGGCACTAATGCATTGGTTTCAGCGGTGAGATAACATATATGGAAGCTAAATATAAACAAATGGGTTAACAAGCTCTTGTCTCTTTCAGTAATCTCAGGGGCGATATAATCAATGAGGTGGTCCTAAAGTTGCTCAAGGCTGGATGGTCCCGGGAAGAAATTACGATGGAACACCTGGAGCCCCACCTCCAGGCGGAGATTGTGGAGACCATAGGTGAGTAACTGACTCAATATGCCTCTGGTGAGAGCCACAGCTGGTGATAATTAATGTGTTTGTTGGAATGTGTGTTTATGAAGCAGACAGGGTACTTGGGAACACAGAGGGCAGACTATAATCATCTCACATTGTCAACCCTGGGTGGGCACAAGAAAAGTGGTAAGAAAGCCTGAGCTCCTTTTCTGGGAATGCTTGGAAATAGTAGTTTGCACTGGCCCCAAGAACAGGCGCAGTGGTCTCTGAAGCCTGAGACTCTGAGTCTCACTGCAAGACTTTACCTAAAGGAGACACAGCTGTAGAGTTCTTGACATACGCTGCAGACAGCACTCCTGGAGTTGAGAGATGAGATCCAACCTCACCCAGCCCCTTCAGTCGGGGCCAGGTGTGGTGGCTCACACCTGTAATCCCAACACTTTGGGAGGCTGAGGCGGGCGGATCACTTGAGTCCAGGAGATCTAGACCAGTCTGGCCAACATAGTGAAACCCCGTCTCTAGAAAAAAAACAAAAATTAGCCAGGTGTGGTGCTGTACGCCTGTGGTCCCAGTTACTCACAGGCTGAGATGGGAGGATCCCTTGAACCTAGGAGGTGGAGGCTGCAAGGAGCCCAGATCTCACCACTGCACTCCAGCCTGGTTGACAGAGCAAGCCCCTGTTTCAAAGAAACCAACAGCAACCCCCACCCCCGCTAAATTCCAGCTAGGTTCAGTCCTAGGTCAGACTCCATGTAACTTTGGTCTTGCTTTCAGACAATGGCTTTGGCCACAGCCGTCTTGTGAAGGAAAACCTGATTGACTACTTCATCCCCTTCCTGCCTTTGGAGTACCGTCACGTGAGGCTGTGTGCACGGGATGCCTTCCTGAGCCAGGAGCTCCTGTATAAAGAAGAGACACTGGATGAAATAGCCCAGATGATGGTGTATGTCCCCAAGGAGGAACAACTCTTTTCTTCCCAGGGCTGCAAGTCTATTTCCCAGAGGATTAACTACTTCCTGTCATGAAGGCTAGAGGAAGACTTCCTGGAACTGCCTTTCTTCCACTAACAGGACCCTGGGACCTGTAGGAGCACCCCGTTTGGGACTGTGAGGTGTTTGAGGGTGTGGACTGGCATCCAGCAGCCACTAACAAACACACAACTGGTGTGTAAAAGGCAGGCCTTACATTAGAAGCCAAGCCAATCCTTTTTCTTTTTTTTGGAGGTCCCACCGAGATAGATAGGAACTTGGATTGCTGAATTCAAAAACAGAGCCCATTCTTAAGATCACTTGGTGCCTTAAAGACACGCATTCCAAAGTGGAATGTGGTTGAAGAAAGTGGGCCAGGTGGTTGAAGAAAGCCATGTGGGAGCTCAGCAAATCCCAAGGGCTTATTATGACACTCCAGATGGTCTCCTTAGCATCTCAGCTCTTCTGCAAGGAAGAGCTTGGGTGTTAGGCCTCAGAGGCTGTAGGGTCCTTGGGTTACAGAGCCGGGGAGAACGAAGTTCTGTGACCCAGGGGTGGAGAATACACTCTAGGTTTGCAGGCTGGTGGGCTTTCAAATTGGTACTTCCAGAGGAAAGCCAAGCTGCTTCTGTTGTGAGCGAATCAGCCAAGAGCCTGAGGCTGAAGGGAAAAGTACACAGAGGAAGATATTTTACAAACCAGGTCAGTGTAGGCCAAGACTTATGGTCTACAGATTTTGGCGGGGGAGGGGGGACCTTTTCAAAGACAATAGGGGGTCTTGACATGTTTGTTGTATGTAAAGATGATAAGATTAAAATTTTTGATTTTCCTAAAATCCTTGGCGTACTTTCTGTTTCTGAGACCTAGCAAAATTTCAAACAAACACTGGGTAATCCTGATAAGGCCTGGCAGAGACAGGGCAGATGCTGGCACACACGGAGCTGGCAGGGTATGTGACTGGTCTGCCTGTCTAGTCTGTTTGCTTTGGGACCACATCAGTGAAGCCAAGTCATGCCAACCTCCTACTGAAGAGACTCCCATAGCACATTGCTCTTATATATGAAAATGTTCACTCCTGTACTCTCAGCTATAAAAAGAAAAGCAGTCATTCTGAGGATTAAATGGCACCGTGTAGACATGTAGCACTGTGCCTAGACACAGTGTTCATTATGTGCCTTTCCCCTTTTCTTGGTTCTTCTCCCATGCCTCTGGAATAACACAGGTCTTTTTTCCCTATGTTTTTTATATATTAATTATACACACATATAGAGTCAGGGTGTCACTATGTTGCCCAGGCTGGTCTGGAACTCCTGGGCTCAAGCTATCTTCCTGCCTCAGCCTCCCAAAGTGTTGGGATTATAGGCGTGAGCCACTATGCCTAGCCTTTTCTGTCTTTTCTATTTGTCATCATCTCACGTCCTTTCTTAATTTAAGCCTTCCTCACATTACCTGACATCAGGAGTTCAAGACCAGCCTGGCTAACGTGGTGAAACCCCGTCTCTATTAAACAAAAATTAACCAGGTGAGGTGGCATGCACCTATAGTCGCAGCTACTCGGGAGGCTGAGGCAGGAGAATCACTTGAACCCAGGAGGTGGTGGGTGCAATGGTCCGAGATCGCACCATTGCACTTCAGCCTGGGTGACGAGCGAAACTCCATCTCAAAGTAAAGTAAAAAAAATAAAAGCCTTCCTCAACCCTCTCTCCTTTAGTTCTTGTAAAATGAAACACTTCTGTCTCTCCCACATTCAACAGTTTATTGTGCTCATTTACTCAACTGCCTCAAGGTTAGAAAGTACCTACCCTGAGCCACATTAGGTACTCAAATATTCAAATCAATGAAATAAAAGGGTTTTAGTTTCATACCACTCAAGGGATAAAAGAGAACTCGGCCTAATGGTACAATCAGATGGAGCCAGTGTTAGCTTCCTACTCACAGGTCTTCCGTCTCAAGCATCCCAGAAGATGTAGGCCACCCGATGCTACTGCACACCAGGCTCTAAACACACTGAATACACTCGTTGAAGGGTAAGTCTCAGAGACAGAACACGTGGCATTCGTTCCAGCACTGGCCAGCTGTGTTTGGTGTCATAAATAGAGGATCTGAACCTCCCACCTTGGGAACCAAGACAAGCAGCAGAATATAGTGGTTCCAAACACATGCTCTGGAGCCAGACTACCAGGGCTGGAGCCATGGTTTCATCACTTAGCACTGTGAGGCCATGGGAAAGCAGTTTAGCCTCAGTGTCCACTCCAGCATAACTACCTACCTCACAGGGTTGCTGGATGACATGAGTTCATCTTTATAAAGTGCCTATGAAACCGCTTTTGCAAAATTCATAAACTGAGAAAATTATGAGTGACATATCAGACCTAACTGACCCCATCTTGTTGCTAACCTCTAAACTGTCCTTGTTCATTCCTGGGCATAGGCCAAACTAGCTTTGGGAAGGATTTTTGTGTATAGTTTGTCAAAAAATAGCCCTTCCCAAAAGGCTAAACAGTTCTTGTAAAACAAATGAAAGGCCACCAAGTCAAGATGAGAGAAACTGGAATTCTTACCAGCCATTATTCTAGAGGTCCTAAGATTTGCAACTTCCCCAATTACTCCTGAAGGTTAACGTCACTATTGTGAGCCTAAGATTGGCCTTTTTGATGTCTTTTCAGGTTTTTCATTTCTAACAACCAGATGGCCCCACCTGGACCTGCCAACCAGTTCTGTGGCCCCCACCTAGGAACTGACTCAGCAGAAGAGAACAGCTTCGATTCCCCATGCTTTTACTCACCAAATTATCCTTAAAAACTCTGATCCCCAAGTTTTCTGAGACTGATTTGAGTAATAATAAAACTCCGGTCTCCCGCACAGCCAGCTCTGTGTGAATTATTCTTTCGCCATCGCAGTTCTTCTGTCCTGATAAACTGGCTCTGTCTAGGCAGTGGGCAAACTCATCCCAGCACTTTGGAAGGCCAAGGCGGGTGGATCACTTGAGGTCAGGAGTTCCGGATCAGCCTAGCCAACATGGTGAAAGCCCATCTCTACTAAAAATACAAAAATTAGCTGGGCATGGTAGCACGCACCTGTAGTCGTAGCTCCTTGGGAGGCTGAGGCAGAAGAACGGCTTGAACCCGGGAGGTGGAGGTTGCAGTGAGCCGAGATCGTGCCACTGCACTCCATCCTGGGCAACAGAGGGAAACTCCGTCTCAAAAAAAAAAAAAAATATCGTAAGTCAAATCACATTGAGAGATTCTTGGAAGATTCTAAAAAGACTTTCTAGACAACCAAAAATGAGTGGGAGAAAAGGACTGAAGGTGGAGTGTGAGGAGGTGTATAAACTGCTGCTTACCAGCCTTTTCAATTGGGCCTCACGTACGCACAACTTGTGTATATTCTACCCATACCTGTTAAGGTTACTTCTAAAAGCAATAACTCATTCATAAAAACTTGAAGACCACGTCAAACAAGAATAGAATGTTATCCTGTGAGGTTCTACACCTACTCTATAAATGCTACATTGACTCAAAACACTTAGAACTTACTTGGAGTTGTCCTCAGAATGGATTTTGAGAGAATTAAATTTCACTTGACAGTCGCTTCATGTTGAAGACACACAAACAAACACATTACCCACCTTATGCACAGCAGCCTGGACTCCAGATGATGCCTTTTGTTCACTTCCAAAAATGTAATCCATCAAAGGATGAGTATTCACCCCCGCAGAGGACATTCTAAAGAATGTGCCAGGCTGGGTGCGGTGGCTCACACCTGTAATCCCAGCACTTTGGGAGGCAGAGGTGGGTGGATCATGAGGTCAGGAGATCGAGACCATCCTGGCTAACATGGTGAAACCCCGTCTCTACTAAAAATACAAAAACTAAGCCGGGCGTGGTGGCGGGCGCCTGTAGTCCCAGCTACTCGGGAGGCTGAGGCAGGAGAATGGTGTGAACCCAGGGGGCGGAGCTTGCAGTGAGCCGAGATCACACCACTGCACTCCAGCCTGGGCGACAGAGCGAGACTCAGTCTCAAAAAAAAAAAGAATGTGCCAGAGGGATGCTTGCTAAAATCAGCTTCTTTACCTTATAGACATCTGCATTACAGAGAGAGAAAGAAATGCTGCTTAGACTCCCTGTCAACTAAAATCATGGGAGAAACACTCCAATCTCCAGCCTACTTTGCCAATAAAATATTGCAACCTTTATTTAAAACAGAACACAACTTGGCAAACCTTGTGAGAAGACAGAGAAAGCAGTCCCTTTCAAGGGCCTCATTTATTTACATCAAGTTTAACACTGTTAGCAGTTCACAGTCAGACAACAGACGGAGAGAATTAAATTAGAAAAACAACTGAAAATATATTACAATAACAATTAAGAACAAATACCTGACAACACTGGTAATGTGACACACAATTGATGTGTTTTTAGTTAAATCCCACATTGTCTCACTATGTCCCCTTAGCAATGCACACAGTGCCCGATGCTCCAAACCTCACCCTCTGTGCACCACATACACACCTGCGGGGCGGGACCTTTGGTATAAACGTTCAACGAGTTTTAAAGAATTGAATCCGCATGTTTGGGGACAAAGTTCTGTCAACCACCATGAAATGTTTAAACTTATTTTTACTAAGCGAGCATAAAACTGGGGTTTGTCCAGTGACAGTCATTAGAGAATCAGACTGCAGAGAAGGAAAAGTGCAGGGTCTGGGAGGAGATGGAGGTTCTGAGTATACATCAACAGCTAAGTCAGCCTGTTCACAGTCAACACACCAACCACGCCACTGCTGTTCATCCAAGGAAAGATCTGAGCGATTCCTCTTTTACTTACTCCCCCTTTCTTAATGGGCACGACAGCAATGCACGTGTATTTATGGACACAAACACACACCAGCTATACAGATCTGAGATGAGAGGGTTTTCAAACATATGCCCTAAAGAACCATAAACAAGTATCTCATTGTTCCTTTCTAGTTTCTGAATACTGATTGACAATTGGCCTAATCATGGTGATTTCTCAAGATCTCAAGAAATTCCTCTCAAAACATAATGGAGGCCAAATGGCCACAGTGAGAAATTGCTGTCAAAATGGAGGAGAGCTGGTTTCTCTGGCCCTCATCTACCAGAAGCATCTCTGTCCCCTGGCGTTCTTGCCACTCACAATACCTGGTATGGTACTTCTGAACTGTGCAGAACAGTATCTGAGGTTTACTGTTGATGACACTAAAGCGTTCCCAGTCCTGCAAAACCTTCTGAAACAACAATAAATTTGCATATTCTTTTTATTGTGTCATAATTGCTGAAAATTAAGTATACATATATGTGAAAATTTAAGTCCCATTCTCCAACTAAAGTTTATGGTGCCTAATTCCGAAGCAAATTTAAGCAAGTTCTGACTACACAAACTCCTTATGTTTCCTTTCATAAAGCCTGCTAGCATTCGACAGTTTGCCTCCAGCTTTTCTAAAAGGTTACTTAGCATGCTCGGAGACCTCAGCTTCTGAGGGTTCAGCTCAGTAGCCTGGAGTGACAGGTAGGACCCTGAAAATTTGCTGATGCGAGTACAGTGATGAACAAAGAACCTTCCAGAATAGACACAGATGACATGTATCACAATTCTGCTCCAAATATGGTGTGGTCTGAGGACAGTGCTGTGCCTGGCCTTTCCCCTTCAACACGCCAGCTGCTCCCTCAGAGTGAACAGGGCTTTGCTACTCTGCTCAGGTCAAAAGGTAAGATTTTTGTAGGAGAGGTAAACAATTTCAAAGTTAGAGATGTACATGGGGATGAAGAAGTAAGTGCACTTGGAGGGAAGGGTCCGGCGAGACCTCGCCAGGTGGGCTTGAGAAACGCAGCAACTGCCAAGTGAACACTCTCAGGAAACCACTTCAAGTGGCGGATTCTCACAGATGGAGGATCTGGCCACTGCCATCTGAGAAGCTCGTGTCTACCAGCTCTAGTTCAATAATCATGCAAAATCAACCCAGCTGACAAGTCTTTTCCTCTCTGAGACTCATGAAACCCATCTTTGAAGGCACAAATCTCCAAGGGTGGCCTCTCAGCAGTTTCTGCCATTCCAAGTCAGCTTTGAATCATGACCTGCCACAGGCCTCCTTACCTGGGAAGAAGTATGGGATCTTCTTATCTTGATCCCACAGGGTGAAGCCTTCCCTAATTTCCTGTCCTTTGGATCTAGGATATTGAGTCAGAAATGAAGGTATCCTTTTTTTTTTTTTTCTTCTTAACGTGTCTCACTCTGTCACTTAGGCTGGAGTGCAGCGGCGCGATCTCAGCTCACTGCAACCTCCGCCTCCTGGGTTCAAGCAATTCTGCCTCAGCCTCGGGAGTAGCTGGGATTACAGGCATGTACTACGCCCGGCTAATTTTTATATTTTTAGTAGAGACGGGGTTTCACCATGTTGGCCAGGCTGGTCTCAAACTCCTGACCTCAAGTGATCCGCCCATCTTGGTCTCCCAAAGTGCTGGGATTACAGGCACGAGCCACTGTGCCCAGCCAAAAGGTATCATCTTGTACATACTCAAGATAGAATACATACCTCAGAGAGGTGGCATGAAAAGCAGAAATTCATCCGTCTGCACATTGCAATAAACTTCCCAAGAGACAGGCTGGACTGAGTCATGGGGGTGAGTGCTCCAGAGTAGGCTGTAGCTTGTCCCACAGCCCTGAATCCCACCCATGCTTCTCAGTAAGAGAGGAGCGTAGGGAATGACAGTGAAGTTCAAGTGAACTACAGTTGTGCTGAACAGAGCAAGTAACAATAACTATTACTACTGGCTTGCTGGAAAAAAGAAAAAAAAAGCAAGCTTTGCATTAGAATTTCTTTTTTTTTTTTTTTTTTTTTTTTTTTTTTTTTTTGAGACGGAGTCTCACTGTCACCCAGGCTGGAGTGCAGTGGCGCGATCTGGGCTCACTGCAAGCTCCGCCTCCTGGGTTCACGCCATTCTCCTGCCTCAGCCTCCCCAGTAGCTGGGACTACAGGCGCCCGCCACCACGCCCAGCTAAGTTTTTGTATTTTTAGTAGAGGTGGGGTTTCACCGTGTTAGCCAGGATGGTCTCAATCTCCTGACCTCGTGATCCACCCGCCTCAGCCCCCCAAAGTGCTGGGATTACAGGCGTGAGCCACCGCACCCGGCCAGAATTTCTTTAAGTCTAGTAGTTGGAAAACCAGAACTCTATCCAAATGATATAGATATCTTGACTGTTAAGAGTTGGAGACGTTTCAGAAGTTCTCACATACTCCTACGGATCCCAGACTGAAGCAGGAATTTACAAAGGAAGTGAGCTACTACTGGCTTGATACAAGCTAAGACAGAGACACAAACCGCTGAAGCCTATCAATACTTAAGCCAGAGACCCACCTACAAAAAGAGGATTGGTCATAGCAGATCCTTAGGGCACAGAGATGAACCCCAAATCCAGGTGGAACAATTTAATGCAAGATGATGAAACTCAAAAATCAAGAACAAAAATATAGATAACCCTGTCAACCCAATATGAACTCCTGGTAGGGGCACAGCCTGATAACAAGAATGACATCAGTAGCAAAATGGAAGGGAGCAGAAGGGGTCATAATGAAATGTAGCTATAATTCAGAAGTGGCCACCAAGGCAATTTACTTTTGAGTATTTTATAATAGGTGAATTAAATTCAGCTATTCTTTTTAGAAAAAGAAAAAAAAGATGACAAATGTCAATGTCATTTATAACTGGTAGGAAATCCTAGAAAAGTAATTCCCAAAGTGCACTGGTTTTATGGCCATCCACCTCCCCCTGTAAACCTAACAAAACTATGCAGGACATAGGTTAAAAAAGACACTGTCAACATCAACAGATAACAAGTCTGTTCCCACCACATTTAGGATAAATGGCCAAGCATATAGTGGATAAATGGAGAAGAGTAAGAGGACCTCATCCTTCTTGAGTCAAGGTCCTTGGAAGAGCTTCTGTGTTCTGGAGTGAGTACACATTCTTACTTTTTAAAGATCGGAATTAAACCAAAAAGTTGGTCCCTAGTTTCCTGAAGTAATTCAGCTCTGAACTACAACTTTAGCAAACACTTGCTATACCTGCTCATACCTGTTAAGCAGTTTCATATTTCTAAATGTGATAAATGACAGAGGTGATTCTTACGTATCTACATTTTCAGGTACCCCACAGGGTCCATCCACATTGAATCAACTGTCTTATCTTTTAAACAGACAATACTACAACCTTATAGTTATATTACAGTTGATATTTTCTCAAAGTGCTGTCATATACATTATCTCATAGTCATTAAAATAATGTGAACAATAAAGTTTTTTTAAAGAAAAGGGAATGTAGGACTAACTAGGTTTTTTAAAAACTCAAGTTGGTATTTCTTTACTACAAAGTGCACATTGCTGTGTTGCTGAGGTCTGTCCAAAAGAATGACCCCATTGAATTTTTTAAATGACTGAATTCTACTGAGTGCTTGCTTGGCTTGTGTTCCCATTACTCCACATTCAAGCCCCTTAAGGTCAAAGTGTCAGGAGCATGTGCTTTAGAAAGTGTGCAGCACCACACAGGCTGATTGTCGGTCTGAGCCACTTTTTTGCAGTGTCTCACATGGCAGCAGGTATGGTGGAAAGACCCCACAACCATAAAGTCAAGAGACTTGAATTCTAGCCTTGGCTCCGCCACTAATTAACCGTTCTGAGACAATAGGCAAGTAATTTAACCATCTTCTGCTAGTTTCTTAATCTATAAACCAAAGGGTTGGGGTACTGATAGTTTTCAGATAGCACTGGGTGTTTCAAACACCTGGCGAGATTACTGGAGAATACACTGGCCGAGACCCCAGCCCACTGGGAATTCTGATCTGGAGTGGGGCTATTCCGTCAGTTTTTTTTGTTTGTTTTGTTTTGTTTTTTAACCCTAGGGGATTCTGCTGTGCATCCCTAGACTAGGTGTTAATAATAGTAGTAGTAGAACATTTATAGAGTGTGCTCATTGTGTGCCAGGCACTTGAGCTAAGTATCTTACAAATATCATCTCATTTAATCCTTACAACAACCCTGAGGTAGTTACTATTATTATCCCTGTTTTACAGTGAGGAAACTGAGGCTCCCAAGGTTAAATGACTTGCCTTTTAGACTGGCATTAGAGCCTAAACACTAAACCACTATCTATACTGCATCCTTTAAACTCAAAATCTCCATGACTTTAGTTAAATAAAAATGGGCAGTGCCTTAGCAAAGTCAGCATGCTTTATTACCTGGGACATATTTTACTAGCCAATTTTCAGTTGAATCCTAAGAAACTTTCTATCTAATTTAAATCTTAAAATGCTGCTGGTAAAGGGTCTCCACTATAATGACCTCTATGTACAGAGGTCATCTAGAAAAACACTGAATGAATTTCTTAGGGCCAAATTTTTTAAGGCTAATCTCTGAAAATCATGATGGAAGTCTACAGGAAAATATATACATTTAAATTTTACACAAAGCCTTTTAAGAAAATACTTTAGGTAAAGCACAATCAAGATGTATTCAACACAAATCACTGCATTTTAAAGTGGGAAATCTAAACTGAAGTAATATTATCTGTACATGAAAGGAATCAAGCAGTGGCAGCCCAAAGGCATGCATCCAGATATACAGCATAACCACTTTAGAAAACTGTCAACGCCTTGGACAAGGGCCTTTGCTCATTGCTTTTAGAATAGTTAAAATTAAACTACACTTTTCCAGAAGCAGTTCTCTCTGCTTTGGATTCAAACCTTTTAATTTACATAAGGGTTTGTGTTTAAGCTGGTCCTTTTCAAGTAGAAAAAGGAAAAACCTAAATTATGCTTGTATAGTAAGTTGACAGTGCCTCTTTAACCTGAACCTTGAGCCCTCAACCCCTGAAGTTACATAGTTCAAGCATCATGTGGACGGGGTATGCTCCAATAGTCAATGCCACTCTTGACAGTGTTGACAAAAATCAATTCCATTTATATATCGTGCACCCACTGTAGGCAAGACAGCTAGGTGCTGCCCCTGAGTAAGACACAGCCCCCACCCCCTACCCTTCAGATTGTTGTTGGGCAAGAAAACCAGGGAGCCTAAATACACTCAGTAGTGTTTCTCCAAGGCTTAGTTCCAGAACTCTCAAGGGAAAATAGAGCCCTTGCTTAAAAAACAAAAAACAAAAAAACCCTGAAAAACAATTACAATCCCTTAACTTGCATCCCACAACAACAGGGATAAACCTAAAAAGCAGCATAATAATATTCTACAGTTTTAGCTTTCCCATCCTCGACCTTAAAAGGCTAGCTGCTAAAACGAGTTCTTCAAGTTTACGGACATGTATGATGAGCAAGAATGGCAGGAAAGAAGGTGGGAGAAGGACCGCTGGTTTTTACATCTGAGTTCTCTTCCAACCACTAGGAGGAGATGAACCCAATCACTAGCTGCCTGTGCTGCAACTGCAGGTGACATACTGCGGGGATCACCCAACACCTGCCAGGAATGCCCAGCACCGCGTGTCTCCTCTAATCCTCTTAACCTGGGCCTCCTTTGGAGCAGCAATGGTAAGAATCAAGGTTTCCTTTCTTTCCAATGAAAACTCAATTTTGTTCTTGGTCAAAAATGCCAAACTCTATTCAAAACATAGTTTTCCCCTTAGTATTCTAGCCCAATTCATATAATCTCAACAATTCTTAATTTCATTAATATTTTCTACTCAGCAAATAAGATAATGGAAAACAATTCAGCATAACAACACTGCACTAAAAGAGCTTTCCAGAGAGGCTCTCCAAGGGATAGCTGCACACTTACTTGCAACACCCTTGAGAACATGTACTGTTACCTTAATTAAATAGATTAAGAGATGAGGCTGTGGTTTGACAGTGTATCAATGACAGAGCCAGAAGAAAACTCAGTGCTCAATGTTGAATTCCTATCTTCCTAAGCTAATATTCCTTTGAGAGAATAAAATAAAAATATGTGTGTATTGAGCTCTCCTTGGGGAGGATGGGGGAAGTATTCATAAAGCTTTAAAAAGAGAATGAAGCAGTAACTGGAATTAGACCCGATACCAAGAACATTAATAATACCTAACTCATTAGATTCACTTCCATGCCATCCTAATTAGCTTCCACAATTATAACTAAGGAAGGAAGGAAAAGGCCTATTTTTCAAGGGCAAAACATATTTAAGGATTAAGTCATTAGGTTCCCAGGGTCTACCTGGTGCTCCCTGAAAATGACTACTCCTTCAATTATGCATTCTTAAAATAGAAGTGAAATGACAAAATAAATAAAGAATATTCCCAATAAGATCTGTACAAATAAGCACAATGATTGGGTGGGGGAGTAGGGAGGAATATGTGAGAGAAGAAAAGCATGTGAGAATAATGTGGGGGTGATTCACTTCAAATCCATAGAGAGGAGAATGCCTCTCCCTATTCTCTACCTGGATTGGGCTTAAGGTGGTAAGGGAAGGGAAAGGTACAGAGAAACAGCCATTAGGACCAAGCCAGCTTTTCCTCTCAGTCACATACAGGCCACTGGGTTTCAAGAAAAGACCATCTCCCTGGTATTTTAGTTGATAAAGAAAAATACACAGCTGCTCAAGTCCTTGGCCAGTATGTCAGTATGCAGGGGAACTGTATCAGAACAGGATTCATTCCTTTGTGAGAACCTGTAGGGACTACTATTTTCAAAATCAACACTGGTTAATGCTCTGAATGCTACCAGGAATAAAGGAAGACAGCCTGCCCAGCAAAAGACAGAGAAGAACCACTAGGGAGACCCCTGTACTTATGGTTTACAGATAGCCACCAACAGGCAGGAAGCCGATCCTGGTCCATTATGAAATAATATACCAGACTGGGAGAAGTGACTTCTGCTAATCTGTGTAAGATTTTAGAAGGTTTTCAATTTCTGATTCAACTTTCCAGCATTCTTTACTTCCTGCACTAACTGATACACCAGCGGAAAATAGGACAGAGGCATTCAGATAGGGCCATATTTCCCAGTTTTATGTTGTAGCACTCTGATTTGCAGTTCTTATTACAGCAGCAATGGCCTTGTGGAAGCAAGGCTAACAGCTACTTCCAACAGCCCTGAACAAAAATTTCTCTTGGTACATTCCCAGCTTTCTTTTCTGCTGTCCCACCAAATTCATTAGGTAAATTGGAGCATAATCACCATTAGTACCTACCAGAGCCCCAGGTCTGGGTGCAGCTGCTGCAGTCTTGCTGAGAGCAGCCCTGCCTAGCACTTCCCAGCATTCCAGGTAGGGATGGGCTGCATTGCCTTCCTTATGACATACACATGTTCCCTATTTTCCAGTGCAGTTTCCAACCCTGTCCACTACTGCCTTGCCCCCACTTAATTTACCTCTCCTATACTTATGTGGTTTGCTTCTTATTTTTGAGATGAAACTGTAAACGTGAGAACTCAGGGATCTGAGGTACTTCACATAAACACACTCAAGTATGAGTCTTTCATTTTCTGAAAACAAGAACACAGGAAAACAAGTCCTTTTCCCTCTCCCCTCAGAAATGTGTGCATTTTCCCACCAGGCTAACAGTGGCTACCTCTGCACCACATCACTGATTTCCTGTACACATGACAATAAGTTATTAAGGACAGGGTTTGTCCCGGGCACACCAGCAGCTGCTGAAGAAACCTGTAGCTCCTGCAGGCTGAGTTCCAGTTTGCTCACAGCCTCTCGGAAGGCAAATTTGTTGCGAGTTTGAGGGATGCAGTCCACATAGCCTGAGCAGTAGTCAAGCAGCTGGTGTCCAGTGTCTACCAGCTGGCTGTTGGGCACAGGTTCCGTGAGTGCACTGGACAGTAGGTCAGCACATTCCAGCAGGGCCTCTTTGCTGATTTTGTCTGCTGAGATTTTCTCAGCGGCCTGTTTGGTTTTTCTCAGAGCCACTTTAGTACCTGCTGTGCCATTGGCCATTTTGGCTGGCGAGATGGAAGATGTGGGCAGAGGCACTTGAGGTGGAGGCATCACTGGCCTCCCAGCTTTCCCACTGATGGGCACTGCGCCCAGAGCTGCCTTCTTTCCTCCTTCCTGTGTTTCTGATGTGGACTGTCCTGCAGTTAGGGCAGTTGGCTCTTCTGTAGGGTCTGAGCAGATGGACGGATGCTGCAGTAGTCTCATCACTGGTGGTGGGGGTGGGGCACACTTTGGTTTTACCCGTCGGGGTCGGTCCTTGTCTCCAGAGGATGTGACCTGATGCTCAGATAAGAGCTTGAATTTATTCCCCTGAGAGTCTGTGCCAATGAGCTGCACGTCAGCTGGAGTGTGTTTCAGAGTGGGTGAGATAAGGACTGGCACTTTGTGGTTGTGAGTGGTTGGGAGGACGGGGGCAGCCTTGGCTGGAGAAGGCCAGCCCGGCTGCTCTCCATCCTCTGGAACTCCAGCCATCCCAAGTCGTGCCCCACCATTCTTCTCTTTACCCTTGGGGGCAGCTGCCACTCCAGCCACTCCCACCCCTGGAGGGTCCTTCTCTGTAATGGCTAGATCCCCAGAGGGTGTTCTGAGAGGAAGAGCTGTGGCTCCTCTGGGCAATAACTTGGCTTTTGGTCTCTCCCTGCTTGGAGCAGCACTTTCCTCTGATTTTTTTGGAAGCATGTCATTGGCCCTGTCCACATTCTCTTCTGGCTGAGAAGAGGTGGACACTGTCCTTTCCAGCTGGAGTTTGGACCTCTGGCAGTTCCTGGGAAGGGTCATTGCCATCCTATCCTGCTCTGGAAGCCCTGAGGACATGGAAGATGTAGAGTTTGACCTTGGAAAAGGCTTGGAAGTGTCATCACTGGCTGTGGGTTTACCTGCTCGTAAGCCCAGTGTCTTTTTGATTAAGCGTGGTGTAAAGAAGCCTGTGATGCCAGACCACCCACCCCCAGCAGTGCCACTGCCCCCACCCCCACCACCGTCGTCATTACAGAGGTTCCTCTGTGCAAAGCTCCCCCCATAGCACTTGGGTGGCACCAGATTCGCCTCTTGCTGGGCAGGAGTGAAAGAGAACCCATCAGCATGCTGTAGAGAAGCAACAGATGAGAAGTTACCCGTGAGTTCGTATTTCTTATGGGGCTGATTCTCCATTTCTCGGAAGGAGCTGCTGCGTTTGGGGGGTGTAGGAGCATTTCTCTTCTTCATGAAGGAGCTGAAGAAGCCCCCCTTCCTATCCCTGGTGAAGCATGTCTCTTTGGCATCTTCCAAGAGGCTGCTGGGTGACTTGTCTCTTTGCTTTCGAGGCAGTGCTGGGGATCCACTAGAGGCCTGTGCACCTCTGATGAACCCTGATGAGAAATGGCCGATCAGTAACTTAAAAGACAAGAAGTGAATCTATTACATTTGAGTTACCGAGGCTGCATTATGAGTTTTGTCAGCATTTATCAAAGGTCAGGTGTTGGCAGGACTCAGAAGCAAATAATAAATACATTATCATTTCACAGTGACTGGTGTTCCAAATGTGATGTAAGTTAAAAATGGGGGAAGATAGGGGGCCGGGCACGGTGGCTCACGCCTGTAATCCCAGCACTTTGGGGGGCTGAGGCAGGAGGATCAGGAGGTCAGGAGATCAAGACCATCCTGGCTAACACGATGAAACCCCATCTCTACTAAAACTACAAAAAATTAGCTGGGCATGGTGGCGGGCGCCTGTAGTTCCAGCTACTCGGAAAGCTGAGGCAGGAGAATGGCGTGAACCCAGAAGGCGGAGCTTGCAGTGAGCCGAGATCGCACCACTGTACTCCAGCCTGGGCGACACAGTGAGACTCCGTCTCAAAAAAAAAAAAAGAAAAAAAAAATGGGGGAGGAGATAACCTGCTGGTTATTACCTCAACACTCATCCTTTCTTTAAAAACCACTGCGCAACCTCTTCTCCTCTATCGGGTTCAGCGAAGTTTTTGATGGAACTGTAAAGATGATACATACTTGGGAACCCAGGGGTACGGAGATGAAACTGGAGCCAGAGTTGTATGTTGGATGGATAGCCAAGGGCTTCATGGGTGGGTAAAAGAGACGCCATGCTTTCCCCAGGGAGGACGGGCATGAAAGTGGACATAAAAGCCTCACACCCCATGCTTCTTTAAACAAGGCAGTTTCTATTTTGATTCTACCTGCTAAGGGACCCATACCTGGTGCTAAACTGGAAGCAGAATTTTCTGTGGCATCTTGTGCCCCTTCAATGTTCTCCTTGTTCTCCACCTGTTTCTTCAGTGTCCGAGTCTTGGAAGGAAGTATAGGTAGCCGGGGCAGGTATGGAACAACAGATGACGAGGAGGCGGCTCTCCCAAGCTCCTCAGCTACCTCTGTGAGGAAGACAAGGGGACCAATAAAAAGAACAATTTCATAGCAGAAAAAGGGAGTTCTTTTCAGAAAAGGCACACAACTGAGAAAGAACTGGCAAGTAGAGTACTAAAATACATACACGGAATCATAAAGTATGTACTCTTTTGTCTGGCTTCTTTCGCCCAGTATCATGTGTGTAGATTCGTCCACGCTGCTGCATGTGGCAGGGGTTCTCATTGCTGTGTAGCATGCCAACGTGTGAATATACCACAATCCACCTGTTCTCCTCTTGATGGATGTTTAGGTTGTTTCCAGTTTGGAGTTACTATGAATACGTTGCTAGCATCATCCTGCTCTGTGTCTTTTGGTTCACAATGTTATGCACGTCTGATTGGCACAATGTAGGAGAACTGGTGGATCACAGGGTATACGTGTATTCAGGTTTATTAGGCCCTGCCAACCTGTCCCCAAATAGCGATACTATTTTGCATGAAAGCTGTGGTTACTCTGCATGCTTGCTAAAATTTGATGTTATTATTTTTGGCTTTTTTTTTTTTTTTTTTTTGCAGATGGAGTCTCACCCTGTTGCCCAGGCTGGAGTGCAATGGCGTGATCTCAGCACACTGCAACCTCTGCCTCCGATGTTCAAACGATTCTCCTGTCTCAGCCTCCCAAATAGCTGGGATTACAGGAGCCCGCCACCACACCCAGCTATTCTTTGTATTTTCAGTAGAGATGGGGTTTCACCATGTTGGCCAGGCTGGTCTCGAACTCCGGAACTTGTGATCCACCCGCCTCAGCCTCCCAAAGTGCTGGGATTACAGGTGTGAACCACAGTGCTCAGTCTTTTTTTTTTTTTTTTTTTTTTGACAGGGAGTCTTGCTCTGTTGCCCAGGCTAAAGTGCAGAGGTGCGATCTCAGCTCACTGCAACTTCCGTCTCCCGGGTTCAAGTGATTCTCCTGCCTCAGCCTCCCAAGTAGCTGGGATTACAGGCGCCTGCCATCACGCCTGGCTAGTTTTTGTATTTTTAGTAGAGACGGGGTTTCACCATGTTGGCCACGCTAGTCTCCAACTGCTGACCCCAACTGATCCACCTACCTCAGCCTCCCAAAGTGCTGGGATTGCAGGTGTGAGCTGCTGTGCCTGCCAAGCCTGATTTTAATTTTAGCCTTTTTGGTAGGCTGTGGATTGGTATCTCAGTGTGGTTTTATTTTGTATTTCTCTATGATGAGTAATGTTAAACATGGTTATTGGACATATGGATATCCTCGTTTACTAAGTTAAAGTTAACCTTTAACTACTTTCCATGTCAATATATCCAAGAAGGCCGGGCGCTGTGGCTCACACATGTAATCCCAGCACTTTGGGAGGCTGAAGTGGGTGGATCACTTAAGGTTAAGAGTTCGAGAGCAGTCTGGCCAACATGGCGAAACCCCATCTCTACTAAAAATAACAAAAATTAGCCAGGTGTGGTAGCAGGTGCCTGCAATCCCAGCTACTCAGGAGGCTGAGGCACAAGAATTGCTTGAACTTGGGAGGTGGAGGTTGCAGTGAGCTGACATCGCACCACTGCACTCCAGCCTGGGTGATAGAGTGAGACTCCATCTCAAAAAAAAAAAAGTATATATATGAATATCATTTTAAATATTCAGCTATATGGTTGTAATAATTTACAGTCCACTAGATATATAAGTTGTTCATAATTTCTCACTATTATAAACTATACTCTGATGCAATGTCCTTGTAGTTAAAAGTTGAAACAGAGTCTCAAACTCCACAAAAGTTGATCATTTTTGAAATGTAATTACCATTATCACCACCACCACCACTACCCAGAATTAGTCACCAACAGTAAATCCAACAGATTCTCACCTTCAGAAATGCTGGAGTCATGGAACATGGTTTCAAAAGCTTGGTGTGTTTCAGCAAAAGAGGGCCTATCGGCAGGGCTCCACTTCCAGCCTATGTAACAGAAGAAAAAATATTAAAAACTCCTTGCAGAAATTCAATATCCAGTGGTGTATCTAATAATGAGTTCTATGCATCATGATGCACACTTATTAAAGTACAGTTACAGCATGTTCACAATGATAGCAACATAGCCACTTCTCAGCTCTAGACTCAGAGGTATAATGAACCCACTTTCTAAATTCCTTTTTTCTTTTTCTTTGAGACAGGGTCTTGCTTTGTCACCCAGGCTGGAGTGCAGCTGGCATGATCTCAACTCACTGCAGCCTTGACCTCCTGGGTTCAAACAATCCTCCTGCCTCAGCTCCCCAAGTAGCTGGGACTATGGGTGTGCAACACCACGCCCAGCTAATTTTTTTTTTTTTTTTGAGACGGAATCTAACTCTGTCACCCAGGCTGGAGTGCAGTGGCGCGATCTCGGTTCACTGCAACCTCTGCCTCCTGGGTTCAAGTGATTCTCCAGCCTCAGCCTCACGATTTGCTGGGGCTACAGGCGCACGCCACCACGTCCGGCTAATTTTTGTATTTTTAGTAGACAGGGGTTTCGCCATGTTGGCCATGCTGGTCTCGAACCCCTGACCTCAGGTGATCCACCCGCCTCAGCCTCCCAAAGCGCTGGGATTACAGGCTTGAGCCACTGCACCCAGCCAAAGTGAGCACACACAGCGATCTCAAGCTACTGTATTTTTTATGTAGATGGGATTTTGCCACATTGCTCAGGTTGCTTTTGAACTCCTGAGCTCAAGCAATCTGCTCACTTCGGCCTCCCAAACTGCTAGAATTACAGGTGTGAGCCACTGCACCTGGCCATTAACCCACTTTCTAAGGCTGGTGCTTCGATTTAGCCTCAGCTCCTATTCCCTCTAATAAAAGGATGAGGAGAAACAAGGAGATGTTTTAGAAAATGGCAAGTTTTCTTCCACTTGAAAATAAAAGAAGTAAAACCTGTCTTCAAACTCAGCCTAACCATATAATCAACTGTATACATTCAGAAATATAAAAGGATATCAAAAAGGAGGATCTCAGAGTTCATTTTTGACAAAGTGCAACAGAGAACGTCAATGTTCAATGAGGAAACAACACAGACTTATGTTCAAACACAACTGCAATTAGGACCAGGCCTGGTGGCCCACATCTGTAATCCCAGCATTTTGGGAGACTGAGTCGGGCAGATCACTTGAGACCAGGAGTTCGAGACCAGCCTGGCCAACATGGTGAAACCTTGTCTCTACTAAAAGTACAGGCCGGGTGCTGTGGCTCAAGCCTGTAATCCCAGCACTTTGGGAGGCCGAGGCAGGCGGATCACGAGGTCAGGAGATGGAGACCATCCTGGCTAACACGGTGAAACCCCGTCTCTACTAAAAAATGCAAAAAAAATTAGCCGGGCGTGGTGGCGGCCGGCGCCTATAGTCCCAGCTACTCAGGAGGCTGAGGCAGGAGAATGGCATCAACCCGAGAGGTGGAGCTTGCAGTGAGCCGAGATCGCGCCACTGCACTCCAGCCTGGGCGACAGAGCGAGACTCCGTCTCAAAAAATAAATAAATAAATAAATAAAAATACAAAAATTAGGCCGGGCGTGGTGGCTCATGCCTGTAATCCCAGCACTTTGGGAGGCTAAGGCGGGCGCATCACTTGAGGTTAGGAGTTCAAGACCAGCCTGGCCAACATGCCAAAACCCCATCTCTACCAAAAATACAAAAATTAGCCAGGCGTGGTGGCAGGTGCCTGTAATCCCAGCAACTTGGGAGGCTGAGGCAGGAGAATCGCTTGAACCTGGGGGACGGAGGTTGCAAAGATTGTGCCACTGCACTCCAGCATGGGCAACATAGTGAGAGTCCGTCTCAAAAAAAAAAAAATTAGCTGGGCATGGTGTGCGTGCCTGTGGTTCCAGCTACTGAGGGGCTGAGGCATGAGAATCACTTGAACCCATGAGGTAGAGGTTTCAGTGAGCCGAAATCACGTCACTGAGCCGAAATCACGTCACTGCACTCCAGCCTGGGCAACAAAGCAAGAGTGTTTGAAAAACAACAACACAAATAAACAAACAAACAAAACCCTGCAATTTAATCCACTATTCACTTTCCTACTTTTTCATCTGCAAGCAATCGGATGCTTCTGTTTATCTACACAGAGGTTATTTTTATGCATTCTTCATAGTCTTTAGCAATCATTTTTATCTAGTTGAAAACGGCCCTCCCCACCTTAATCTCTAAACTCAATTTCTTATCTTATTAAATATGCAAATGTCTCTGAGAAACTGGGTCAATATTTGGGCCATAACAACTATGCTTAGGATTCCAATAAGATTCAATGGTATATGATATGACAACTGGCTGATCAATGATAAACTCTTTAAATGTCATGAGGCTGGATTCAATCTAACAACACTGAGAGGAGAAATGTTTCTAATTTTGTTAACTATTCTGAACTGCTAGCTTATGCCTTCAAAATTAAAACATGCAAAAATACTCACATGCTCTCATAAGTTCATAAACCTTAGGGGGGCATCCCTCAGGCTGTTCCATTCGATATCCTTTTTCTAGTAGGTCATAGACCTGAGACAGGTCAATACCTGGATATGGTGACATTCCATAGGTAGCAATTTCCCACAACAATACCCCAAAAGCTGCATAAGGAATTAAAAAAAGCACTTAGTGTTTCTTCTCCGATTATTTATTTTACATAATTAGGTGATTCTCTTTCATATTTTAGGTAACATTCACACACTGTTACAACAACATTAATATATAATATACTCTTTTATCAATTCTTACAGCATGATTTGTCCTTCTAAAATATTTGCAACAGGAATGCTGCAGATAATCTCAAGACAGTTTTATTTAAATTTCCCAATTTTTATTTAGATTTCCTTTACTGTAATGAGGGAAAATAAACTATGACCATTTAAGAAGTCTGAGGCATAATCCAACTATTCTTAGAAAAGTTTTTGATATACAGTAGTCACCCCTTATCCATGGTTTCACTTCCCACAGTTTCAGCTACTCACAGTCAACCAAGGTCCAAAAATATTAAATAGAAAATTCCAGAAATAAACAATTCTAAAGTTTTAAATTGCATGCTGCCTTGAGTTGCATGATGAACTCTCAAGCCATGCTTCTCCTTCCCGCCTCGCACATAAATCATCCTTTTACTCAACATATCCACACCGTAGATGCTACCCACCCCTTAGTCACTGAGAAGACCTCTCGGTTATCAGATCAAAAAAAGATTATATATCCAGGGCTTGACACTATCCTTGGTTTCAGGCATCCAAGGGGGGGGTCTTAGAATGTATTCTCCTGAGGATAAAGGAGAACCACTGTATCTAAGAAGCATAACAGTTTTAAAGTCAGCTAATACAAGAGGAGTAAAATAAAAATGGATTCATTTAAAATCAGATAAAATTCAGAGCAGAAAAAAATTTGTTTGATTTTGTCTCAGTTATTTGAGTTTGAGATTTCCAGTAAAAAATGACTTAGAATCCTATGACTATTTCTATTGGTCCACAATCCAAATTTCCAGATTGTTCAGTCTACTAAGCTTCAACCAAATCATATTACCTCTCAGAGCAGTAGAAACCAGATCAATTAGGACAAATTCTAGAGGAAACCTCATCACACTTCCCTCGAAAAAAAAAAAAGCTCTGTGTCACAGTACTCTGCAAATGAGTGATAAAACCTAATGTGAGGCTGAGCACAGTGGCTCATGCCTGTAATCCCAACACTTTGGGAGGCCAAGGCAGGTGGATCATTTGAGGTCAGGAGTTCGAGACCAGCCTGGCCAACATGGCAAAACCTCATCTCTACTACTATGACAAAAATTAGCCGGGCATGGTGATGCATGCCTGTAGTCCCAGCAACTCTGGAGGCTGAGGCAGGAGAATCGCTTGAACCCGGGAGATGGGAGGTTGCAGTGAGCTGAGATTGTGCCACTGCACTCCAGCCTGGACAACAGAGCAAGGCTCTGTCTCAAAAATAAAAACAAAAAACCTAATGTGGAAATAGGATGCTTTACAGAGGGAGGATCATTAGCACTCCAATGCAATAAGAGATCTAGACTGTGAGCTCTCTGAAGGCAGGGACTTCTTTTTTAAAACTTTCTTCTTTCTTTTTTTTTTTTGTTTGAGACAGAGTTTTGTTCTTGTTGCCCAGGCTGGAGTACAATGGTGTGATCTCAGCTCACCGCAACCTCCACCTCCCGGGTTCAAGTGATTCTCCTACCTCAGCCTCCCAAGTAGCTGGGATTACAGGCATGCATCACCACACCCAGCTAATTTTGTATTTTTAGTAGACACAGGGTTTTTCCATGTTGGTCAGGCTGGTCTCAAACTCCTGACCTCAGGTTGTCCACCTGCCTCGGCCTCCCAAAGTGCTGGGATTACAGGCATGAGCCACTGTGCCTGGCCCTAAACTTTCTTCTTTATACTTTTTTTTTTTTTTTTCTTTTTAGACAGAGTCTCGCTCTATTGCCCAGGCTGGAGTGCAGTGGCGCCATCTTGGCTCACTGCAACCTCTGCCCTCCAGGCTCAAGCAACTCCCCTGCCTCAGCCTTCAGCCTCTTGAATAGCTGGGATTACTGGCGCATGCCACCACGCCTGGCTAATTTTTGTAGTTAGTAGAGATGGGAGTTCACCATGTTGGCCAGGCTGGTCTCGAACTCTTGACCTCAAGTGATCCACCCATCTCGGCCCAAAGTGCTGTAATTACAAACGTGAGCCACCACACCAGGCCTATACTTCTGTTTATGCAAAGTTCTTAACACAGTCCTGGCAGATAGGAGGTATTTAACAAATGCTTGCTGAATAACTGAAGAAGAATGGCAGGTAAAGGTAGAGGATACTGAACATCGTAAGAGAAGCTCTAAAGAATCAAGGCATTTATAAAAAAAAAAATAAAATGACACAGAAAAAAGTCCCTTTCAACCTTACCCCAGACGTCAGATTTAATTGAGAAGGTATTGTAGGCAAGACTCTCTGGTGCTGTCCACTTAATAGGAAATTTGGCTCCAGCATGAGCAGTATAAGTGTCTCCAGTCATCAATCTACTTAAGCCAAAGTCAGCCACTTTTACCACATGGTTTTCTCCCACTAGGCAGTTACGAGCTGCAAGATCTCTGTGGGAAAGAGAACCCTAATGTGATTCCATTCAGATGGTGAGGAAAATGGTCATGAACACTCTATTCTTGGTTTTGTGTTATAGGCAGAGTTAAGTAAGTGCTGACAAATATGGTAGTATCTTCTGATAATCACTAACACCTTAGAAAGCCACTAATGATATGTCACTGTAGAGCACTCATCAAGATGCGGAATAAAGCAGGCTTTATAAAATGGGTCCCTATTTATAAGTACACTGGGATAGGTGAGCAATAGATGCTTTTCTACAAGACTAAGTTATTTACTAATGCAGAAAACTATTTTAAAAATTCAGCCACTAGGCCAGGTGTGGTGGCTCACGCCTGTAATCCTAGCACTTTGGGAGGCCAAGGTGGGTGTATCTCCTGAGCTCAAGAGTTCAGGACCAGCCGGGGCAACATGGCGAAACCCAGTCTACAAAAAAAAAACAAAAAACAAAACAAACAAAAAAAAACCATAAAAAAACACTTAGCCGGGCATGGTGGCATATTCCCGTAATCCCAGCTACTCAGGAGGCTGAGGTGGGAGGATGGCTTGAGCCCAGGAGGCTGAGGGTGCAGTAAGCTAAGATCGCATCACTGCATTCCAGCCTGGGCGATGGAGCCAGCCTGTCTCAAGAAGGAAAAAAAAAAAAAGCCACTAGATGGTGAAAAAGGATCTTGGATACAGTGCTGGCAAAATAAAGAGAGCTCTCTGGCCAGGCATGGTGGCTCACACCTATAATCCCAGCACTTTGGAAGGCTAAGATGGGAAGATCACTTGAGGCCAGTAGTTTGAGACCAGCCTGGTCAACATAGCAAGACCCCATCACTATTGCAATTTTTTTTTAAGAGAGTTCTCAGGTTTGAGAATAGCAAAGGCCCCTTATTAATACTTTAATCAGAGTACAGTAGGTTTACAAGTTAGAAGTGACATTATAATGGGCCCTGTGAAATACAAAATTACTTTCTTGAATCATCTGAAATTTTCTGGGAAGGTTCTCACATTCTTCCTTTTATCTGCATGTCAAGCAAGATGGCTTCATGGTTGGTCAGAGGTAAGTTTTACACACCTATGGATGAAATTCTTCTTCTCTAAGTACTCCATTGCAGAAGAAATCTGAGTGGCCATGTAGAGCAGCACAACTGCAGTCACCTCTTCTCGGTTGCATTCTCGGAGGTAATCCAGCAAATTCCCGTATGGCATGTATTCAGTCACAATGTAAAATGGTGGCTCCAAAGTACACACACCTAAAAGTTGAACAATAGTGCTTGTTTTTATTAGTGTACATTCAAACACTCCAAACCACTTTGGCCAAGAATAATTTGACAATTTTTCAGGTCTAGTTCGGCAATAATCTTTTCCCTTCTTACCACCACGTTCTCTGAAATTAATAAGCAAAAACTAAGAAGCTGGTTTATAAGGGAGTCCTTGCTTTCACTGTATTGTTCTCTGGGAATTCATATGCCTCTGAGTATTTGTCTATTTGAGCAAAAGCAGAGTTACCTGTATTAATTCTATAAGGGGCCAAGAAAACCAACATGTCTAGAGTTTTGCACATGGCCCATGATTCTCCTCCTCAACTGCAGGCTAACAATACTTATTCAAAAGTAATAGCAATTGTGCACAAGCTGAAGACTATGTGAGCCCCACCTGCAATACTGCTTTGCAAAATGATTTTCATCATTTCCATAGTCAAGGATTTCACTGATATATGGCAGATTCCTTATAAAAAACCAACAAGAGGCCGGGTGCAGTGGCTCATGCCTGTAATCCTAGCACTTTGGGAGGCTGAGGCAGGCAGATCGCCTGAGCCCAGCAGTTCAAGACTTGACTGTCCAACATAGCAAAACCCTGTCTCTACTACAAAAATTAGCTGGGCGTGGTGATGCACGTTGAGGCACGAGAATAGCTTGAACCTGGGAGGTGGAGGTTGCAGTGAGCCAGGATCATGCCACTGCACTCCAGCCAGGGTGACAGAGCAAGACTCTGTATTTAAAAAACAAACAAAAAAAAACACCCCCCACACCCCCCCAAAAAAAAGAAAAAAAAAAAAACCTGGCCCTATTTTAAAAAAGGAAAAAGGCTTAGTAAGAGAGTTCTTTGTGACCTGAACAGTGAAAAGCCAATCTAACATAATAAAGCATTTCCTGCTTGTAAAGGTAAACTGAGGGGTGTGGTCACAGTTTTTAATTTGCTTCTTTTCAACAGTCCTTTGTTTAATGTCTCTTTATTTTGCAAAAACATTTCATGAGTTTTTGGTTCAGTACCATTTTGAACACTTCTGAACTTTGAATCTGGGGCAATTAGTACAAACTGAGCAGTTTTATACACCAAAATCAATCCAGGCCACTGTTTCTTGGGCTATTTTTAAACACAGAACCTACTGATTAAAATAACTATTTATTGAAGTGGATTCAAACCTGCAGCTTCCACCATGGTGACTAAAAAGAAAGGTTTGGGGGAGGAAAAAAGGCGGGGCATGGTGGCTCATGCCTGTAATCCCAACATATTGAAAGGCCCAGGCGGAAGTATCACGTCAACAGCAGCCTGGACAACAGAGCGAGACCCTGTCTCTATATTTAAAAAGAAAAAAAAAAAGCATTTGGAGATAACAAGGGGTTAAAGGGCAAGCATTTTTGGAGGAAATCTATGGTTCAGGCAAGGTTCCTCACCTAAAAGTTGTACCAGATTAGGATGCTTGATTTCCTTCATTACTGCAGCTTCTTTCAGGAATTCTTCTACCTCCATGGTATCTTCCTAGAAAAAGGGAAAGGTAAGAAAGAAGAAAACGAGAGGGACAAACCCTCAACTTAAAATCATTTCATTCATCTCACAATCATAAAGCTTCAGCTTTAAAAGTAAAAACTATCTTTTGAATATTTTAGCATATTACAAGATATAATTATTATTTTAATTTAATTTATTTTTTTGAGACACGGTCTCGCTCTGTTACCCAGGTTGGGGTGAAGTGGTGTGATCTCACTGCAACCTCCGCTTCCTGGGCTCAAGCGATTCTCCTGGCTCAGCCTCCCAAGTAGCTGGGATTACAGGCATGCACGACCATGCCTGGCTACTTTTTGTATTTTTAGTAGAGACGGGGTTTTGCAATGTTGGCCAGGATGCTCTCCTGACCTCAGGTGATTCGCCCACCTGAGCTCCCCAAATTGCTGGGATTACAGGTGTGAGCCACCACGCCCAGCTGAAATAATTATTATTTTAAGAAGTCCAACTTAGAAAGAAAAATGCCCTGGAGTAAAAATTAGCAGGAGGAGCAAAATTCAGCAATCGTGTCCTATAATCAACTGAAACACAGGAGCCCTGTATTGGATAGTTCAGTTCTCTCATAGTTTACTTCTCCAGATATCTCAGGCTTTGAATGACGAGACAGAGCACTTAGCTGCTTACATACTTATCTTCTTGCTTAGATCATAATCTTCTTAGAGAGCAAGGCCTTATATATTGCTTCACACTCAGAATATGCTTAAGAAACAGAACTGACTACTACTTAATAGCTAAAGAATAGCCCTTATAAGTGATACACCAGAGACAGTTACTGAGGCTCTGGGAGAATCAAGTGAGTGAAAACCTTATAATTTGATACTGGGATGTTTAAAGGAGACATATAGTAGTACTACGAAAAAGATTTCTGTTAATATTAAGAAGTGATCTAACTGCAAAGAGACAGGAGGAACAAGAACAAGGGAGAGAAAGGACAGAACAAGAAAGAGGCCCATGACTCTCAGACAAGAATTCTGTCCAGCAGGGGTCGTTCTCAGGAAGCAAAAGAGCTTATTTTGCTTTTATAACTTTTAATTTGCTTCTAACCTCCCACTAAGATCTACATCAACAGCCTCCAGAGACAGACCTTTCCCACATGTGGGTTTCACTGCATTGCAGTGAATAATCTACCTCTGCATTGTCAGCAATGGCACTAGGGTTAATCATCTCAATTTGCTGATGTGCTTGGCACTAGTGGGTGGAAAGTGTTCCAAAGTTAAAGAAGGGCATGCTGATATTTCCAAGTGATTGAGCACAAAAGAAAAAGATGCCTGAAAACTGTAATTCTCAGCAACCCACCTTCAATGTTTTCACAGCAACTGTAAGGCTGTATTTCTTCCAGACGCCAACGTAAACCTCTCCATACTGACCGCCCCCAAGTTTGTGCTTCATGGTAATATCTGTTCGCTCCATTTCCCATTTGTCGTGGATGGGGGACACACCATAGACTGTAGGCTTATTACACTTGGGTGCTGGGTAGTGTAATGTTGTCACCAGCCCATCAGCCACTGTGGAGTGATGGTGTACAAGCTCTGCCAAGGTGCTGAAGCGGCTCTCAGCAGTCACATACACCTGGTAAGAAAAGGAGAAAAGCTAAACAACTTGAAAAGAGATTAAGAATTTTTTTTTTTTTTTTTTTTTTTTTTTTGAGATGGAGTCTTGTTCTGTCACCCAGGCTGGAGTGCACTGGCGCGATCTCGGCTCACTGCAAGCTCCGCCTCCCGGGTTCACGCCATTCTCCTGCCTCAGCCTCTCTGAGTAGGTGGGACTATAGGCGCCCGCCACCATGCCCGGCTAATTTTTTGTATTTTTAGTAGAGATGGGGTTTCACCGTGTTCTTGATCTCCTGACCTCGTGATCTGCCGGCCTCAGCCTCCCAAAGTGCTGGGATTACAAGCATGAGCCACCGCTCCCGGCCTAGGAATTCTTTTTTAAAGCCCATATTTCACTGGCCTGAAGATATAGATAGAAGGCTATCTTTAAAAAAAAAAAAAAAAAAAAAAATATTCTGCAGACAGGGTCTCACTATTGCCCAGGCAGGTCTCAAACGCCAGCCTCAAGCAATCCTCCTGCCTGGGCCTCCCAAGGTGCTGAGATTACAGACTGGGCCAGTATACCCAGCAAGAGTTTATCTTAATTGAGGTAAATAAAAAAGTTAAATGATGATTGCAAGGGTAAACACAGAACTTCAGTTTAATCTTATTTAATCTGCCTTTCCTATTCTTCCTAAATTAGTCTTGGGAAAAACCTTCCAAGATCTCTCTCTGGATAATCAAGCTCATTGGTCTTCAAATATATATATATTTTCAAATATATATATACTCAAATTATGTATTTTTTCAAATATATATTTCTTTTTCTTTTTTTCTTTTTTTTGAGACAGAGTCTCACTCTGTTGCCCAGGCTGGAGTGCAGTGTCATGACCTCAGCTCACTGCAACCTCCGCCTCCTGGGTTCAAGTGATTCTCCTGCCTCAGCCTCCCAAGTACCTGGGATTACAGGCATGCGCCATCACGCCTGGCTAATTTTTTTCTTTGTATTTTTAGTAGAGATGGGGTTTCACCATGTTAGCCAGGCTGGTCAGGAACTCCTAACCTCAAGTGATCTGCCTGCCTCAGTCTCCCAAATTGCTGGGATTACAGGTGTGAACTACCACGCCCGGCCAGTCTTCAAATATTTTTAAGCCACAAGACTATGGACTCAACTACAGAAGATACGTAAAGAAGAGATACCCTGATCAAAGTAGGCAAGCAAGGACTTGGCCTCTTGTAGAAATTTACAAAATATCACCTTAATCTTGTAAAAAACATAACTTGAAAACCACTGATTTAGATTTTTTTGGTAAGAGTATTCAAATATCTCATAATTTTAATTATGACGTGCAGTTGAGTGTCTAGGCCATTAAAGAAAGAGCCACAATTTACCGGTGGCCAGGAGCAGTGGCTCACACCTGCAATCCCAGCACTTTGGGAGGCTGAGGTGGGCAGGTCACTTGAGGTCAAGAGTTGAGACCAGCTTGGCCATCATGGTGAAACCTCCTCTCTACTAAAAATACAAAAATTAGCCAGGCTTGGTGGTGCGTGCCTGCAGTCCCAGCTACTTGGGAGGCTGAGGTGGGAGGATTGCTTGAACCTGGGAGGTGGAGGTTGCAGTGAGCTGAGATCACGCCACTGCATTCTAGAGTGGGTGACAGAGCAAGACTCCATCTAAAAAAAAGAAAAGAGCCACACTGGATTTCACAGAATTGCTTACAAAATAGTTGTTAATTTGCTAAGCAATAAGAAATGTAAAGTAAGAGGGAATTCTCTGGACTTCTCTCCCAAGGGAGCCTTAATTTTTATGTATTTTTGAGAAATAAGGGTCTCACTCGGTTGCCCGGCCTGGAGTGCAGTGACACAATCATGACTCACTGCAGCCTTGACCTCCCAGGTTCAGGTGATCCTCCTGCCTCAGCTTCCCGAGTAGCTAGGACCACAGACATATGCCACCATGCCCAGCTAATTTTTAAAATTTTTTGTAGAGATGAGGTTTCACTATATTCCTCAAGCTGGTCTTGAACTCCTGGGCTCAAGTGATCTACCCTCCTTGGCCTCCCCAAGTGTTGGGATTACAGGCATAGGCCACCATGCCTAGCCTGTTATTTATTTTTTTTAAAGACGCTTTTGGTCGGGCGCAGTGGCTCACGCCTGTAATCCCAGCACTTTGGGAGGCCAAGGCGGGTGGATCACGAGGTCAGGAGATCGAGACCATCCTGGCTATCATGGTGAAACACCGTCTCTACTAAAAATACAAAAAATTAGCCGGGCGTGGTGGTGGGCGCCTGTAGTCCCAGCTATTGAGGAGGCTGAGGCAGGAGAACGGCGTGAACCTGGGAGGCGGAACTTGCAGTAAGCCGAGATCGCGCCACTGCACTCCAGCCGGGGCGACACAGCAAGACTCCATCTCAAAAGAAAAAAAAAAAAAGAAGCTTTTGTTTTAGTGTATAAAGTATCAATTCATAAACAGAAAATTGATAATTTTTACAAAGTAAACTCACCCATGTAAACATCACCCACACCAAGAATTATAACATGATCAGCACCCCAGAAGCCTCCCTTATGCTCTCCAGCTATTTGCCCTTGCAGAGATAGCCACTATGCTGACTTCTAACATCTTAGATTAGCTTCTGCTTTTTTTTTTTTTTTTTTTTTTGAGACAGAGTCTCGCTCTGTTGCCCAGGCTGGAGTGCAGTGGCACGATCTTGGCTCACTACAACCTCCACCTCCCAGGTTCAACCAATTCTCCTGCCTCAGCCTCCTGAGTAACTGGGATTACAGTCGCGTGCCACCATGCCAGGCCAATTTTTGTATTTGTAGTAGAGACAGGGTTTCACCATGTTTGTGGGGCTGACATCCTGACCTCCAGTGATGAGGCCCACCTCGGCCTCCCAAAGTGCTGGGATTACGGGTGTGAGCCACCATGCCTGGCCTCTGCTTCTGAACTATACACAAACAGAATCACACAATATGTATTGTTTTATGTCTGCTTTTTTCCACCCAACTTTTAAAAATTGCATTATATTTCAGATACCATAAAATTCATCATTTTAAGGTATACCATTTCATGGTTTTTAGCATATTCTCAAAGTTGTCCAACCATCATGACTATCTAACTCTAGAACATTCTCATTACCTCATATCTATTAGGAGTCCTTCCCACTCCCCACATCCTCATCCCCTGGCTAATACTAATCCTTCAACTTTGCTGAAGTTGTTGAGTCAGCTAACACTCATCTAGAGTAGGGGCCAGCAAACTCTTCATAAGGGCCAGATAATAAATATTTTAGGCTGTGGCCATAGTGTGTCAGAACTGTGAACTACTCAGCACTGCCTAGTAATAGAAACCATAGACAATACATGAACAAATGGGTGTGGCTGTATTCTAATAAAATATTATTTACAAAAAAAAGCAGACGGCTGGAGGGCCATAGTTTTACCTGGTGGTGGTGTGTGTAGCAGTACTGTGTTCGCTTCTGTTGTTGAATGAAATTGCATTTTATGAATATACCACAATTTATTAATCCATTCTACTGTTGTTAGATCTGTGGGTGTTTCTAGTTTTTGGCTATCACAAGCAATGCTGCTATGAACATTCCTATACATGTCTTCTGGCACACATATGCACTCATTTCTATTAGGTAAATAACTAGAACTGCTAAGTCACTCTTATATTATTACACATCTGATTCTGTTCTGTTTGGTCAAGAGGAAACATACTATGTCTGTATGCTGGTGCAAAAGTGAAAGAAAATTAAAAATTTACTTATTTTCTACTTTGTATCAGTCATTATGTTTTACAGAAATTACTTCATTTAATCCTTACAACAACCCAATAAAGTGGGATCTAATTACAGACAGGGAAATTGAGACTTATGTAAGGTCACAATCAGATCTGCTTGCTCCAAAGCCTGTGCTTCCCCCACAGCTTGCCTATCACATAGAGGAGAATAGAAGAAATAATTCAACCTAAATTTACTGCTCAACAGATAACCAACGGACATAAGCTCATGCTCTGTAGTTTATAATGTGTAAACACACTGTAACACATCCATTCTAACTAACATGGTTGGTGTTCCCAATATACAAACTGTTCAATGACTGAATGATCCGTTTCAGTTAATATACATTAATGATCGACACCAAGCTCAAAAGTCTAAATTCTTACTCTGTGAACTTTCTGGTAGATATTATTCTAATTTTCAATGATACAATGTTAACTGATAAACTCTATACCAGTGCACTGGGTGTATATTTGTGTACTGATTATAAGAACAGCTAACTTATAGAGCAGTTCCCTTCATTCTTCACCTTCAAATCTAGCTTATCTTTAAAATATTAATATAATACTGTTTTTAAAAATTTCTATTACCATATCCTTTTCAAGAGTACAAGCTCTAACATGCCAAAAAGCCCAAACTCACAAAGCTAGTGAATATTTTATTTCACGTCAGACATAAAATCTATTATTTCACTTCAATCACGTTGAATATTATTTCACAGAGTAGCCAGTCCATGCTTAAAGGTGGTGACCAGGGAGTCTTACCTTGCCATCTGCAGTGGTATTGATCCTGTAGTGATACACACGTCCCTCGTACCTGAGCGAGATGGACAGCTGCCCAGGGCTACTCTCACTTTCTCGCACCAGGAAGCTGCCATTGATTAGACTGCTGAGCAGATACTCAGCTGCACTGCGTGACACAGGTCCATGGTACCAGGAGTGTTTTTCCAGGCTGTTCACTGGGGTGATGTAGTTGCTTGGCACCCAGCCCTGCCCATTCTTAGAGCGAACTTCACTCCACTCACCATTCTGGTTGTAACCAAGGACTCGTAGCTTTTCACCTAGCCATAAGGTCATCACAGGATGAAAGAAACGATGTTAAGACTTTATTTCAACTGAAGCAGTGTACTGTCAAACTTTAAACTCATTAAAAAAAAAAAAGAATCTAGAACTTTTATGCCAAATTTTTTTTTTAAATAATGAAAACAAACTTGGCTGTTCATCATATCCTGATTGCTCTCTTTAGCTTTTAGCTTAACCACAGAAGTATGGTCACAAATGGTTTTCTGGCATTTACTACAGGGTTTTAAAAGTCTATATACAACTTAAAAAATATCCTTAAGAAATTCTATGTATGCCAGACAGGTTACTAAAATGGCTGGAAAAGGACACAGTGCTCACTCTTCAAAAGAAGAAAATTCACTTTCCCTCAAAAGTTTATCAAGGAATGTATCTTATATATGATTCAATGTTAACAACAATCAAGGATTAGGGATAAGACATGTGAGATACAAAGTGACTTCTAAATTTCACTTGGCACCAAGGCAACAAAACCACTGATGTAAAAAAACAAAAACAAAAACAAAAAATGAACAAACAAAAAAAAACACGGACCACAGAGTTTTCAGCAAGAAAACTGTTTAGTGGGGTGAGGGGAATGGGCAGTTAGGACTCCCAAAACACAATCCCTTCCAGAATGCAAGTTTAAAAATAGCTATAGCTTTCTTATTTCCTTCCTAGTTCCCACAAAGAATGAATCACTCCTTTCCATTCCACATTAAAATCAGTGTGTGGAATGGCAAGCTCACTCTGAAGTTGGAAACCAAAACCCAAGTCACTCAGTGTATCTTTGCTGTCAACTTCAATGTTCTTAATTTTTCTATTAAAATTGTGAACATCAAGTTCAGACTTCAACATATAACTTGCCCCGATACTTGCAGCACAAATTAGGTTTCTTTGACAAAACAGAAAAAGTGAAAGAGATATCACTAGTGATAAATAAATGCTAATCTAAAGAATCCTTGTAGTGCCTCAGGCTCTTATCTCTAAGAGATGCAAGTCTTCCTACAGCATTCACATCTACTTCTTCAGTGTCAAAAAGTAGAAGGAAGCCAAGTCAATCAAAAGCACATGGCCATGGCTGAGCGTGGTGTCTCATGCCTGTAATCCCAGCACTTTGGGAGGCTGAGAGGGGCGGATCACCTAAGGTCAGGAGTTCAAAACCAGCCTGGCCAACATGGTGAAACCTCATCTCTACCAAAAATACAAAAAATTAGCCGGGTGTGATAGTCTGCATGCCTGTAATCCCAGCTACTCGGGAGGCTGAGGCAGGAGAATTGCTTGAACCCGGGAGGCTGAGGTTGCAGTGAGCCGAGATTGCACCACTGTACTCCAGCCTGGGAGACAGAGTGAGACTGCTAAAAAAAAAAAAAAAAGCACATGGCCAGAAGTATCAGGCAAAAGTTTTTAGGAGAACTAAAAATAATTATCCTTGTAACCATCTGTCCTTTTTTAGTGGCCTTCAGAAACGTTTCCATAGAATAACTTTGTATCAGACACCATCTCACCTTAGACACATGGATATGAGATAATGAGAAAAAACACAAGAGTATATGTACATATATACACCTATGGGTACATAAAATATACATATATACAGATAAGAGTAAGTCTGGTGTAGCGGTGGATATGCATAAGTGCACAAATACTTGCCAATCATATTTACAGGAAGAAAAAAAAAAGAATCCTGCTAGAAAAACTGAAGAAAACCTGTTGCTCTGTAGCTTTTCTCTGTTAGTCCACATGAGCTAAAAATAAAGAATATTAGTACTTTGTATATATATCTATATATACATTTTTTAATATTGTTGCTTCCTTGAAAAGAATTGGTAATAACAGGCTATCATAATTAAGATACAGTCAAAGACCCCAGGATTTTTTGTTTGTTGTTCTTTTTTTGTCAGTTATCAGGAAAATTTTTCTACCCTGGAAGTTTTGACTACCATGGAAACTGATAGGGGGATGACTAGTATGGATTCAAATATTGGCCAAACTGGCAGAGCAACCCTAGGGAGAACTTTTTTGTTTGTTTTGAAACAGGTCTCCCTCTGTCGCCACGCGGCAGTGCAGCGGTGCAAACACAGCTCACTGTAACCTCAACTTCTCAGGCTCAAGTGATCCTCAGACCTCAGCCCCCCAAGTACCTGGGTCTACAGGTGCATGCCACTGCCCCTGGCTAATTTTTAAATTTTTTGTAGAGACAGGGGTCTCACTACATTGCCTAGGCTGGTTTTGAACTCCTAGGCTCACGCAATCCTCCTGCCTCAACCTCCCAAAGTGCTGAGAATACAGGGATGAGCCACTGCGCTTGGCTGGTAGAACTTTAAAAAAAAAAAATTCAAGCAAAATATCATTTTCAATCAAAAACTAAAGTGTTGCTTTATTTTTTAAATATATTTTCTTGTCTTTTAAAATAATAAAATAGCTTTAGTATGACATCATTTTAAATTAGTGAGAACCTGATATAAAAATTTGGCATTCTGTGGATTTTAAGAGAAACCACTGTTGGTCATAAGATAAAGGCCAGTCATAACCCATAAGTGAGGAATCAACAGTCTTTCTTTATCAATGTTTCCTTGATGACTGGGCTATCTTGAAAAAACAACAGGAAAACATACCTATGAAAGAATTTCTGAGTCATCACTTCACAAATTTCTCCAGTGAAGAATCAATAAAGGTAAAATCAAGTATATTGTAGTCCAAAGAGACTACTACACAATATAAACTTTCTGGCTGGGCGTGGTGGCTCACGCCTGTAACCCCAGCACTTTGGGAGGCTGAAGCAGGTGGATCACAGGTCAGGAGTTCGAGGCCATCCTGACCAACATGGGTGAAACCCTGTCTCTACTAAAAATACAAAAATTAACACGGCGTGGTGGTGCGTGCCTGTAATCCCAGCTACTCAGGAGGCTGAGGCAGCAGAATCGCTTGAACCCAGGAGGCACAGCTTGCAGTGAGCCGAGACTGTGCCACTGCACTCCAGCCTGGGTGACAGAGCGAGACTCTGTCTCAAAAAAAAAAAAAAAAAAATTCTTTGATGTCTTTTGTTCTATCCTCAAATTTTACGTAAAATGTTCCTACAACTGCATAAACACAACCCCCACATACATAACATGTATCATCCTGTCCCCAAAACTATCCAAAAGCAGGAAGTAAAACTGACACTAGGAGATGATGCACTTTTACTTTCACTTTTAATTCTGTCCTATGTACAATTGGCCAGCACATGCAACTACCATGAAGGTTAGACTCACTATACACCTATTCTTTTGTTTTTGTTTTTTTAAGAGACGGCATCTCACTCTGTCGCCCAGGCTGGGGTGCAGTGGCACCATCTCAGCTCAATGCAACCTCCCCGTCCCAAGTTCAAGCAATTATCCTGCCTCAGCCTCCTGAGTAGCTAGGACTACAGGCACATGCCGCTACACACGGCTAATGTCTTTTGTATTTTAGTAGAGATGGGGTTTCACCGTGTTGCCCAGGCTGGTCTCAAACTCCTGAGCTCAGACAATCCACCAGCCTCGGCTTCCCAAAGTGCTAGATTACAGGCGTGAGCCACTGTGCCTGGTCACACCTATTCTAATTGAACTGTGGCTAAGATGAGCCATGTTGCCAGACCTCACTGCTACTCAGAATGTCTGCGAACTTGACTGCCTATCTGAGGACTGTTCATTCATTACTAGTCCACAGTGAGATTAAGAACTTCAACTAAATGTAAACCAACTATATCACTAAGCACACTATTTATTACTTAGTTCAGCTAATAGTTTTACCTTTTGGAGCAAGGCTTTCTGCATGAAGATAGTAGTTCAGTGTTTCACATTCTGGCATAAGCATCTTACCTTGTTGTGGACCATTTTTGAGTAGCACTGGCCTAGACAACATAAATGTCTATTGTTTGTGTTTATATAGATTAGTGAAAGGAATGGTAGGAAAGGTTTATTTGATTTCCATTATAGTAATATTCTCAAGAGAGTGGTAGTTTATTTCCGTGGGAAATTCTTATAAAAGGGAACATTAAGAACATGACCAAATAAAATCAATCATTATTGATTTTGTGTGTGTGTGTGTGTGTGTGTGTGTGTGTGTGTGTGTACGCACACACGCATGCAAAGGCAAAAAAAAGTAACTTTTATGAGAAAGAAATAGGATTATGGGGAGATTATCCTTGTGTACATGAACTGGATTGCTAGTCTGCCTAAGCTTATTCTTACCTTTTGAACATATGAAAGCCACTGCCGGGGAAAAAAATGTATTTCAGGATAATTTTTTTTTTTTTTTCTTTTTTGAGATGGAGTCTCACTCTGTCACCCAGGCTGGAGTGCAGTGGTGTGATCTCAGCTCACTGCAACCTCTGCCTCCCGAGTTCAAGTGATTCTCATGCCTCAGCCTCCTGAGTAGCTGGGACTACAGGCATGGGCTACCACGCCTGACTAATTTTTTTCATATTTTTATTAGAGACAGGGTTTCACCATGTTGGCCAGGTTGGTCTCAAACTCCTGACCTCAGGTGACCTGCCCGCCTTGGCCTCCCAAAGTGCTGAGATTATAGGTGTGAGCCACTGTGCCTGGCCAGGCCCCTTTATCTCTTAATCATTAATGAAAACTGAAAAGTGAAAGGATGCTACATAGAAGCCTCACCTTTAGTGATGCTGAGTGTGTTATCACCACTTGCTACAAAATCATAAAGTGCAACGAAGAGATTAGGGTCACTCTCAGTGGCTCCGAGCAAGTTCTCCTTGGAGCTCCACCTGATAGCCTCATTTAGTGCCTGGGGTTCAACATCACAACCATAGGGACGATGCAAAGCTTCTGAAAGACATAAGAAGGGAAGGGAATTCACGGTGAGTTCAACAGCGAAACATTTGTTTGAATTCATTATATACACAGTATTTCAGCTGCTGGCTCCAGAGTAGGAAAGAACTGTACAGTATAAAGTGTTATGAAGAATTAGCAAATAGGCACTGTGTCTCCTAAGCATGAGGAAGCAATTTACTTGTTGAAAATGTAAAACAAGGTAGTCAGAGAAAAGACCACAAAATGAGAGTTTAGCCGTGATTTATATGCACTCACCAAAATCAGACATAAACTAATAGGAAACGCAGTTTTCTCAAAATGGAAAAAAGAATCTCAAAGAGAAATGGTTACTAGCTTTATAAAACATAGAGGATATTTTGTTGTAGTAGTGGTTGTAGTTTTAAGGAAGAAATGATTGTAAGTTTCTTACAAGTCCACTCAAACTACCCTTATTCCTTTCTCTCTCCACAGAAAACAAACTGTAGAAAAGACAACAGGGATTATTTTTCAGAATTAGGTAATACTGTATAAATCCAGGCCCTCTATTTAAGTATAGAAAAAATTATTTAAAAAGTGCTTTTAGAAAAATATCTTTTTTTGGCCAACATGGCAAAAAATAATCTTTTTTTCGTTTTAAAAAAACAAAAGAAATGTGGCCGCACCCGGCCTGAATGACTTTTAAACTCTATTTTGTTTTCCTGAGCAGTGATTTTTTGTAAATATCAATAACTTAATTGAAGAGCCTAGAAAACATTACTATCATCGGGCATTTATTGAGTTTCTACTCAAAGTGGTCCAAGCCTTTTACGACCTGTTTTTTCCTTAAGCCTTTACAGTTTCTAAATTTATTCATAGTACATAGCACAGGTGATCCCTATACCATCTTAAAGATCACCTGCTTCTCACAGCCCAGATCGATTATACAAAAAACAGTTTTTCCAGTATCAATTTTCTTGATCAGACTATTTTTAGTGCCTGTCTACAAAGGCAAACTATCCAAATGTCTATGTCATATAACAACACTTTTATGTCTCTCTTCCTCCACTTATGATTATTATGATTATTATTATTATTATCATTATTATTTTGAGATGGAGTTTCGCTCTTGTTGCCCAGGCTGGAGTGCAATGGCGTGATCTCGGCTTACTGAAACCTCTGCCTCCCGAGTTCAAGCGTGATTCTCCTGCCTCAGCCTCCCAAGTAGCTGGGATTACAGGCGCCTGCCACCATACCCAGCTAATTTTTCTGTATTTTTAGTAGAGACAGGATTTTACCATGTTGGCCAGGTTGGTCTTGAACTCCTGACCTCAGGTGATCCACCCGCCTCAGCCTCCCAAAGTGCTGGGATTACAGGCGTGAGCCACCACACCCGGCTGACTTATTCCCCGTCCGCACCCCTCTCCCACCACCGAGATGGAGTCTTGTTTTGTTGCCCAGGCTGGAGTGCAGTGGCACAATCTCTGCTCACTGCAACCTTCACGTCCTAGGTTCAAGCAATTCTACTGCCTCAGCCTCCCGAGTAGGTGGGATTACAGGTGCACGCCACCAAGCCCAGCTAAATTTTGTATTTTCAGTAGAGACGAAGTTTCACCATGTTGGCCAGGCTGGTCTTGAACTCCTGACCTTGTGATCTGCCCGCCTTGGCCTCCCAAAGTGCTGGGATTACAAACGTGAGCCACCACACCCAGCCAGGCCAACTTATTTTTAATATAAAAATAGTTTTATCATATATGAAAGGAAAAACCCTTGAATTTGTGGTTCCATTTATTTTCAAATCCATTCCCTGTTCTCCATCTCTACTGCCAATGCCTTAGTTCAAATCTGCAACATCTCAACATCTCTCACCTGGACTACTGCCTCCAGTCTTGTCTCCCTCAAATCCATCCTCCACACAGCTGGCAAAGTGATCTATTTAAGAAAAAAATTGACCACGTCACTTTTCTTAAGCTTCTTCAATAGTTTAACATCAAGCTAAAGTCTCCTTTTCATGGCATTCAAAGGCCTTTCATGATCAGGTCTCTACCTACTTCTCCAGCTTCGCCTCTCCCTACTCCATACCTCAAATTGTAAACTTTAATATACACCATGCTGCTTCCCATCTTCTGGCCTTGGTTCACACAGTCCAGACTAACTGGAATGGGTTCTCACCCCACTTTTCTTTTGACTGGCTGATTTCTACTTGTAATACTCAGCTCCAATATATAGTAGTCCCCCTTATCCATGAGGAATATGTTCCAAGACCCCCAGTGGATGCTTAAAATCAATCAGGATAGTACCAAATCCACTATATACTACGTTTTTCCTACACATACATAACCATGATACAATTTAATTTATAAATTAGGCTCAGAAAGAGATTAACAATAATACAATGAACAATTATAACAATATATTGTAATAAAATTTATGTGAATGTGGTATCTCTCTTTTTCCCTCAAAATATCTTAATACTTTCTGACTGGGGTGGAGTGCCAGTAACTGAAACTGTATAAAGCAAAACTGGATAATGGGGGCTACTGCACCTCCCATCTGTACTCTCAAAAGCATCACAGTTGCTGCATTAATACTCTATCTTTATCTCTATATTAATAATACATTCTACGTATGTTTGTTCCCCAAACATCATAACATGTTCCTTGTATCTGGAATGGTATTCTTCTCCTACCAAAAGTTACATAGTATGTGTTTAATAACTGTTAGCTAAACAAATGCCCAAATTACACAAACATATAAGTGACAGGAAACAACATGTATCTTAATTTTAAAATCACATTAAACAGTATTTAAAAATTGGCTTCAGCCAGGCACGGTGGCTCAGGCCTGTAATCCCAGCACTTTGGGAGACTGGGCAGGTGGATCACCTGAGGTCAGAAGTTTGAGACCAGCCTGATCAACATAGTGAAAAACCCCATCTCTATTAAAAATACAAAAATTGGGCGAGGAGATGGACTCGGCCATGGAGGCTGCGTGGAGGCTGCGTGGAGCCTGCTTGGGAACCGGGATGGCGTTTGCCTTCCACCATCAAGTTATTTATAAAATCAAAAGTTTCCTCCGAGGCCTTGGAGATGCCCTTTCTCTGCATCTGCGAACACCTACTTTCCTATACTTACAGTAGGAAACACAGGAACGTTATTTAGAAATGCCAGTGGCTCTTTTCTCTCTGTATTTTATTACCTAAATAATGCCCTATGATGTCTTCTCTAACTAGGTCATAAACCAGCATAGGTGAAAATTGCAGCCTCAGCCTCTCCCTCTCCCTCTCCCTCTCCACGGTCGCCCTCTCCCTCTTTCCACGGTCTCCCTCTGATGCCGAGCTGAAGCTGGACGGTACTGCTGCCATCTCGGCTCACTGCAACCTCCCTGCCTGATTCTCCTGCCTCAGCTTGCTGAGTGCCTGCGAGTGCAGGCGCGCACCGCCACGCCTGACTGGTTTTCGTATTTTTTTGGTGGAGACGGGGTTTCGCTGTGTTGGCCGCGCTGGTCTCCAGCTCCTAACCGCGAGTGATCCGCCAGCCTCGGCCTCCCGAGGTGCCGGGATTGCAGACGGAGTCTCGTTCACTCAGTGCTCAATGGTGCCCAGGCTGGAGTGCAGTGGCGTGATCTCGGCTCACTACAACCTCCACCTCCCAGCAGCCTGCCTTGGCCTCCCAAAGTGCCGAGATTGCAGCCTCTGCCCGGCCGCCACCCCGTCTGGGAAGTGAGGAGCATCTCCGCCTGGCCGCCCATCGTCTGGGATGTGAGGAGCCCCTCTGCCTGGCTGCCCAGTCTGGAAAGTGAGGAGCATCTCTGCCCGGGCCGCCATCCCATCTAGGAAGTGAGGAGCGCCTCTTCCCGGCCGCCATCACATCTGGGAAGTGAGGAGCGTCTCTGCCCGGCCGCCCATTGTCTGAGATGTGGGGAGCACCTCTGCCCTGCCACCCCGTCCGGGATGTGAGAAGCGTCTCTGCCCGGCCGCCCCGTCTGAGAAGTGAGGAGACCCTCCGCCTGGCAACCGCCCCGTCTGAGAAGTGAGGAGCCCCTCCGCCCGGCAGCCGCCCCGTCTGAGAAGTGAGGAGCCCCTCCGCCCAGCAGCCACCCCGTCTGGGAAGTGAGGAGCGTCTCCTCCTGGCAGCCACCTCGTCCGGGAGGGAGGTGGGGGGGTCAGCCCCCCACCCGGCCAGCCGCCCCATCCGGGAGGGAGGTGAGGGGGTCAGCCCCCCGCCTGGCCAGCCGCCCCATCCGGGAGGTGAGGGGTGCCTCTGCCCGGCCGCCCCTACTGGGAAGTGAGGAGCCCCTCTGCCCGGCCAGCTGCCCCGTCCGGGAGGGAGGTGGGGGGGTCAGCCCCCCGCCCGGCCAGCCGCCCCGTCCGGGAGGGAGGGAGGTGGGGGGGTCAGCCCCCAGCCTGGCCAGCCGCCCCGTCCAGGAGGTGAGGGGGCGCCTCTGCCCGGCCGCCCCTACTGGGAAGTGAGGAGCCCCTCTGCCCGGCCAGCCGCCCCGTCCAGGAGGGAGGTGGGGGGGGTCAGCCCCCCATCCGGCCAGCCGCCCCGTCCAGGAGGTGACGGGCACCTCTGCCCGGCCGCCCCTACTGGGAAGTGAGGAGCCCCTCTGCCCGGCCAGCCGCCCCGTCCAGGAGGGAGGTGGGGGGGGTCAGCCCCCCGTCCGGCCAGCCACCCCGTCCGGGAGGTGAGGGGCGCCTCTGCCCGGCTGCCCCTACTGGGAAGTGAGGAGCCCCTCTGCCCGGCCACCACCCCGTCTGGGAGGTGTACCCAACAGCTCATTGAGAATGGGCCATGATGACAATGGCGGTTTTGTGGAATAGAAAGGGGGGAAAGGTGGGGAAAAGATTGAGAAATCGGATGGTTGCCGTGTCTGTGTAGAAAGAGGTAGACATGGGAGACTTTTCATTTTGTTCTGTACTAAGAAAAATTCTTCTGCCTTGGGATCCTGTTGATCGGTGACCTTACCCCCAACCCTGTGCTCCCTGAAACATGTGCTGCATCCACTCAGGGTTGAATGGATTAAGGGCGGTGCAAGATGTGCTTTGTTAAACAGATGCTTGAAGGCAGCATGCTCCTTAAGAGTCATCACCACTCCCTAATCTCAAGTACCCAGGGACACAAACACTGCGGAAGGCCGCAGGGTCCTCTGCCTAGGAAAACCAGAGACCTTTGTTCACTTGTTTATCTGCTGACCTTCCCTCCACTATTGTCCTGTGACCCTGCCAAATCCCCCTCTGCGAGAAACACCCAAGAATGATCAATAAAAAATAAATAAATAAATAAATAAATAAATAAATAAAAATAAAAATAAAAATACAAAAATTAGCCAGGCATGGTGGCACATGCCTATAATCCCAGCTACTTCGGAGGCTGAGGCACGAGAATTGCTTGAGTCTGGGAGGTGGAGGTTGCAGTGAGCCAAGATCGCCGCTGTGCTCCAGCCTGGGTGACAACAGAGTGAGACCCTGTCTCAAAAAAAAAAAAAAAAGGCTTCATAACTTCTACATGATATACACACAGAAATTCCTGTTGTAGGTTGGCTCTGTAATTCTCCAGTTTCAGAGTTTCATATTCCCTTCTCTCAAAAAGAATATATATTTAAAATTCCAGTTAATTCAATTTTGTTTTACATTATGATAAACTTAAAAAAAGTTCTGATATCATGGAAAGTTAAAGTAGTTATGTTGTTCCTTATTTAAATGCAGAATTATGGTGAATGGGAACAGCTGTATTCTATACCAAGATAGCCAATTTGGGATGACCAAATCAACAAAAATCCATATTGTAAAAAACATTCTTCAAACCGGTTTCATATATCGTATTTGTCTTTATTCTAATGCAAAAATTATCTACTCTAGCAGAATTTCCACTGGCTACAAAATGCCAATCCTTTATTAAAATGAAAAAAATGCCAAAAAAAGTACAGAAAATATCCATATTTATTAGCACCCATTACTGAACACTACATAATCCACACTTATAAATATATATATATATTTTTGCCAGTGACACTGGTAACACATTACAATGTTTATAAATACTCTGTTTAATGATTATCAGTTTATTTAATTATTCGTAGTACAGGAAAAGTTCCCCTTGTTTGAAATTATAAGAGAAAAACTCAACAGTAAAAAGAACTTTGGTACTATCAACAACCAAGTTAGAAATAGTAATAAGCAGAAGCCAACTCTTAACCCCTATCAGGACAAAACCAGCAAATGTCATATAGTTATACCTTACTTTGTGAAACTCAGTATATTAAATTTTAAAGTTTACAAAACAGTAATTTGATCACCCTGAGGGTGAGGACAGTGATGCAATATTGAGCAGCTTCCTGGGCTCACACAATCAGGAGCTGGCCAAGAACTGGATTTCCACAGTGGACATAAGGGGCGCCACGGGCACTGTGGAGCTGCTGTGGGCCACTGACTGGAGGCCAATTCTGGACCGGGTGCCTTACATCCACAGCAAGTTTAAGAAGGATGATTGATTAAACTGATGCCTCCATGAACCCCTCTGCTGTCAGGTGGTGCCAGCTCCTCCCATGTCAGCGCCTGCTGCATCTGCAACAGCCCAAGCTCTCAGGATGGACGCTCAGGGAATCTACAGTGCAACTTAAGATTTCTTGTATTTCTGAAAACAGCTGGGGTGTTTTAAGCACACAGCATTAAACCTCACTATGAAACCTGCCCCCTGCCTGGATATTAATCATGCTGATAACTCAGTTACTTTGATTACAGCTCCAGAGAATGACCCAGGGATCTTTTCAAGCTCCAAAATGCTGCCAGTTTAGGAGAGTTTTCCAGTGGCTGTCAGATATTGTTTAATTATTATTATTGAGACAAGGTCTTGCCGTGTTGTCCAGGCTGGTCTCAAACTCCTGAGCTCAAGCGATCCACCTGCCTTGGCCTCCCAAAGTACTGCGATTACAAGCACGAGCCACCGCGCCCAGCCTGTTTAATTATTTTAAATGTTTATTGGGGAAAAAGAAATCCCTAGTAATTTGAGTGAATACCACATGCAAGGCACTGTGCTGGGCTTCAGAATATAAAGATGAGAAATCACTAATAACACCATTGGGACTCAATATGCAAAACTATCATCCATCCTTCCCTCCAAATTTGTTTCTCTCACTGAATTCCCCATTTCAGTTAATGGCAATTCCATCTTTTCAAATGTTGAGGCCAAAAACCATGGAATCCTTCATGGCTCTGAGAGGTGACAGTGTGCTGGCAGTCCTCACAGCCCTCGCTCGCTCTCGGTGCCTCCTCTGCCTGGGCTCCCACTTTGGTGGCACTTGAGGAGCCCTTCAGCGCACCGCTGCACTGTGGGAGCCCCTTTCTGGGCTGGCCAAGGCCGGAGCCCACTCCCTCAAGCTTGCAGGGAGGTGTGGAGGGAGAGGCGCCAGCAGGAACCGGGGCTGCCTGCCGCGCTTGCGGGCCAGCTGGAGTTCCGGGTGGGCGTGGGCTTGGCGGGCCCCGCACTCACACTCGGAGCAGCCAGCCAGCCCTGTCAGCCCCGGGCAATGAGGGACTTAGCACCTGGGCCAGCGGCTGTGGAGGATCTACTGGGTCCCCCAGCAGTGCCAGCCCACCGGTGCTGCGCTCAATTTCTCGCTGGGCCTTAGCTGCCTTCCCGCGGGGCAGGCCACCCACCCAGCAGTGGCAACCCACTCGGGTCCCCTTCCACACTGTGGAAGCTTTGTTCTTTCGCTCTTTGCAATAAATCTTGCTACTGCTCACTCTTTGGGTCCACACTGCTTTTATGAGCCGTAACACTCACCGCAAAGATCTGCAGCTTCACTCCTGAAGCCAGCAAGACCACGAGCCCACCGGGAGGAACGAACAACTCCAAACGCGCTACCTTAAGAGCTGTAACACTCACTGCAAAGGTCTGCAGCTTCACTCCTGAGCCAGCGAGACCACGAACTCACCAGAAGGAAGAAACTCCGAACACATCTGAACATCAGAAGGAACAAACTCCAGACACGCCACCTTAAGAGCTGTAGCACTCACCGCGAGGGTCTGCGGCTTCATTCTTGAAGTCAGTGAGACCAAGAACCCACCAATTCCGGACACAGCTCCCTTCTTGCTCTCACAAACAACATCCAATTCACTCAGAAATTCCATTGGCACTGCCTTCAAAAATATATCCAGAATCTAACCACTTCTCATTCAGTACCACTTCATGACCACCATCATCTAGGTAAGGGGACCCCAACCCCTGGGCCACAGACAGGTCTGTGGCCTGTTAGGAACTGGGCCACACAGCAGCAGGTGAGCAGCGGGCCAGCGAGCATTACCGCTTGAGCTCCACCTCCCGTCAGATTAGTGGAGGCATTTGATTCTCACAGGAGCTGAAACCTACTGTGAACTGCTCAAGCAAGGGATCTAGGTTGAATGCTCCTTATGATAATCTAATGCCTGATGATCTGAGGTGGAACAGTTTCATGTGAAACCACCGCTCCCCACCCAGTCTGTGAAAAAATTGACTTCCATGAAACTGGTCCCTGGTGCCAAAAAGGTTGGGACCACTGATGTAGACTATTTCACTAGACTCCTGATTTCCATGCTTCCGTGCTTGTTCCCTACTGTTTATTCTCAACATACCAGCCATCTTTCAGAGCATAAGTCAGATTGCTACTCCTCTGTTCAAGACTCTTCAAAGGTTCCCCATTTTAGAGTAAAAGCTAAAATCCTTAAAGGCCCTGCAAGGTCCTTCACAATTGGTCTTGCCCAGCATCTCCTGCTGCTATTCCTCTACCTTATTCTGGCCACTGACATCAATGCTATTGCTTGAACAAAGCAGGCACACTTCTGCCTCAGGACCTTTGCGCTGGCTTTTCCTTTTGCCTAAAACACTCTTCCCCATGACATTTCACCAAATGTTACCTTCTCAGTATGTCATTCTCTGATTATTCCATTTTAAAGTACATCTATTCTTGATAACACTCTCACATCCCCCACTGACTCCTTTCCTGATTTATTTTATCTCCATAGCTCTTATTACCACCAAACATAGTGTATAATTTACTTATTTATTATTATATTCATGTATCTAAGTCTCCTTGCTAAAATGTAAGTTTTATGAGGACCAGGATTGTTGTCTGTTTTGTTCACTGAACAGTGACTCCAGAACAGTGTCTACATATAAGAGGCTCTCAAAAAAGATTTGCTGAATGAATGAACTATGTATACATCCTTACTCACAGAGGATGCTATGAGAGGAAAGAATATAAAACAAAACTCTAGAGTCTGGCAAGGTTTCAGACTTAAAATTAGATAAACATTTAAACTGGATGAACGCAGGCCAGGCACAGTAGCTCATGCCTATAATCTCAGCACTTTGAGAAGCCAAGGCGGGAGGATCACTTGAGGCCAGGAGTTCAAGACCAGCCTGGGCAACATCATGAGACTTCATCAGGTGTGGTGGCTAGCGTCTGTAATCCCAGCACTTTGGGAGGCCGAGGTGGATCACCTGAGGTCAGGAGTTCGAGACCAGTCTGGCCAACATGGCAAAACCCTGACTGGGTGTGGTGGCGGGTGCCTGTAATCCCAACTACTCGGGAGGCTGAGGCAGGAGAATTGCTTGAACCCGGGAGGCAGAGGTTGCAGTGAACTGAGATCAGACTGCTGCACTCCAACTTGGGTGACAAAGCAAGACTCTGTCTCAAAAAAAAAAAAAAAAAAAAAATTAAGTATTGGCTGGGCATAGTGGCACACAACTGTAGTCCCAGCTACCCAGGAAGCTGAGGTAGGATTGTCTGAGCCTGGGAGGTTGAGCCTGCAGTGAGCCAAGATCACACCATTGTACTCCAATCTAGACAATAGAACAAAACCCTGTCTTTAAGAAAAAAAAAAATTAGATTAATAGGAATTCTGCACTGATGACAGTAGAGTGACAGACTGTCAATACGCAAGGACATGTTTATAATAAGGGGAAACTCTGAACCCAAAAGAGGACTCTTAAAGACAAGTCAACTTCCTGAAAGTTGTGTTATCTGACAAAAGGAGAAAACAGAATGAGATCTACAGCACGATTTTATGTAAATTTAGAAGATATATGCAGGCCAAACAATATTATATTTCTGAAATATGTAAAGTAATAACTATAGGATAAAAGTAATTTTTGAGGCCAAAGTACTAAAAGAACCACAACTTAGAAAACAATCCTTCTTATTCCCCATTCCCCTTCTTCCCGTCTCTGGTTTTACGGTCTTTTTGGTTGAGTCAAAAGATCTTATTTCCTTCCTTTCTTCTTTCTTCCCACTCCTCTTTTGTTCTCAAAGAACTTAGGGTCAATTTCCTGCACAATCTGTCTGCACAGGATATCCACTTAAACACCATTCTACCCATTAGCACCAAACAAAAGGAAAACTTTTTCAAAGAGAAAAACACCCTAACATTTTTCTGAAGCTAAGAACGAACATATTTTGAATCATAAAGAGTAAGGGAACTAAATGAGGGGGAACAAGATAAGGGATAAAGGCAAAAACAAAAGAAAACAAAAGCCTGTGGGAAGAGCAAGTAAATGTCAGTGTTACCCAGTAGCTATAGTCTATGTCACTTTCCTCATTGGTTAAGACAGACATGTCTGGATGATTCAGATGTACTGTATACGCCCAAATGCAAGTGTGTGGGCTGGGAATGGTTTATTTTTGAACAAAATGAAATGACTACTATAAATTAGGTAACTTAGATATCAAGTTAACTTATCTTCCATTATTCACTGCTATAGAGGTAGATCAGAGATTTAAGATGGGATAAGAGAAGACTGATTTTCACTCACATGTAAAGAACCTAGATAACAGAAATATATTATCACAATTTAAAAAAGGCATTTTTTTTCTATTGCTACAGTTGCAGGCTACAACAAAAATAAAGCAAAACAGAATAGCCACTTGTACAAAGTAAATTATCATGATTGAAAAAGTTAAAACCCAAAATAATAAAACTGAAATTGAGAAAATTCCTAAGCTTCATGTTTAATTTTATTAAAAATACTTTTCACCAGTTAGTCATTCAGTAACTTTTATCAGTTTAATTAGAAATTTGTCAGGTAGTAATAGGAGAAATTAATATTACAAATTTTTAGTTTAGGCATTTTCAAGTATTTTATAAACATTATCTTGCCAGAATTCTACTTTATCTGACTGTATATTCTCTAAGAAGCTAATAAGTTTTAATAACTTCTTTTAAAAATTATGTAAGGTAAATTATTCAACAGTTTTCAATATAGCTTAAGTTCTTCACATCAAGCCATCTATATCTTATTATTACAAAATACTACATATTATCCATACATTCTTCCATTCAGTATTTATTGAGATCCTACTATGAGATATTCCCCCAAGAAAGCACACAAACTTTCACTGACCAAGAATGAAGACAAAAACAGTAGCAGATAAGATGAATTTTTTGAAATCTTCATTCACACTTGATTAATGTGGTTATCAAGCCTCCCTGAAACTATCAACTCTGAACCATACCTGTTAAGTCGGGTAGAGCAGATTCTGAGGCCTCAGTGCACAGGCAGCAAAGTGAAGTGTCCTGATCTCTGCCATAACTATTAGGTGGAAGGAGAACTGTCCCAAGGACCATACCTCTGCCCAGAAGCACAAAAGTTAAACTGTTCTGTGTAAAGAGGAAGTCTTAGAATTCCATTCTCTGACAAGCAATACCACATGCATGTGACATTTACTCATGTACTCAGTGGCCAGAGGGAACCAATAAAATGGTGAGCATTCACAATTCCCAAAGTGGGTGGAGAGTGACCTAAAGGAAAATTTCCAGCAATCCGCAAAAGACTGAGTCAGAATGGAGTTACTTCAAAATCTCTGAGAACACTTTTAAAATGTAAGTAAAATAAAAACCAACATATATATGTATAACAAATAGCCTAATAATAAAACAATGTAGAAGTTAATATATCTCTATTTTATAGGGAGATGATGAGGTGAGACTAGAGAGAAAAGTTTCCTTGGAGAAAATCTGTTTACAATAAAACACGAAATACACTTTTAAAAGAAAGGAAACGCCTAACAAGACTCATCTTTTACATCACTTAAATAGTTCAAGAAACCACAAAGCCAAAGTCAAAGAAATAGCTGTGATCTGATTCATGAGCACAGAAGCCAAGAAATAACTGCCTTTGCTAACAATCTGGCTCTATAGCTTAATAAAGGTTAAAAACATGGCAATATAGTGTTGAAAACTTTTGAGTGTTAAAAGTTTATTTACTTATTTATTTTTATTTACTTATTTATTTTTTGAGACGGAGTCTCGCTCTGTCGCCCAGGCTGGAAGGCAGTGGCGCGATCTCGGCTCACTGCAACCTCTACCTCACGGGTTCAAGTGATTATCCTGCCTCAGCCTCCCAGGTGACTGCGATTACAGGCGCCCGCCACCACGCCCAGCTAATTTTTTGTATTTTTAGAAGAGACGGGGTTTCACTATGTTGGCCAGGCTGGTCTCAAACTCCTGACCTCGTGATCCACCTGCCTCAGCCTCCCAAAGTGCTAGGATTACAGGCATGAGCCACCATGCCCAGCCTGAGTGTTAAAAGTTTTTAAAGCAAAAAGCCCAATCTTTGTTAATAAACAGGAACAAAGTTAAAGAAAATTTAAAAACCTGAAAATGATAGTACTTTATGAGAATTAAACTAGTAAAACCTACAAATAATACATGACTTTAATGTATGATCTACAAAAATAATATTAAAGAGCGTTTGTAGGCCAGGGGCGGTGGCTCACGCCTGTAATCCCAGCACTTTGGGAGGCAGAGGTGGGTGTATCACAAGGTCAGGAGATCGAGACCATCCTCCTGGCTAACACAGTGAAACCCCACCTCTACAAAAAATACAAAAAATTAGCCCGGCATGGTGGCGGGCGCCTGTAGTCCCAGCTACTCGGGAGGCTGAGGCAGGAGAAAGGCATGAACCCAGGAGGTGCAGCTTGCAGTGAGCCAAGATCGCGCCACTGCACTCCAGCCTGGGCGACAGAGCGAGACTCCATCTCAAAAAAAACAAAAAAAAGAGTGTTTGTTTAACTGTGTATCTGAGAACACTCATTCACTCAATAAATATTTATTAAGCACCTACTATGTACCAGCCCCTGTTCTAGGTCAATATAAGTAACAGGGTAAGATAATAGGATGACAGGACTGAAACAGCCTTAGAGAAAATTGAAAAATAAAATGGTAACTTAACCTTATTAGAGAAAGAATAACTTTAATGTAGGTAATTATTAACTATTTAAAATAACAAAGCTTATGTTTTCAATAAAATTATCCTTTATAAAGCCAGTACTTTCAACATCAAGGGACAAATAAAAGAGTTAGATGACTAAAGGTTACCACAATTATGACTAAGAATTTCAAATACCAGATTGAATATCTCATTCTCCGGATTATAGAAAAAAAGGTATGGGAAAGGATCTTCATCATCCACATTCTATCCATATGTAGACTCTATACCATATGGTTTACTATTTAATCAATAAATCTTCTATTTAAATTACCAATAATTAGTAGTTACATTTTCAATTACTTATAGCATAATTTGGAATAAAGAGGAGATAAATGGATAAACAAAAGGTGGTCTATACATATAATGAAGTATTATTTAGCCATAAAAAGAATGAAATGTTGATATATGCTACAATGTAGATGGGCCTTGAAAATATGATGCTAAGTGAAATAAGCCAGACACATCAAGGCAAATATTATATAATTCTACTTACATGAAATATTTAGAATTTTTCTAGTTCTGGAAGTCTAGTTCTGCAAATGGATGGCTATACAACATTATGAATATATTTAATCCTACTAAACTGTACATCTACGAATAGTTAAAATAGTAAATTCTGATACTTTGTCATAATTAAAAATTAAAATTACTAAGGTCTCCAAAGGCCTTTTGTTTATGTTATAGCTATCAGTATTTACTATATTTGAAATTAAACCTGAAATTTTAATGAGAAATTTGAATACCTATTAATTCTAAAATAACAATAAACCCATTATGTTAATAACATATTTTTACCAAAAAGAAAACTATTTTCAAAAAAGAATTAAGAAGATAAGAGTAGCATTTTCAGTTTTTGCAAATCTCTTTAATAGGCTGAGGTGGAAAAGTGCATTACTTTAATGAACGTGACAAACTAAGGCCAGAAGCAAAAGAAGAATCTAAGCAAAGATGAGGAGGAGCGGGGGCATTCTGAGTAGACAATGTAGCAAGTTCAATGCAAAAACTCTGAGGTAGGAAAAGAACCTGGTATGTACAGGAAATAAGAAGTGTGGCTACTGTTACGGAAGTCAAAAGATGAGCATGAAACAAAGTAAGGTAGACAGGGGCTGGCCAAATCAAGTGCTTAGGGATTTAGGATTCTATTCCAAGTGCAATGGAAATCCAGTGAACAGTTTTAAGCAGGATGGCCATATGGTCTGATCTCCATTTTTTTTTTTTTTTTGAGACAGGGTCTTGCTCTGTCTCCCAGGCTGGGGTGCAGTGGCGTGATCTTGGCTCACTACAACCTCCACCTCCCAGGTTCAAGCGATTCTCCTGCCTCAGCCTCCTGGGTAGCTGGGATTACAAGGTGTGCACCACCATGCCTGGCTAATTTTTGTATTTTTAGTAGAGATGGGGTTTTGCCATGTTGGCCAGGCTGCTGATTTCCATTTTTTAAAAGACCATTATTACATGAAAAAAAATGAATTACATTGAGAACCAAATTAGAAGCAGAAAACTATGCAGTAGTTCAGCAATGGGATCATGTTGGCTTAGAATAGGATGGTGGCAGTGGAGACAAAGAAAAGTGGAAGAACTTAACGATATGGTTTGAAGAGGGAATCAACAGGGCTTGCAGATTACTTGGATACAACATAAGAGAGAAGGAGAAAATAAAGAACGGCTGCCAGGTTTTAGGCTTAACTGTAACTGGGTAGATGGCCATGTAATTCACTGAGAAGCAGCAGTAGCACAGGTTGAGTATACCTTATCCAAAACACTTGAGACCTGAAGTGTTTCAGGTTTAAAATTTTTTCAGATTTTAGAATATGTGCATATATATAATGAGATATCTTGAGGTTGAGTCCCAAGTGATATGGTTTGGCTGTGTCCCTACCCAAAATCTCATCTTGAATTGTAATCCCCATAAATCCCTACGTGTCAAGGGCAGGATCAGGCGGAGATAATCGGATCATGGAGGCATTTTCCCCCATGCTGTTCTCGTGATGGTGAGTCTCACAAGATCTGATGATTTTATAAGCGTCTGGCATTTCCTCTCCTTGTACTCACTCCATCCTGCCACCCTGTGAGGAAGGTGCCTGTTTCTCCTTTGCCTTCTGCCATGAGGAAAAAGGAAAGGAAAAAGATATATCACCCCAAAATATGTCTCTGACATAAAAATTATTTTTGAGCCTAAAGCAATGAATAGGGGAAAAGCTCTCCATATCCTCTTGCTTTTCTACCTAAAGACAGGATACAAATTCTCCTTTACTGGTGACAACTATAGACTCTTATCAGCCCAGAGATGGCCTGAGCCTGGGAGGTTGAGGCTGTAGTGAGCCAAGATCACAGCACTGCACTCCAGCCCACATGACAGAGCCAGACCCTGTCTTTAAAAAAAAAAAATTTAAAAAGTAGGCTAAGAACATGAACAGACATTTTCCAAAGATGACACATAGGTGGCTAACAAACATATGAATAAATGGTCCAATCACTAATCATCAGAGAAATGCAAAAAAAAAAAAAAAAAAAAAAAAAAACCAACTGATGTTGGCAAGGATGCAGAGAAAAGGGAACACTTATTCACTGTTGGTGGAAATGTAAGTTAGCACAACCTCTACGAAAAACAGTATAGAAATTTCTCAAAGAACTACAAGTAGAACTATACTTCAATCCAGCAATCCCACTACTGGGTATCTACCCAAAGGAAAAGAAATCATTCTATCAAAAAGACACTTGCACTCCATATATTTATTGTAGCACTATTCACAATAGCAAAATCATGGAATCAACCTAAGTGTCCATCAATGGATGACTGGAGTTTTTAAAATGTGGTATAGATATACCATGGAATACTACTTAGCCATAAAGAAGAATAAAATCATGTATTTTGCAGCAACATGGTTGGAACTGGAGGTCGTTATCCTAAGTGAAATGACTTAAAAACAGAAAGCCAAAAACCCTATGTTCTCATTGTAAGCGGGAGCTAAACAATGGTACACATGGACATACCGAATGGAATAATATATTCTGGAGACTCCAAAAGGTGGAATACTACCTATTGGGTCCCATGTCATGTATGCTATTCAGGTGATGGTTACACTGGAAGCCCAGACTTCACCACTAGGCAATATATCCATGGAAGAACTGCACTTGTACCCTCCAAATCTATAAACTTTTTTTAAAAAAGCAATAGAGAGACCTCAGCTTTTGCAAGATTAACTCTCTTTAGGTTAGTCAATAATAGTATAAGTACATGTTGTTTTATTATTCTTTGCTTTACTGTGCTTTGCAGACGCTGTGTTTTTCACAAATTGAAGGTTTGTGGCAACCCTACATTGAGCAAGTCTATCAGCACCACTTTTCTTTTCTTTTTTTTTTTTTTTTTGAGACAAAGTCTCACTCTATTGCCCAGGCTGGAGTGCAGTGGCATGATCTCAGCTCACTGCAACCTCCACCTCTCAGGTTCAAGCAATCCTCCAGCCTTAGCCTCCTGAGTAGCTGGGACCACACGTGTGTGCCATCACCCCCGGCTAATTTTTGTATTTTTTTGTAGAGAAGTGGTTTCACCATGTTGCCCAGGCTGCTCTCAAACTCCTGAGCTCAAAGCGATCTGCCCACTTCAGCCTCCCAAAATGTTGGTATTACGGGTGTGAACCACCGCACCTGGCTAGCACCATTTTTCCATCAAGTGCTCACTTCATGTTTCTGTGTCACCTTGTGGTAATTCTCACAATATTTCAAACTTTTTAATTGTTATCATATCTATTATGGTGATCTGTGATCAGTGATCTTTGATGTCACTACTGTCATTGTTTTGGGGCGCCACAAACTGCGCCATAGGAGACAGCAAAATTAATCATGACCACTCCACTGATCAGCTGTTTCCCTGTCTCACTCCCTCTCCTCAAGCCTATTCCTTGAGACACAACAATACTGAAATTAGGCCAAAACTGGGCACAGTGGCTCACGCCTGTAATCTCAGCACTTTGTGAGGCCGAGGTGGACAGATCACATGGTCAGGAGTTCGAGACCAGCCTCGCCAACATGGTGAAACCCCGTTTCTACTAAAAATACAAAAATTAGCTGGGTGTGGTGGTGCATACCTGTAATCCCAGCTACTCAGGAGGCTGAGGCAGTAGAATTGCTTGAACCTGGGAGGCAGAGGTTGCAGTACGCCGAGATCATGCCACTGCACTCCAGCCTAGGCAACAGAGCAAGACTCCGTCTTGAAAAAAAAAAAAAGGAAAAAAAAAAAAAGAAATTAGACCAATTTATAATGGCCTCTAAGTGTTCAAGTGAAAGGAAGAGTTGCATGTCTCTAACTTTAAACCAAAAAGTAGAAATAAGTTCAGTGGGCAAGAATGTCAAAAGTTGAGATAGGCTAAAAAACTACGTCTCTCGTACAAGTTAGCCAAGTTGTGAATGCAAAGTAAAAGTTCCTGAAGAAAATTAAAAGTGCTACTCTAGTAAACACAAACATGATAGGAAAGTGAAACAACAGCCTTACTGCTGATATGGAGAAAATTTGAGTGGTCTGCAAACCAGCCATAACATTCCCTTAAACCAAAGCCTAATCCAGAGCAAGGCCCCAACTCTCTTCAATTCTGTGAAGGCAGAGAGAGGTAAGGAAGCTGCAGAAGAAAAGTTTGAAGGTAGCAGAGGTTGGTTCATGAGATTTAAGGAAAAGAAGCCATGTCCTTAACATAAAAGTACAAGGTGAAGCAGCAAGTGCTGATTTAGAAGCTGCAGCAAGTAAGAAAATCTAGCTAAGATCACCGATGAATGTGGCCACACTAAACAACAGATTTTCAGTGTAGATGAAACACCCTTCAATTGGAATAAGATGACATCTAGGACTTTCATAGCTAGAGAGGAGAATGTCTAGCTTCAAAGGACAGGTTGATTCTCTGGTTAGGGGTGAATGTTGCTGTTGACTTTAAATTGAAGCCAACGCTCATTTGCCATTTTGAAAATCCTAGGACCTTTAAGAGTTACACTAAATCTATTCCACTTATGCTCTATAAATGGAACAACAAAGCCTGAATAAGAGCACATCTATGTACAGCATGGTTTAGTGAATATTTTAAGCCCACTGTTGAGACCTACAGCTCAGAATAAAAAAGATTCCTTTCCAAATATTACTGCTCATTGATAATGCACTTGGTCACTTGGTACATTTAATGATATGTTGTTTTCATGCCTGTGAACACAACATCCATTCTGCAGCCCATAAATCAATGAGTAATTTCAAGTCTCATTACTTAGGAAAAACATTTTGGGCCGGGCATGGTGTCTCATGCCTGCAATCCCAGTACTTTGGGAGGCCAGGGTGGGAGGGCTGCTTTAGGCCAGGAGTTCAAGACCAGCTTGGGCAACATAGTGAGACCCCATCTCTAAAAAAAAAATTTTTTTTTTCTAATTATCCAGGCATGGTGGCGCACACCTGTAGTCCCAACTATTAGGGAGGCTGAGGTGGATCACTTGAGCCCAGGAGGTCAAAACTGCAGTGAGCCATGGTACACTGTACTCCAGCCTGGGCAGCAAAGCAAGACCCCGTCTCAAAAATGAAACAAAACATTTTATACAGTAATAGCTGCCACAGTCAGTTCTCTGATGGATCTGTTAAAATCAATTGACAACCTTTTAGAAAGGATCTACCATTCTAGATGCCATTAAGAGCATTCATCATTCATGGGAAGAGGTCAAAATAGCAACACTAACAAGAGTTTGGAATAAGTTGATTCCAATCTTCATGCATAACTTTGAGGAGTTCAAGACTCCAGGGGAGAAAGTAATTGCAGATGTGGTGGAAACAGCAAGAGAACTAGAATTACAAGTGGAGTCTGAAGATGTGACTGAATTGTTGCAATCTCATGACAAAACCTGAACGGATGAGGAGTGGCTTCTTATGAGTGGGCAAAGAAAGTGGTCTCATGAGATGGAATCTATTCCTGGTAAAGATGCTGGGAATACTGTTTAATTATGACAAAGAATTTGGACTATTACATAAACTTAGTTTGCAGCAGCAGGATTTGAGAGGATTGACTCTAATTTTCAAAGAAGTTCTACTGTAGGTAAAATGCTGTCAAAAAGCACTGCATTCTACAGAGAAATCTTTCATGAAAGAAAGTGTCAACGGATTTGGTAAACTTCATTGTTGTCTTATTTTAAGAAATTGCCACAGCCACCCCAACTTCCCAACTTCCCAACTTCCAGCAACCACCACCCTGATCTCAGCAGCCATCAATGTTGGGGCCAGGCCTTCCACCAAAAAAATGATTTGCTGAAGTCTCAGATGATCATCAGCATTTTTTAGCAATGAAGTATTTTTTAATTAAGGCATGTCCTTTTTTAATAGACATAATGCTAATTACACACTTAGTAGACCACAGTATAGCATGAACACGACTTTTATATGCACTGGGAAACAAAAAAAAAATTGTTTGACTCATTTTATGGTGATACTCACTTCATTGCAGTGGCATGAAACCAAACTTGCAATATCTCCAAGGTATGACTATAGTTAAAGAGGATAGTTCCCTACCTCTCATACACTCACATTCACAAAAAATCAAGATGGCGTTTTAATCAGAACTATGCTTATCCTCCCCCTCTGTGTATTCAAATCCTATATTTCTTTCAAGGTATAGTTTAAGTTCCTAGATTCTCCTTGAACCTGACCTCTGGTCATTTCAGATTAAGTAATCTCTTCCTTTGCCTAAGCTCAAAGCACCCATTGCCTAAAATAGCAATTGTTATACTAATATGGGACATCCTCTATACTATATTTAATATAATTTATACATCCTGTTTTTATGTCTTTTTTTCTCAAGTTTCTGTAGGTACAGAATCAATGCTTCCAATGAAGTCAGCAGAGTGCTTTGCTAATAATTGACAAAAAAAGGATTAACTCATTTTAAAAATCCAGTACGTATGAGACTTCTTGCCACAAAAAGTAAAAGCTGTAACAGCATTTTTCTCTTTTTCTACATCAGTATTTCTCAACTTTTTTTTCATAACCATTACTCTATGGAATAAAATTAAATTTAAGTAACTATAATTCATTGATTTAATTTAATTCAATTTCTCCCTAACAAGAGAAATTAAATGCTGAAATGATAAAATTCTTTACCGTAGCATTGAGCTTTGGAGGATCACAAACCATTGTAACTATCTAAGTTGTTATCACCCCTGTTGAAAATGCATGCTCTATACCTATCTAAACCATATACTTAAAGGTTCAAACAGGATGCATTTGCTCCTGGTAGAGTAGGAGCCTTTTCTGATTATGTAACCATAGGTATCAACCTACTGGATTCAAAGTCTTCTATTACAGATAAAGGAAGAGCACATTTTTCTAAGCAGAAAAAAACAATATAAACAAAGACATGGCGGGGAAAGGTAGTCCAAATTCAAGGCCAGATCAAGATGTGGAAACCTGGGTAGGCTAATAATTAACACTTCTTCAAACCAGTACCAAATGTGTGTTCAACATTTACTCAGGGAGAAGCCTGAAGTTTACATTATACCTCTGCTCTGGTCCTGAAGAATTCACCTTTGTCCCTAACTTGGAGTCTTGATTCAGCTAAAAGCCCTGCAGTTAATCAGAATTACTGACCTCAAGTGTCAGTTTGGCATGTCCTTTGGTGGTCTCACACACTAGCCCAAACTGCTTATGAAAATATTTCCCAAAGCTACATAAAATACCTTCTCTGAGAGTATTTTTAGTAAACCATTTCTTCATCTTGTTACATTTCCTGTGAACCTTCAGAAACCAACTCCCTGAAGAGGAGCTCAGGTGGTACTTTCCTTAATCCAGCTCACTGAGTTTTTTGCATGATGAATTTGGCCTGATTAGAGAGATGACTGTGTGTGTGCATGTGCATGTGTGCGTTTGTGTTTGTGTGTAAGTAAATAAAATAAGGTGAAATATATGTGGGCCAAATGACATGTTCTTGACATTCAGACAAAAGAATTCAGACTTATCACAGTAAGCAACAAGGAATCATTCTAGGTTTGTGAGTAGTAGCAGCACAATGTGCTACTTAAAGAATACTGATCTATAAGACTTCTCATAGACCACCTGAAGTTGCAGAGAATAACTAAAAGTCTGCTGCAGAAAACTAAAGTGAGATGATAAGGGCCTGGCCACAGAATGGAGAACAGACAGATTCAAGAAATCTTTTGGAGAAGGGATTTGATAATTATCTGGAAATAAAGGATATCGGAAAGGAAACAAATATTAAATCTCTGGTTTGGAGCAAAATGAATATAAAGTAACACCCAGATATCAAAGAAAGAGTTGCAAGAACAAGACTAGAATGTAAGTGGGGTATTTCCATTAAGGACACAAATTCAGAAGTAATAAACATGGCTCAACATTTTACAGAAAAAAAAAGGAAGTTATTAGCATTCAAAAACATTTTTATCAATGAAAAGAGTGGCAATAATTGTAAGATTTTATACTCAATTTCTGAAATACTTTCTAAACCAAAATAATACATTTCTGGATGGTGCCGGATAACAGAAATTTCTAACCTCATTACTCTTTCCTGTTCATTTCGTACATCCTCCCTAGGTGAAGTCATTCACATACAATTCTTTCAGTTATAAACTCTAGGCTATTGGCTCCTGTATTAGTTTCCTGCAGCTGCTATAACCATATACTAGATGGCTTAACCCAACAGAAATGCATTCTCTCATAGTTTGGGAGGCCGGAAGTCTGAAATGAGCAACACTGGGACAAAATAAAGGTGTCAGCGGGAGACTCCAAGGAGAATCCATTCCTTGCCCCTTCCAGCTTCTAGTGGCTGCCAACATTCTTTGGCTTGTAATCCAACCCATCGTCAAGGCCAGGATCTTCAAATCTGTCTCTGTTCCAGGTTCACATTGCCTTCTCCTATGTGTGTGTGAAATCGTCCTCTGTTACACGTGATGGCATTTAGGGTCCAACTCAATAATCCAGGATAAGCTCCCCATCACATGTATAAAGACCAAAAATTCCCCCCACCTGCAACTTTATTTTTGCTATGAGAGGTAACATTCATAGGTTCCAGGGATTAGGACATGGATATCTTTTGAGGGGGTACTTTTCAACCTACCATAGCTCCCAAATGTCACCAGCCCAGAACATTTTCCTGATTAACAGATTGCCTGATTCCTATAGCCTATGGATAAGTAGATACCTTTGGATATCCTAAAGGCAACAAAAATCCATTTTGTTCCTACTCCTGGTTTGTTTCTCTTCTGTTTCATGTACATGTACATGTGTATGTTTTGTTGTTGCTAATGGCATATCCAGGCATCCAACCCAGAAACATCATGATCATTCTAGAGTCCTCTTTCTTCCCTAATTCACTCTATGAGTATATCCTATGAATCATACCTCTTAAATATCTCTCAAACCCATCCGTTCCTCTTCATTTGGTACCATTATCTTAATTCAGCTCCTCATTATTTCCTTGCCTGAACTGCTACAACATTCATTTATCACATTATGGCCAAAAACCAACTGCCCAAAAGTATAAATAATCCCCACAAGTTCCCCAAGTCAAATAGCTAAGTTTTCAAAGTTCAAATACTTCAGAAATTTATTCCAATGAGTTTGTGATTTTTAAATGTTACACTTAATTATGTGTCGGTCTTTATGAAATACATGTTCCACGTCTCCTCTCTCCTCACCCAGCTCTTCATTCTTCTCACAAGGATCAAACAGGATCTTGTCTTTCGACTCTATCCTCAAGGAAATAGAGGACTTGCTATAATTTATTATATTCGGAAACTCTGACTGAGCCACATATTGTGTCTACTGTGTTTTCCTCCTGCCTCTTATTAAAAGTATGGCCCTTTCATGCAACTAGAAAGGTAAGATCTCTAATTCGGTCCTAACCAATTATGTTTCTTCACCGGGGCTTGAGGCCAAACCTACTGCTGATGATAGAAAGTGTAATCCTGCCTTACTTAGTACCATGTGCAGATTTCATCCTTGAAACAGAATACTGGCTGAAGGACTGACCTATGGTAGAACACAGGGATTCTTGTGTTCTGGCCAAAAGAACCTCTTAATATCATCTCCCTAATAGCATCCCTTCTCATTATTTATTAGATTATTATTTGCCTTCTTATTGAAGGTATAGGTGTTCTGAGATAATTATTACGGTATTCACATTTGGGAAAGACTCATCTTTAAACAGCTGTTAGCATTTGACAGTATGATCACGGATTTTCCTCTGTATTTAATCACTGTACCTTGCACATAGCAGCCCCAAGTACTTCTGATATACTGTAATTTATAACATCATTACCTACAGCCCTGAAAGACAGGCATTATTATCATAACTTACAAATACTTGGAAATGTCAATTAACTTGTTCAAGTCCCAAAGCTAGTTGGTGTAACCAGGATTCAAAACACTAGGTCTTTTCTAATTCCAAAGCCCATGCTCTTTTCACTATACCAGGCTGCCTCTCTAATGCAATAGAGAGTGGTACAAAAAGAACTGGAAAAGTCCTTTTCTTATCTTCTGGTGAAGACTTTGAAAACAGCCAGGCCCCAAAGTCGGCTGATCTTGATTCATCTGCCTATACACGTGATGATATTTAAGAGTTAAACCTAACAGACTAATCGGAACGATATGCATGTGCTTACCAAACAATCCATTTCATCAAAGGAAACTGGAAATGTCTGCCATTTACTCCCAGCAACAGGGTAATCACAAATTTTTCCAAAGTGAATGCACAATGACTCAGAGAACAGTTTTTAAAATTTATACAGCTCGGCCAGGCGCGGTGGCTCACACCTGTAATCCCAGCACTTTGGGAGGCCGAGGCAGGCGGACTACCTGAGATCAAGAGTTTGAGACCAGCATGGCCAACATGGTGAAACCCGTCTCTATTAAAAATACAAAAAAATTAGCCAGGCGTGGTGGCATATGCCTTTAGTCCCAGCTACTCAGGAGGCTGAGGCACAAGAATCGCTTGAACCTAGGTGGCAGAGGTTGCAATGAGCCGAGATCGGGCCACTACACTCCAGTCTGGGAGACAGAGCAAGACTCCATCTCAATTAAAAAAAAAAAAAAAAAATTATACAGCTCATGCCAGAACTTAGAATCCATCCAAAAAAAATAACTTTTTCTCTAGTATGACTGGACAATTTCCATCTCTTCTTGGAACAACCTTATTTGGACCAAAAATTGAATACACAGTGTCCTTCCCTTTGGTTTTTCCTCAAAAAAAGGATGAGCTGAACAAAAATCTTCCCTAATATATGGCTCACCTCACAAACATCTCACCAAAAAAGACAATGTATGTGTGGGTATTCATTAGGAAATATTTCTTATAAAGTTTCCCTAACCTTACTCTTTTAGGACACCTGTCACTGTACTGTAGATAATGTACTAACATAACAAGCTTTTCATATGATGTTAAAAATAAAAAACAAAACAAAACAACAAAAAAACAGGTTCTTCTTGTTTCAGACCTGCGGAGCTAGTTCTCCAATATTTATGAAGAGGTATGTCTATATGTATATACACTCCCTACATATATTTGGGTACTGGCTGCAAGCTATTTCCTACTGGCTGAACTCAAACTGCCTTAACCAAGAGAAACAAAGCACCTATTCACTACCCTTATTTCAGCAGCTACTGGCTACCCAAAGCAATAGAATTCTGATCCTCCATATAGAATGTGTTAGAAGTAAGAAGGAGAAAAACCATACTTGAAATTACAAAATTTTGGTTTAGGACACACTAATATAGTTTTGTTGTTGCTCAAATAATTTATAAAAGCATGCTCAGGATTCAGTCCCTGTGCTTTCACTGCTGAACATCATTTTTCTCCAGCTTCAAACAAGACTATCATGGAAGTTACAAAAGCACTGGAAATTTTTCATTACATACCTTAGTTAATAAAACTTTACTAGGCCTGGCATGGTGGCTCACACCTGTAATCCCAGCACTTTGGGAGGCCAAGAAGGATGGATCACTTGAGGCCAGGAGTTCAAAGACCATCCTGGTCAACTTGACGAAACCCCGTCTCTATTAAAAACATACAAAAAATTAGCTTGGCGTGGTGGTGGCACCTGTAGTCCCGGTCACTTGGAAAGGTGACGCAGGAGAATTGCGTGAACCAGGGAAACAGAGGCTGCAGTGAGCTGAGATGGCGCCACTGCATTCCCACTTGGGCAACAGAGTGAGTGAGAGTCTGTCTCAAAATAAATAAATAAATAAATAAATAAATAAATAAATAAATAAATAAATAAAACTCTATTAAATTAATTTTTAATAGATGCTCTGTCAGTATCAAACAGTGAATGACTCACAATAAAGCTCATTGTTATCGCTGGCTTTATTTATGAGAGGTAAAAATCATGCAGCAGCAACAACTCTGCTTTAACTCCACCACCACTACCAATACAGGTTGAGTATTCTTAATCCAACAACCTAAAATGCTCCAAAATCTGAAACTTTCTGTGGACTGACATGACACTCAAGGAAAATGTTCACTGGAGCATTTAGGATTTTGGATATTCAAATTAGGGATACGGTCTGGGCACAGTCACACCTATAATCCCAGAACTTTGGGAGGCTGAGGCAAGCAGATCACATGAGGTCAGGAGTTCGAGACCAGCCTGGCCAACATGGTGAAACCCTGGTCTCCACTAAAAATACAAAAAATTAGCTGGGCCCGATGGCGTGTGCCTATAATCTCAGCTACTCGGTAGGCTGAGGCAGGAAAATCACTTGAACCCGGGAGGCGGAGGTTGCAGTGAGCCAAGATCATGCCACTGTACTCCAGACTGGGTAACAGAGGGAGACTGTCTCAAAAAAAAAAAAACTTAGGAATACTGAACTGGTATGCAAATATTCCAAAATCTGAAAAACATCCAAAATTCGAAACACTTTTGGTCCCAAGCATTTCAAATAAGGGATACTTAGCCTGTAATGTCTTTCTAGTGCACTAGTCCATTGATCAGGTAGGAGGGAGTGAGGAAAGAAAGGCCCTTTAAAGTTATCCAAAAGACAAATTACAGAATCTTTTTTTTTTTTTTTGAGACAGAGTCTCGCTCTGTTGCCCAGGCTGGAGTGCAATGGTGCAATCACGGCTTACTGCAGCCTCATACTCCTGGCCTCAAGCGATCCTCCTGCGTCAGCCTCCCAAAGTGCTAGGATAACAGGCATGAGCCACTGCACCTGGCCCAAATTACAGAATCTTTAAGCATAGGAGCTAGTAGAGTTTCTTCACCAGGATAGCTGGGCCCAGGCTAAGAAAGGAATGACTTTGTGTATTTAAACCGTCTCGAAAGAATGGTTCATTTCCATTTTCCTTTTCAGTTTTGCTAGATTTCCACTGATTCTATCTTGATGGCAGAAGGGTGGAATACGGTGTTCACAAATAAAAGGAGACCATAGGAGAGTCAAGGAAAGAATACAAATCAGACATCAAATTTCTTCCTGAATGCTGAGCCAGATTGTGAGGACTAGGATTGGGGACAGGAAAGAATAGGCAAAAGGTAGAGAAAAGCAATGAAATACTAACTCCACAACAGGAAAAATTAAATTCTGGACTTTTGAGCATCACAATATCCAAGAGCAATTTAGAAGATAGAGAATGGGAGAGAAATAATACATAACAGGTGTTGAATACTTGGTTATATAAACCAGGTGCTTTACATATATTATAATGAACCCTCATGTTAACTCTGCTAAAAATATTATATTATCCCATTTCACAGATGAACAGACCATGTGGTAAGATGTAGAGATACAATTCTGGAATAGGATTTGGAATTCTGCCTCCTGGTTCAGAGATCAATTTTCTTGGACTATCACAACCAGAAAGTTTAAGGGACCCCCACAACCACCTGATTGTCTTTCTGCACTTACGTAGTGAAACTGGCCTCTGACCTAAGGCTAGAAACCAGTGACTAACGTAAGTCCTTTTCCATGATGAGGGAGTGGATGGTGAAGAATGAATTTAAGAAAACATAAAGCCAGACATGGGTAGCGCACACACACAAAAAGAACATTCCTTATGAATATAGATGCAAAAGTCCTCAATAAATTATTTAATACTAGCAAACCAAATCTAGCAGGATAATAAGATTATTTTACTATACCAACTATGATTTGTCCCTAGAGTGCAAGGTTAGTTCAACATATGGAAATCAATATATAATACAGCATATTAACAGAAAAGAGTCATGCCTTGTAGAACTTTCTAGTTGTACTTAATGAGAATATAATATCATCTCCCATTTATTGAGTACCTAACACATGTGAAGTGTGAGGCAATATGAAATTAATTTAATTATAATAATAGCTGCATGGCAGCTGTTATATTATGAGTATAAATCAGCAGTAGAGCATGGTGGTCAAGAGCATAGATGCCAGAGCCAGATTCCCTGGGTCTGAATACTAATTCTACCACTTACTACATCTGTGATCAAGTTAACAGCATTTCTTCAGTTTCCTCATCTAAAAGTGAACAGTATAACTTGGATGTAACCTAAATTCAACTTAATGTGAATAAAATACATGCTGTAAGTACAGATAACCTCTTTAATCTGTAATCCTTAGAACCTGTAGTCTAAGGTCAATCAGTTTTCCAATTCATAAAGAGGGTCTACACCACTGCTCCACAAGCAAGGTAACACATAGTAAAATAGTCACAGAACACATGAAGATTATCACAGCTTGCTGGTGAAGGAATAAGTAGTCCTACTCAACATATTGGCTCAAATATACTGACATCATTCCATAAACTATCGGCAACAGCTGTTTATGATGGGATTTCTGGTTCAGCTGATTTGTTGATTTTCTGACCATGAATTTAAGAGATACATCTGTTTAAGAAAGAGCTAGAAAATATGGTAGCCTGTCACTTCAAAATGTGTCGTTTTTGGTTGTTTTTGCAACTGTCATTACCTTGAAGACTTCCTAAAATTTTGATTAATAGCCATGGGCTGCTACACTGATTTATACTTGACCAATATAGACTAATACAGAATTTTATTAATCTCTCAAATACGGGTTTAAATGATGTAATGAAGTACAGGCTTTTCTGAAACTGCTTATATTAATACAAAATAATGTCTTATAAAAATACTTGTATAATGCTTATATATATAACTTGTATATATAACCTATATAAAACATAAAGGCTGGGTGTGGTGCCTCATGCCTGTAATCCCAGCACTTTGGGAGGCCAAGGTGGGCGTATCAACTGAGGTCAGGAGTTCAAGACTGGCCTGGCCAACGTGGTGAAACCCTGTCTCTATTAAAAATGCAAAAATTAGCTGGGTATGACGGCATGCACCTGTAGTCCCAGCTACAGGGAAGGCTGAGGCAGGAGAATTGCTTGAACCCGGAAGGTGGAAGTTGCAGTGAGCCAAGATGGCGCCACTGCACGCCAGCCTGGGTGACAGAGTGAGACTCCACCTCAAGAACCAAAACAAAAACATACATAACTTGTATTTTATATAACTTGTATACCATACTTATATAACTTCTATAATATTCATATAACTATTAATACTCATAAATATTAAGTATCTACTTCAGCCGGGGGTGGTGGCTTACATCTGCAATCCCAATTATTCACGAGGCTGAGGCAGGAGGATCACCTGAGGCCAGGAGTTCAAGACCAGCCTGGGCAACATAGTGAGACCCCATCTCTAAAAATAAAATAAATTTTAAAATAAAAAATAAAACATTTTGTAAAAGTATATACTTCTACATCATTCCTATATATCAAAATACCACTTAAGCTGAAATTCCAAACTTTTGGAACAAATATAAATATATAATTATTAGATTAGTATGTATACAATTAGTACATATCTACATTATCTAATTCTCGTAATAATCCTATCAGGTAAATAACTTGTCCAAGATTACACAGATTTGCTCCAATTTCCTTCATCTTCCTTATATATTTTATGATAAAAATTCATGCTTTGAAATACTGAGATATGAGTCTTTTAAAAATATCTTAGTTATATTCTTAATAATAAGACAAACATTATGTACCATATATGACAATTCATAATTTTCCAAATGTAATCATTTAAGCCAGGGTTTTTCAACCATGACACTATTGACATTTGGAGCCAAATAATTCTGTGTGGCGAGGCAGTGGGGGACATGAAAAGATGTTCAACAGCCATTAAGAAAATACAAATTAAAACCACAATGAGATACCACTACAAGCACAAGCCACCACACCTGGCTAGTTTTTTCATTTTTTGTAGAGACAGGGTCTCTGTTGCAAAGGCTGGTCTCAAACACCTGGCCTCAAGCAATCCTCCCACCTCGGCCTCCCAAAGTGCTGGGATTATAGGTGTGAGCCACCATGCCCAGCCTGCATTTCTAATATCATTCAGAGGTGATACCAATGCTAGTAGTCTAGGGACCAAACTGCCTAGAACTTCCTATACAAATAGGGATAAAGGGTCATTAACAGAGAACATTTTTTCTTTAAAAAAAGCAAAAGACTTGATAAGCTACATACCCCTCTCAAGGTATGAATTACAGTATTTTTATAATGCTAATTTTCAAGATTTAAGCCTGGCACAATAGTGCCCATCTGTAATTCCAGCTTCTTGGGAGGCTCAGGTAGGAGGATCACTTGAACTCAGGAGTTCAAGACTAGCCTGGACAACACAGGGATACCCTACCTCAAAAGAAAAAAAAAAAAAAGGAAAAACAGATTTAAAAACTAAATGATACCATGCATGAATATGTTTGATAAATAATGAGTACTTGGCCAGGTGTGGCGGCTCACACCTGTAATTCTGGCACTTTGGGAGACCAAGGTGGTAAAATCTCTGGAGTTTATGATCAGCCTGGGCAACATAGTGAGACCTCATCTCTACAAAAAATGAATAAAATCAGCTAGGCGTGGTGGCGCGTGCCTGTAGTCCAAACTACTCTAGAGGCTGAGACAGGAGGATTGCTTCAGGCTGAGAGATCAAGGCTGCAGTCAGCTGAGACTGTGCTAATGTACTCCAGCCTGGATGACACAGCGAGACCCTCTCTCAATAAAGAAATAACGAGTACTTATCAGGTGCCATACTGAGGTAACATGCTGCTGTGGTTTGAATGTGTCCCCCAAAGTTTGTATGTTAGAAACTTGATCCTCAATGCAACAGTGCTGGGAGATGGGGCCTAATGGGAGGTGTTTAGGACATGACGGCTCTACCCTCATAAATGGATTAATGTCAATATAAAATAGCTTGAGGCTGAGAGTTCAACCCCTCGTGCTCTCTTTCTCACTCTCTTTGCCCTTCCACCAGGTGATGTCTTCTGCCATGATGCAGCAAGACAGATGCCGGCCCGTTGATCTTGGACCTCCCAGCCTCCAGAACTCTGAGAAATGAATTTCTGTTCATTATAATTACCCAGTCTCAAGTATTCTGTTATAGCAACGCAAAATGGACTAACACACATGCTGAATGAGTCAATATTTCCCAAAGTGTGTTTCATAAAAGTAGGCTAAATAGATGTCACAAGTCAAGTGTTCCATAGTCAAATAAGATTGGAAAATGCTGAATATAACAAGTCCAACAATAAAGAAATGGCTAACTTATAAAAGCCATTAATATATTCACGTTCCTAGAAACCATCCAAAAGATAGCTAGAGGTGGCTCACACCTGTAATCCTAGCACTTCGGGAGGCCAAGGCAGGCAGATCACCTGAAGTCAGGAACTCAAGACCAGCTGGGCCAATATGGCGAAACCCCTTCTCTACTAAAAATACAAAAATTAGCCGGGCATGGTGGTACACGTCTGTAACCGCAGCTACCTGGGAGACTGAGGCAGGAGAATTGCTTGAACCCAGGAGGCAAAGGTTGCAGTGAGCCGAGATCAAGCCACTGCATTCCAGCCTGGGCAACAGAGCGAGACTCTGTTTTTAAAAAAAATTAAAAAATAAATTTAAAAAACCCCAAAAAATAGCTAGAGCATGTAATGTATCTCAGATTTCTTTTCTCACAGATATTCTTTTCACTAAGCATCTCAGAAGACTAGTATTATAGGGAATGGACTCTTGAGATAAGAACTGAGAGGAAAAAGAAAGGTTTAAATACAGCTATGTATCAAGCACTTCATATACATCATTTAAAATTATCTAATTCTCACAATAATCCTATCAAGTAATTAACTTGTCTGAGATCACAAGGTGAATTATAGCAGAACCCACATTTAAAACCTAGCCAACAGTATGTCTCTGAAGTCCTGCAACATTGTCTTTTTAATAAGAAAAAAATATCAAAGAGAGTCCTATGGGGTGTGGTGGAAAGGAAAGAAAATAAGAAAAGCAATGGGAACAAGAAACATTACTGTTGGTACAAAGCCCAAGCAAAAATGAGTTGAGGCTCTAACAACCCATTTAAAAACCAAAAGAGAACTTGAACAGACATTTCACCAAAAAGGTTATACAAATAGCAAATAAGCACATGAAAAGATGTTCAACAGCCATTAAGAAAATACAAATTAAAACCACAATGAGACACCACTATATGCCTATTGGAATGGCTAAGACAGAAAATACTGACATCAAGTGCTGACAAGCAAGCAGACCAACTGGAACTCTTACATGTTGCTGAGGGGAACACAAAATGGTGTAGCCACTCTGGAAAGCAGTTGGGCAGTTTGTTATAAAGTCAAACACTTACCATAGGACCTGGCAATCCCATTCTTGAGTATTTACACTGGAAAAATGGAAACTTAAGTTCACACAAAAACCTGAACACAAATGTTTATGGCAGCTCTATTGAAAATTGTCCCAAACTGGGCCAGGCGCAGTGGCTAACACCTGTAACCCCAGCACTTTGGGAGGATGAGGCGGGTGGATCACTTGCGGTCAGGAGTTCGAGAACAGCCTGGCTAACATGGTGAAACCCTGTCTCTACTAAAAATACAAAAATTAGCTGGGCATTGTGGCAGGTACCTGTAATCCCAGTGACTTGAGAGGCTGAGGCAGGAGAATCGCTTGAACCCAGGAGGCGGAGGTTGCAGTGAGCTGTGATCGCGCCACCGCACTCCAGTCTGGATGACAGAGTGAGACTCCGTCTCAAAAAAACAAAAAAAGAAAAGAAAATTGTCCCAAACTGAAAGCAACTTAAATGTCCTTCAGTGAATGAAGGGATAAACAAGGTGTGGTACACATCCATACTATGGAATACCACTCAACAATACAAAGGAATGAAGTATTGATAGACACAAGTTGGATGAATCTCAAAGGCATTTTGCTGAGTCTCCCACAGAAGCCAATCTCAAAAGATCTCATACTATATGATTCTAGCTCTATGACACTGCTGAAAGACAAAACTCTAGTGGTGGAGAACACATCAGTGGCTGCCAGGGATTAAAGGGGGGGAATATGTGACTACAGAGGGATTGCATGAGACAGTCTTTTGGGGTGATGAAACTGTTCCGCTGTTTGTGGGGTTATGCGAATTTACATGTGTTAAAATTCACAGAACCGTACAATAAACCAACAAAATCCATTTTACTGTGTGACGATTTTTTAAATTAAGAGAAAAAAAGCAGAAAATGTGTTGAAGCACATTTTCATGCCAGTTATATGTAAATAATAAAAAGTCATGCCATGAATGTCATATCATAGGACACATAGTTATTATTGAATAACTACAGATGAGAATTTTGCAGCTTCACTTGAATTTTAAATTTCCACACTTATTTTAGATATAATTACCTTCTGCTCAGAATTGTAACAAAAGTTTAGGTGAAAGTAAGGTCCTTCCTAAACACATAAAATATGTGGAATTCAGCATTCCAAGATCTTTGCATCTTCAGAAAAACACCATTGCCTATGTTATTTAGGCAAAAGATAATGAAATATCTAAGGGATGAAAGGAATGTGCCAATCCTCTTTCCCTAATAGAATTCCCAAACTCAATGTTGCTAGCACCTGGTACTATGACCTCAAGTTCAGAGCTGACATTCCTGAGGAGGGACTTGCAAATAAAACTAGATCATTCCTCAAGATCTACAATACAATCCTTTGTAACCCAAGCAGTCAGCTGTTTCCCTTGAGACTATGGAAGCATGCAACAACTGCTTACTCATACACTATAGTTTCTATGCATGAAATATATATGAATGTATCTGTGTAGAGTAGTCTCACCTTGCTCTCATGAGATACATTCCAAGACCGCCAGTGGATTCCTGAAACCTTGGATAGTACCAAACCCTATATATACTATGCTTTTTTCCTACACAAATAAGCCTATGATAAAGTTTAATTCATAAATTAGGTAAGGCAAGAGATGAACAATAAAATAGAATAAATATAATAATTACAATTTATATTGTAGTAGAAGTTAGGTGAATGTGATCTATGTCTCAAATGTATCTTGTGCTGTACTCACCCTTCTTCCAGTGATAATGTGAGATGATAAAATAGCTACATGATGAGATGAAGTGAGGTGAATGATGCAGACATTGTGACACAGCATGTAAAAGTTATAAATGCATAACTATAATTTATCAATGTATTAATTACTCAAATATTTAGTAAACACCTGCTATGTGCCAACTACTGTAACAGGAACCAGGTATATACCAATAAACTGGAAGGATGAGATCTGTGTCCCCATGTACCACCTCCAGTTTAAAGGCACTAGCAAGTCATTTTTATATCAACCATTTGAAGCAGGTAAAGTGAATGAGGAAGAAGGCATTCCAGGTAGAGGGTGACTGATGACAACAAAACTCCATAATACGTTTTGGAAATTAAAAAAAAAAACTAGTACAGCCCCAGATTTTCCATTTGCTTTTTGTGCAGAGGGTATGTGTGCATAGAAATGATGTGCTAAGAATATTAAAGTAGAGGAGGTAAGCAAGGACCAGATCTTAGATGGCCTTGAATGTCACACTACGAAGTTCAGATTTATTTTGTTGGCATTGAGAAGCCATTAACATAACAGTAACAATTTACAAGAGTGCTTCTTCTAGATAAATACATACTTTTACTTTTCTGGATTATGGGGGAGGGGACAGTTATGCCAGGGAAATAACAAAAACACACACTAGATCATTGAGATAATAGCTAAATCATGATGTTCTACCTCAGTATATAATCCCAGCCAGACACAAGACTTTATTTTTTTTTTTTCCAGACGGAGTTTCGCTCTTGTTGCCCAGGCTGGAGTGTAGTGGCGCGACCTTGGCTCACTGCAACCTCTGCCTCCTAGGTTCCGGCGATTCTCCTGTCTCAGCCTCCCAAGTAGCTGGGATTACAGGCACATGCTACCACGCCCAGCTAATTTTTTGTATTCACAGTAGAGACGGGGTTTTACCATGTTGGCCAGATTGGTCTCGAACTCCTGACCTCAGGTGATCTGCCCGCCTCGGCCTCCCTAAGTGCTGGGATTACAGGCATGAGCCACCACACCTGGCCCAGATTCAAGACTTTTAAACGTCAGACCTGACGCTAGAAAACAACTAGAAGAAAACATAGGAAAAATGCTTCAGGACATTGATCTAGGCAAAGATTTTATGGCTAAGACCTCAAAAACACAGATAGCAAAAACAAAAACAGACAAATGGAGCTATATTAAGCCAAAAAAAGCTTCTGCACAGCAAAGGGAACAATCAAGAGTTAAGTGACAACCTGTTTAATGGGAGAAAATATTTGCAAACTATTCATCTTATAAGGAACTAATACTCAGAATATACAAAGAATTCAACTCAATACTAAAAAAAAAAAAAAAAAGAAAATCAAACTCATTTAACAAGTGGAAAAAGGACATGGATAGACATTTCTCAAATAGCTAACAGGTATATGAAAAAATGTTCCTGGCAGGGCGCGGTGGCTCACGCCTGTAATCCCAGCACTTTGGGAGGCCAAGGTGGGTGGATCACGAGGGCAGGAGTTCGAGACCAGCCTGACCAACATGGTGAAACCCCGTCTCTACTAAAAATACAAAAATTAGCTGGGCATGATGGTGCCTGCCTGTAATCCCAGCTACTCTGGAGGCTGAGGGAGGAGAATCGCTTGAACCTGGAAGGCAGAGGTTGCAGGGAGCCGAGATCACATCGCTGCACTCCAGCCTTGGTGACAGAACAAGACTTCATCTCAAAAAAAAAAAAAAAAAAGAAAAAATGTTCTGTATCACTAACCATCAGGGAAATGCAAATCAAAACCACAATGAGATATTATGTTACCCCACTTGGAATGGCTGCTATTAAAAAGACAAAAAATAACAGATGCTGGTAAGAATGCAGAGAAAAGGGAAATCTCATATGCTGTTGGTGGGAATGTAAATTAGTACAGCTACTATGAAAAACAGTTGGAGATTTCTCAAAAAATTAAAAATAGAACTACCACACGATCCTGCAATCCCACTACTAGGTATTAATCCAAAGGAAAAGAAATTAGTATATCAAAAGACTACCTGCATTCACGTTTGTTTCAGCATTATACACAATAGGAAAGATATGGAATTAACCTAAGTGTCTATAAATCAACAAATGGATAGAGAAAATGTGGTGTATATACCACATATACACAAGGGAAATCTATTTGGCCATAAAAAAAGAATGAAATCATGTCATCTGCAGCAACACGGATGGAACTGAGGGTCATTATGTTAAGTGAAATAAACCAGGCACAAAAAGACAAATACCACATGTTCTCGCTTTTATGTGACAGTTGATCTCATGGAGCGAGAGTATAAAATTATAGATGGCTGAAAAGAGTGGGAGGTGGGAATGAAGAGAGATTAATGGGTATAAACTTAACTGTAAGAAGATTAAAAATTCTAATGTTCATTAACAGAGTGAAGTAAGTTCTAATGTTCATTGACAGAGTGGAGTGACTATAGTTAGAAACAACGTATTTTACATTTCTAGGTAGCTAGAAAAGAGGATCTGAAATGTTCCCAACACATAGAAATGATAAATACCCAAGGTGATGGACACCCCAAATACTCTGACTTAACCATTACTCATTCTATGCATGTAACAAATAATCACATATACCCAATAAATGTAAAAATATGTAGCAATTAAACATTTTTTTAAAAACAGAAATACAGGCTGGGCACCAAGGTGGGAAGATCACTTGAGGCCAAGAGTTCAAGACCAGCCTGGCCAACATGGCAAAACTCAGTCTCTACTAAAAAATACAAAACTCTGCGGGGTGTGGTGGCAGGCGCCAGTAATCCCAGCTACTCAGGAGACTGAGGCAGGAGAAACTTTAACCCGGGAGGCAGAGGTTGCAATGAGCCGAGATCGTGCCACTGCACTCCAGCCTGGGTGACACAGCAAGACTCCATCTCAAAAACAAACAAACAACAACAACAACAAATTAAAAGAGAAATACAAATCCAAATAAAAACAGAGATAAGTTACAAATTCAGCTGTTAAAGAAGAGCTTGTTCATGTATATTTTTAAATAGATAATGGTAAGTAACAAATTCCTGCAATATTAGGTTCCTGGATACATTTAAAATAATGCTGATGCAGTTCCATTTTAAAATGACATTACAGTTGTCCCACGGTTTCCACAGGGACCCCTAGCAGATACCAAAATCCACAGATCTTTAAGTCCTTTATATAAAATAGCATGGTATTTGCACATAACCTATGCACATCTTCTGATATACTTTTAGTCATCTCTAGATTACTGATAATATCTAATACAATGTAAATTCTACATAAATAGTTGTTATACTGTATTTGTTATTTTTTTTTTCCGTTGTATATTTTTTATTGTTTTTTGTCCCTCAAATATTCTCAATCTGTGCTTGGCTGAATCCAACCAAGATGCAGAACCTGGAGATGTGAAGGACTGACTGTATTTATAACACAACAAAAATGATAGAATTAGCACTTTTTAAAACTTGTAGTGAAAAAGGTTTTAGATGTCACCCAAAGCTCTTAGATGCTCTTGCAAAGCATGTGCAACAGAGTAGATAGCTATTTTCTTTTTGTGTACAGTTCTATGAATTTTAATACATGCACAGATTTATGGACTCACCACCTGCTTGTACAGGACACAGAGTAGATACATGACCCTCGTGCTATCCCTTTAGAGTCACATCCTCTTCCCACATACACAGCTTTCAGAAATTTTTTAAGGAAGTATGTGAACAAAAAAGGAATAAGGACACTGCTATATGACACTAACTAGCATGACTTCGTAGTCCAATTTCTAAGGCTTTAAATTTTCAATGAAATTCTAGTTCATTTACTAATATAAATAATGCCAAAAATATCCGATAAGCAACTCACAGTGCCTTGCAGTCAAGACTTGCATTTCTCCACAATATCCACAGAGGATGATATAGTCTAATTTCATCTGGACACTACCTTCATCTTTAGACAGAATGGTTAGTAATATTGGAGAGTGTTAAAAGACCCCAGAATTAGAATTTTCTCCCATTTTCTGCTTGCCTAATTCTTTCAGAGAGTTGAGAGTTAGAAATGAAAATCATAAAATAGAAATGAAATATCAGTGTAACACAAACAGGAGTAAACCCTTTTGCCCAAAAATGGGGTTTTAATAGTCTTTCACCAGGCATACCACCACTATGAGAAACAATAACAGTTGAAGACTAAGAGACTGGCCGGGTGCGGTGGCTCACGCCTGTAATGCCAGCACTTTGGGAGGCCGAGGCGGGCAGATCACAAGGTCAGGAGATCGAGACCATCCTGGCTAACACAGTGAAACCCGGTCTCTACAAAAAATACAAAAAATTAGCTGGGCGTGGTGGCGGGCACCTGTAGTCCCAGCTACTCGGGAGGCTGAGGCAGGAGAATAGCATGAACCCGGGAGGCAGAGCTTGCAGTGAGCCAAGATTGAACCACTGCACTCCAGCCTGGGCGACAGAGCAAGACCCCATCTCAAAATAAAAAAAAAAAAAGACTAAGAGACATTAAACAGGTATGAGAAACATAAGTGGGGAAAGTCAAATACAGGAAATAACCTGAGGTAGTTCTTGTTGAATTATTTAAGAACAAAATTTTAATTCTATCCAACTCTATAGAAAAGCCTATGTCTTTATCCATTTTCACTGCAATAACATAATGCCACAGATTGGGTAATTTTTAAAGAATGTAGGGCTGACACAATGACTCATGCTTGTAATCCCAATACTTTGGGAGGCTGAGTTGAGGCCAGAAGTTTAAGACCAGCCTGAACAACAAAAAAGTGAGATCTCTATAAAACATTAAAAAATTGGCTGGGCAGAGTTACATGTGCCTATAGTCCCAGCTACTCGGGAGGCTGAAGTGGCAGGAGCTTGAGTCCAGGATTTTAAGGCTGCAGTGAGCTATCATCACCACACTGCACTCCAGCCTGGGTGACAGAGAGATTCTGTCTCAAAAAACAACAACAACAACGACAACAACAAAACATGTTTATTTGGCTCACAGTTCTAGAGACTAGGAGTCCAAGGGCATAGCACCAACATCTGGTGAAGGTCATCCCATGGCAGGAGGCATCATATGGTGAGAAAGCATACTCAACAGTACTCATCCTTTTATCTGGAGCCAACTTCTGAAATAACTAACCCACTCCCCCATGATAATGAGATTAATCCATTCATGAGGGTGGAGCCCTCATGACCTAATTACCTCTTAAAAAGATCCCACCTCCTACTACTTTTTCAATAGCAATTACGTTTCCAACATGCAAGCTTTGGGGGACATAATCAAACTATGGCAACCTGGTAACAAAGGAAGATTATTTTAGTCATTGTGACCAAACATTAAAGAATGCTTTTTTTTTTTTGAGTCAGACTCTTATTCTGTCACCCAGGCTGGAGTGCAGTAGCGCAATCTAGGCTCACTGCAACCTCTGCCTCCCGTGTTAAAGCGATTCCCCTGCCTCAGCTTCCCGAGTAGCTCGGATTACAGGCCCACGTCACCATGCCCAGCTAATTTTTGTATTTGTATTTATTTATTTATTTTGAGAGGGAGTCTCGCTCTGTCACCCAGCTGGAGTGCAGTGGCACGATCTCAGGTCACCGCAACCTCCACCTCCAGGGTTCAAGCAATTCTCCTGCTTCAGCCTCCCGAGTAGCTGGGATTACAGGCACCTGCCACCATGCCTGGCTAATTTTTGTATTTTTAGTAGAGACAGGGTTTCACCATGTTGGCCAGTCTGGTCTCAAACTCCTGACCTCAGGTGATCTGCCCGCCTCGGCCTCCCAAAATGCTGGGATTACAGGCAGGAGCCACTGCGCTCAGCCTAATTTTTGTATTTTTTAGTAGAGACAGGGTTTCACCATGTTGGCCAGGCTACTCTCAAACTCCTGACCAAAATGTTGGGATTACAGGCGTGAGCCACCTCATCTGGCAATAATACCTTTCTTAAAAAAATAATAATAATCCCCAACGTAGTTGTATTTAGAATTAAATGAAAAGTGGGAACTTAAATAATCTGTATTAGCATAATTAATAAAAACAGAAATCCTCATTCACTGAAAAAACTCTGAGCAACTATTCTTACCAGGAGGCTGCAGTTCTGATATGACTGGTGATTGCCTTTATAACTATTGGCCGTCTGTGCAAAATCACACTGATGATTTTACTAACCTATTAATAACAATATGCCAGATTTTATACCCCACTTATAGTAGGATTTTACTGTTAGCTAGATACTAATGGGAATACAAAACCAAAAGACACAGAGACTCTCCTTTCAAGGAGCTTAATATCTACATTAGAGATTTCGCTAGAACAAGTTCATTTTACACTGTTATGAAATAAATTATAGTATGTAATTAATTATGCTACATGTAGGTATTAAAAAATATAAATAAAATTCTGTAAGGAACTCTGTGAAACCTCAAAGAATGACTTTTAAAGACACAGGGTCTCACTGTCACCCAGCTTCAGTGCAGTGGCACCATCATAGCTCAGGTTGGAGTACAGTGGCATGATCATGGCTTACTGCAGCCTCAAACTCCAAGGCTCCAGCAATCCTCCCGCCCCAGCCTCCCAAGTAGTTGGGACTATAGGCACTTGCCACCATGCCCAGCTAACTATTTTATGTTTTTGTAGAGATGGGGTCTCACTCTGTTGTCCAAACCCTTTGCCTCAAGCAATCCTCCCACCTTGGCCTCCCAGTGCTGGGATTACAGACATGAGCCACCATGACTAGCCTGACTTTTCATGTCCATGTTTTCATGTATCCAGGAAACTCTAGCCTAATTTATTTCTTCATTTTTGAAAAAGAATAAAATCATTGATGGGAGAAAAAACTCAAAACTAACCACCATTTAACCATTGGTCAAAGGCGTTTCTTATTTATTAGAATATTTCCCCAAGAACAAAAGGGGGAAAAAATGGAAAAAATCCCAATGTATACCACAAATAAATACATCTGTCCTTACTGAAGGTAGTCACAGAGCTAGAGCCCAAAATAATTCATGGCAAAGTACAAAGCAAATAAATTCACTTTAAACATCTTAAATAACAGATTATCAGCATTTTCAAATAGCAAAGACTAGAATTAAAAGTTGGTATATGCTACACTTAAAGAAAAGGAAATTCCTTATTAGGTCTTGTCCTAGGGAAGATTATAAAGGAGGCCTTGATTGGCAGGCACCCTCCTTTACTGATCTCTTGCTGAATTTGTCCTACTATCTATTAACCCTTCATGATACCTCTACCACTCTCTGTATATACACATACGCAAATGTGTATGTGCATGCACATTGTTCTAAGTCAGTCTTTTTCAATCTAAAGACTGAAGTGACTTTATCTTTGATTGCTGAGTGGTAACAGGAGAAAGAGAATGAATTCAATTTATTTTACCTACACAGGAGCTAAAGGTTGAGGGTGTTTATTCATCCAGGGCAAGGTCTCTGCTCTAGAGCCTTAGAATGTAAAGATAATCTGATAAATAACTTGTACTAAGATGTTAATATAGAAAAAATGGTTCTCAATCTCCCTGACCATAGAAATATTTATATCTTCATAGGATACAGAGTTAAAATAAAAGCAATTTCCCTCGAAAAGAGAATTTTAGGCATTAACAAGAAGGCAAGGAGACACTGCTGATATTCCTCAAATTATGCAAGAAAGCCTATTCTATCCCTCTTATAAATACATATGGCCTAAAAGTGGCAAATCTCTTAAGATACTAAATTAACAGGGTTAGACAAATGTCCACCCAGAATATTATGTGGTACTTTGCACTGTAAAACATAGATACAGTAAGCCCTGAGTATTTATAAACTATTAAAAATCATAAGTTCGGCCAGGCACAGTGGCTCACGCTTGTAATCCCAGCACTTTGAGAGGCTGAGGCGGATGGATCACTTGAGGCCAGGAGTTCGAGACTAGCCTGGCCAATATGTCAAAACACTGTCTTTACTAAAAATACAAAAATTAGCTGGGCTTGGTAGTGGGCGCCTGTAGTCCCAGCTACCCAGGAGGCTTAGGCAGGAGAATCGCTGGAAGCCGGGAGGTGGAGGTTGCAGTGAGCGGAGATCGTGCCATTGCACTCCAGCCTGGGCGACAAGAGTGAAACTCGGCCTCAAAAAAAAAAAAACAACAACAGAAAAAAAACGTAAGTTAACAGAAAAGTCTTCATTCCACATACATTCTTCCAAAACTATCAAGAAGTATTTTGAAAGTATGTTTTAGGAAATAGCTCATACAATTAGAATAACATAGCCACAAACATTAAAGTTAGAAAGGCTGTAATTTTTTTTTTTTTTTTTTTTTTTGAGACGGAATCTTGCTCTGTCACCAGGCTGGAGTGCAATGGCACGATCTCAGCTCACTGCAACCTCCATCTCCCTGGTTCAAGCAATTCTCCTGCCTCAGCCTCTCTAGCAGCTGGGATTACAGGCACGTGCCGCCACGCCTGTATTTTTGGTAGAGAGGGGGTTTCACCATGTTGGCCAGGATAGTCTCGATCTCCTGACCTCGTGATCCGCCCACCTTGGCCTCCCAAAGTGCTGGGATTACAAGTGAGAGCCACCATGCCCAGCCAGAAAGGCTTTTAATAGGTTTTTAGAATAATAATTTACTTTGCCCCAAACAATACCAAGCTAATTATTTTAGGCAGAGAATCTACAGATCAAAAGAGACTTAAGATAACGGATCAATTCCATTGGACATATTATTAAGTATTATATCAATTATTAAATGTATCATTGTGATGTGTAGATCTTACCTGGATATTAATTTAAAAAGCTGAAAAAGAATGAGATTTGAACACTGACTGGATGTGACTATATAAAAGCAAAACATAAAAATTTTTTAAAGGAATAATTACAATGCCACCTACCTTCTCAAGAAAACCCTGAAGTATGATATTGTTACTTGCAAGAAAAAGAAAATGGTTTCTGGCCGGGTGCGGTGGCTCACGCCTTTAATCCCAGCATTTTGGGAGGCCGAGGTGGGCGGATCACAAGGTCAGGAGATCAAGACCATCCTCACCAACATGGTGAAACTCTGTCTCTACTAAAAATACAAAAAGTAGCTGGGCGTGGTGGTGTGTGCATGTAGTCCCAGCTACTCAGGAGGCTGAGGCAGAAGAATCACTTGAACCCAAGAGGTGGAGGCTGCAGTGAGCCGAGATCGTGCCACTGCACTCCAGCCTGGGCGAAAGAGCAAGACTCTGTCTCCAATAAAAAAAAAAAAAAGGTTTCAAATATACTGGTAAGGCTGGGGCCTGGTGGCTCACACCTGTAATCCCAGCACTTTGGGAGGCCAAGGCAGGCAGACCACCTGAGGTCGGGAGTTCGAGACCAGCCTGACCAACATGGAGAAACTCCATCTCTACTAAAACTACAAAAAATTAGCCGGGCGTGGTGGCACATGCCTGTAACCCCAGCTACTCGGGAGGCTAATACTTTGAAATATATATATGTGTGTGTATACATATATATACATATATATGTATGTATGTATATATGAATGACTACTACTTCATATTACTTCAGCCCAGGCGCAGTCTTAAAACCTTCTACAACTTTTTTATACTCCTCAAATTTTCTACTGGGGCTGAGCACAGTGGCTTACACCTATAATCCCAGCCCTTTGGGAGGTTGAGGTGGGCTGATCACTTGAGGTCAGGAGTTTGAGACCTCAAAGTGTTGGCACGCACCTGTAATCCCAGGTACTCAGAAGGCTGACGCAGGAGAATCACTTGAACCTGGGAGGTGGAGGTTGCAGTGAGGCCAGATCGTGCCACTGCACTCCAGCCTGGGTGACAGAGCAGAGACTCTGTCTCAAAAAAAAAAAAATAAAATAAAAAAAATAATAATAATAATAATAATAATTCTATTGGTTCTAAGCAAAAAGGAGAAAGTAGAGAAATATAAAAGGGTGCTTATCCCCTGATCTTTTAGTGTCTTTCCCCCATGGAATTCTTAGTTTTTTTAAAAAAATAGTATTTTAAAATACAGACTAGGTCTTGCTATGTTGCCCAGGCTGATCCTGAACTCCTGGCCTCAAGCAATCCTTTTGCTTCATCCTCCCAAAGTACTAGGATTACAGGCATGAGCCACTATGCCCAGCTGAAATTTCTTAGAGCACTTTTTATTTCGAAACCAGGAGAAAAGATGAGTTAGTTATGTTTTTAGCAGAAATGGGTAAGGTACCAAACATAGCCACAATAGCAATAGGATGTCAATGCCAGAGAGAGAAAATAAAGAGAGGCAAGATGTTAGACCAGGCTGACAGTTGTTCAGCTAGCTCCTTTACCCTTTTCCCTGGTCCCCTTGAATGGGTCCTCTGTTCCCTGCCCTGCCCAGAACAGAAAAGCCACCACCAGTCACTTGGAACTGGCAGAGACCAGACTTCCATTGCCAAGAATGTTTCACAATAATAAAAGCTTAGTTAACATCTGAAGACTTAATTAGAATATTACAACAGACAAGTCTGAAGTTACCTAAATGAAATAAATGAGCTACTTTCGGGGTAGGATAGTGGGGGAACCACTGTCCTTAAATGGATGTCCTTAAGGGAGAAAATATCTAGCTCTTAATTTTAGTCTCTTAGCAGACAGATATCCTAGGGAGGTTTTACTACTGTCTGGCATGTCACTGTCTTGTAAGTCTAACAAATGAGGATGTGAGCTCATGCCCTAGGCAGTGAGACTAAAGGCTGATGAAAGGGAATGATGAAGCAAATTAACAAAGAAGACTGCATGCTAGACTGCTAGACAAGTAGACACATTCTTCTTTTTTTTTTTTTTTTTGAGGAGGGGTGTACGAGGGCTCCTTCTGTCGGCCAGGCTGGAATACAGTGGTACGATCTTGGCTCACTACAACCTCTGTCTCCCGGGCTCAAGCAATTCTCCTGCCTCAGCCTCCCAAGTAGCTGGGATTACAGGTGTGTGCCACCACGCCCGGCTAATTTTTGTATTTTTAGTAGACACGGGTTTTCACCATGTTGGCCAGGCTAGTCTCAACTCCTGACCTCAAGTGACCCGCCTGCCTCGGCCTCCCAAAGTGCTGGGATTACAAGTGTGAGACACCATACCTGGCCAAGTAGACACATTCTTACCACAGTCTCTACAGTCACAAGTTCGTTAGTGAGGGCGGTGGGAGGGTGGGGATGGTTAATGGGTACAGAAAAATAGAATAAATAAGATCTAGTATTTGATAGCACAACAGGGTGACTCTAGTTAATAATAATTTAACCATACATTTTGAAATAACTAAAAGAGTATAACTGGATTGTTTTCAACACAAAGAATAAATGCTTGAGGTGATAGATACCCCATTTTCCCAATGTTTAACAGGATACTCTATTATACATTGTATTCCTGTATTAAAATATCCTATATACCCCATAAATATATACACTATGTACCCACAAAAAATGTTTAAAAAGTTTCTAAGAAATTGATCAAAATCAATCACTCCTTTTTAACTATATGCATAAAAGGCTGTTATAAAGTTCTATTTAAGATTATCTCACTTTGGGAGCTGAAGGCAAATATCTGGCATATTCAAGTGCTATTCAAGAAAACAAAAATAATATGGCTTTTATTAGCAGCAGTCAGCATTTGTTTTTAGTGTTGTTACATATTCTTTTTTTTTTCCAGACAGATTCTCATTCTGTCACCCAGGCTGGAGGGCAGAGGTGCCATCTTGGCTCACTGCAACCTCCGCTTCACAGGTTCAAGCAATTCTCCTGCCTCAGCCTCCCAAGTAGCTGGGATTACAGGTGCCCGCCACCATGCTTGGCTAATTTTTGTATTTTTAGTAGAGATGGGGTTTTGCCATGTTGGTCAGGCTGGTCTCGAACTCCTGATCTCAGGTGATCTGCCCACCTCGGCCTCCCAAAGTGCTGGGATTATAGGCATGAGCCAACACACACGGCCAAGTGTTGTTACATTTTCTTATCCTAAGAAAACTATAAAGAGGTACACTTCTTTTTTGAAATAAAACCTTGCTTTTGATGTCCAACACTTAAGAGAGTGAATGAATCAATAGAAGAGAAAGACTTAATTTAACACCCTAGCCTAGGAGAGATGAGCAAGTGAGGAGCAGGTTCCTATTTCTGACAAGAAGAACAGGGATTAAAAACAATGTGAGAAATAAACAAAAAAACAAGCCAACAAACACTGTCAAGACCACTGAACCCTAGTTGCAAGCCAGGCTGCTATACTAAGCATCCTGATTATTCCAAAGATGCCCCGAGATTCAACCCAGCCCTTCTGGCCTCTGCCAAAGAGGCACAGAAACAGCCAAGTCAAGTTCCAAGAATAGTCGTGGCATACCATCCCCCTCCAACTACAGTCATCCTCAGGGAGATTGTTTCTGGGAGCATCTTGCCCTAGGACTAACAGCAGAATTCAGAAGGGCAGTCAGTTGTTACTACTGTTTCCTTCCTTATCCAACAAAACTTCAAGAAACAGTAGATTAAGGAACCTGGGATTTAACCACAATTAATTCATTTAATTTGATAACAATTAATTCATTTAATTGGAGGTGGTAAAACAGTTACCTCTTTTGTAAATCTAGTATTTCAGGGACTATCTGGGAAACCACAGGTGGTAAAATCAACTTTTAAAATATTTAAGAATAAAAAGTGGACAGTCCTTTTCTGCAAAGTTAGACTATGTATTAAGAGGTTATGAAACCAGTATAAAAGTAGCTTTTTGGTTGGAGAATAAGAACTTCTCATACCTCAGTCATCAGTAACCAAGGGAAAAATTGCTATTAAAATTTCTTTTCCGTAATGAATTATGGTCCATTTGGGCATCACAGACTTCTAATAGAATACCCACAATACGGGATCCAAGACTCTGGTCTCCCTACTCATTGTATGTATAAAACATTCTGCTATGTATTTAAGGTGCTATGTAAATATGCCTATACTAATATTTCTGCAGGGATATAATTACATAAAATGGAATACACAAATTTTGGAAATAAAAGGTTCAAGTTCCAACATGCCAAAATTCTACTGAAAGTAACAACTATATTAAAGCTTGTAGTGACCAGGTACAGTAGCTCATGCCTGTAATCCCAGCACTTTGGGAGGCTGAGGCGGATAGATCACTTGACGTAAAGAGTTCCAGACCAGCCTGGTCAACATGGTGAAACCCTGTCTGCACTAAAAATACAACAATTAGCTGGGTGTGGTGGCATGCACCTGCAGTCCCAGCTACTTGAGAGGCTAAGGTAAGAGGATTGCTTGCTTGAACCCAGAAGGCAGAGGTGGCAGTGAGCCGAGATCCCGCCACTGCATTCCAGACTGGGTGACAGAGCAAGACTCTGCCTCAAAAAAAAAAAAAAAAAAATTATTTGTGTAAGAAATCTTTAGAGTATGCAGATTCATGCTCCAGAAACCCAAGGCATTTTTAGTAAGCTTATAGTTTCCTCGTCCACTGTTTCAACTAAATGACCTTATAACTAAAATTAGGAACAGAGAGAATAAAAACTTATGGCAAAAGTATCAAGATCTGGACTTTAAAAAGTAAGAACATCGGGCGGGCATGGTGGCTCATGCCTGTAATTCCAGCACTTTGGGAGGCCAAGGCAGGTGGATCACTTGAGGCCAGGAGTTCAAGACAAGTCTGGCCAACATGGTGAAACCCCGCCTCTACTAAAAATACAAAAATTAGCTGAGTGTGGTGGGCTGGGGGGGGTGCCTGTAATCCCAGCTACTCGGGAGGCTGAAGTAGGAGAATTGCTTGAACCCGGGATGTGGAGGTTGCAGTGAGTTGAGGAGCCATGATCACACCACTGCACTCCAGCCTGGGCAACAGAGCAAGACCCTGTCTCAAGAAAAGGAAGAACATCTAAAATAAAGCCTTCTTATAGGAACAAATAATGTTAATACCCACTGACCAAGTCATTAAATCTGAGGAATACCCAGATTACATAACTTTTGACATCAGAGTATAAAAGAAAAGGAGCATTGATAAAACAGTGGAAATTAGGAAACACAACTACATTAACAACAGTTACATCCTAAGCAGGAATACAATTTAATGAGTCACCAGTTTAAAATGTGCAAAACTCAGACCTAAAAGGGTAAGGCTTATATAATGTTGTCCAATTATTTAAAGTGCTCAGATAATTCCTCCACATGAGGATTAACTCTGCAATTCTAAGCTTCCTACCCAACGTCCCAATCCCATAATAGGCAATCACATTATACTAATTATGACTGTCATGATTTATACTCATTGGAATACTGATTATTTCACAAGTCAAGTGTCTAAGCAATTTTGACCTTGAAAAGGCAAAAAAATAAAATTTAAAAGCCGAGATATTCAATATATAATGTTATATAATGTAAATATTAGGAAACAAGAGCAACAGCTATCTTAAAGGGTTTTTTTTTTGTAATAGAAAGTACCTAGGAAGAACAGGCCCAGAGTTAGGGGGTACTAAGGTAAAAATAAGACATGGTCCCTGGCCCTCAAGAACCTCATGTACTAATACGGGAAAAACAAAAAAGTAAATCAGCTATTATAATACAGAGATATGGCCTGAATGTTTTTGGTATCATAGAGCAAGAGTGTCTACTAGGATACACAAAACGCAGAGAAGCCCTCTTGAAAGAGGACTCTTGGCCTGAGTCTTAAAGGAAACTCAAGAGTTAGCCACTGAATAAAAGCAAGTTAGCATGTAAAATAGTACAACTGTGATATATATTAATACTATATTCTTTCATTCAAGAAATATGTCTTGGCTGGGCATAGTGGCTCATGCTTGTAATCCCAGGACTTTGGAAGGGCGAGGCAGGGGGATGACTTGAGGTCAGGGGTTCAAGACCAGCCTGCACAACATGGCGAAACCCTGTCTCTACTAAAAATACAAAAAAAAAAAAAAATTAGCCAGGTGTTGGTGGCACACGCCTGTCATCCAAGCTACCTGGGAGGCTGAGGTGGGAGGATCACTTGAGCCTAGGGAGGTTGAGGCTGCAGTGAGCCATGCACTCCAGCCTGGGTACTGCACTCCAGCCTGGGTGACAGAGTGAGACCCTGTCTTAAAAAAACAAAAAAAAAAAGGGGGGAAATACTTCTGGACCACCTACTGTATGCCAAGGACAGGCTATATTTACAGGCCCACCTGTACTTTAGTATGGCTACAGCCTCAGGAGCATGTATGAGATTGGGAATGCACCAAATTATGAAAGCTTTGGATGCTCTGTTAAGGAGTTGGGACCTCACTCTGAAGATGGTAAGAAATCAATAAAAGCTGGTAAGCAAGGAAGCAATAAGATCAGAGTTGTATATACCCTGACTCAGGCTTTCTTATACGTTCCCTCTGAGGAGCTGCCACGAAGGTTCTAGAGGAGAGGAAGGAGCTGATATGTCCCATGTTTCACAGATACTGAATGAGACTCTGCTGCTAAGGCCTACCACCTCTCTACCCCCATGTTCTATCATCAGACTTCACTAGTGGAATAAAAAGGTCCAGTACCAGTAGCAGGTAGGAAACAGAAAAGTAACAGAGAAGAAAGAGAGTTCCCGTGGCCAAGGTGCATAAGGGTCACCTCCAGGGAACTATTCATATTTTAAACAGAACATTATACCAACAAAATAATAGAGGATATTAAAACATCTGATAACAAAGTAAATTTTATGTTGTGTTTATTTTATCACAATTTAAAATAATTTTTAAAAGAAAAAAACCATCTGAAATTTAGGTGAAACATTTTTCTATTCTGTCATTTAAAATGATAAAGATCAGTTCAGAGTATACTTAATAATAATTCCCCCATTCTTCCTTCACATTTAAAGAATTCTTCCAAGTCCGCCCCCTACCACAAAGCTAAATGTGCAAAAATGCAAAAAGCGTGATAATTATTTCATTGGGGGAAAGAAGAGAATCATATCCCAAATGGACAACATCCAATAACCAACTATCCTTTAGACTTGCAATGGTGCAAACTGCCACCAAAAAGAACACACATGGATTTGGACACATTCTAACAGTACAGCTGTCTGTCCAGGCATGCTGCTGAAAGAACAGTACATTCCTTCTTGTTCCATCTTCCACCCACCTTAAGCCCCATTATGAAACGGAGTTTAAACAAAACTATCATATTTAAGCCTCTAATATATGTGTGTTTTCAATAAGATCAGCTAGGTAAAAATAGTGGCAGTAAACCCCTCCAACATTGCCCTAAGATTAGAGTCTGAAGATTTCTGAAGAGGAAAATAATTTTGGTAATGTATATTTGTCAAAAGTTTCAACTTGAGATTGCAATCTAGGTGCAAAGATAGGGAAATAAGTTACTAACTTTCAGAAAACTGATATAGTATGGTAGAGGAGTGAGTATTGAGAATCAGAGTAATGGGATCTGAGTCCTAAATAACTAGCCTATCAGCAGCTTTGTGACCTTGGGAAAACTGCCCAACCTCGCTGAGCTTCAGTTTTCTCATTTATGAAACATGCTTAATGATGCTTACACTATCTATATCATGGTGCTGCTGTGAAAAGCAAAGAGCTAAATGTAACCCTAACTCAGCACACTCTAATGCACCCTGTCAATAATCTCAATTTCATGCAACTCTTTTTGAATACCATGTTTTATATTTCCAGCTCATTCTTTCTAATACACGAATTCATATAATCTTGTGACCCCACCAGATCTCCCATCTACTGACCGCTATCTTTGAACTATCTTTTTTTAATTTTTATTTTATTTTATTTTTATTTTTGAGACAGAGTCTCACTCTATTGCCCCGGCTGGAATGCAATGGCATGATCTCGGCTCACTGCAACTTCTGCCTCCCAGGTTCAAGCAATTATCCTGCCTCAACCTCCTGAGTAGCCGGGACTATAGTCACGTGTCACCAGGCCCGGCTATTTTTTTTTTTTTTTTTTTTTTTGTATTTTTAGTAGAGACAGGGTTTCACCATGTTGGCCAGGATGGTCTTGATCTCCTGACCTCATGACCCGCCTGCCTCAGCCTCCCAAAGTGCTGGGAATTACAGGCGTGAGCCACCGCACCCAGCCTATCTTCAAACTATCTTTTCACTGTTTCTCACCCTGTGAAGTCCTCTCTTCCCTCCTTACCAGCTTAAGTTCCATGGTCCATCATTATAATCACTTGCTCCTCTCTCACTTGGACATACTCACTTTGCAGAACCACAAGCTGGGTAAATTCAACTATTCTCCTACTCCTAAAGTGAAGGTGGCTGGAGAAAAAAAAGCACAAAACCAAGCTGACTGGCCTCACTTTTAACTCAGAACCTTTAGCCTCAAATGAGCCCTTAACACTGCCTGGTGATCATACTGTATTTCTCTAGTCCATTCACTTTCCCACTTTCTAGACAATTATATGCTCTCCTCTCTTTTCAAACTCCTAATAGCTTCCTTTCTTACTAAGCCAATGACCTGGCTTAGAAAATTAAAGTAATCAGAGAAGATCTTCCAGCATATTTGACTTTCTGTTTCTGAGCTGTTTCACTTAAGATAATGGCTTCCAGTTCCATCCACGTTGCCACAAAAAGACATGATTTCATTCATTTTTATAGCTGAATAGTATTCCATTGTATACAGATATCACATTTTCTTTATCCATTTATCCTTTAATAGACACTCATAAACCTTTTAATCTTAATTGCTAGCTTTATGGTTGTGTTTATTATTATTTTGATTTGAATTAACATTTTGCATATTTAAATTTATTTAGGAGAGTTAAGTATGCAGTGTTAGTGGAAACTTTTTTGGTTAACAGCTTATAGAATCTTATTAATTTTAACAAGAAGGACCAGTTTGGCTTTGTAGGATATCTGATTTATGGAATATTTTAGGATACTAGGAATATTTTAGGATATCAGCATTTTTTTTGAGGTACAGAAAACTGGAAGTGGATTGTCATAGTATTGCTGGTAAGAATCACTGGGGCTCTTGATTTAACAAATAGCTAAGTTTTTTGTTTTTGTTTTTGAGACAGTGTCTCACTCTGTCACCCAGGCCAGAGTGCAGTGGCAAGATCACGGCTCACTGCAGCCTCGATCTCCTGGGCTCAAATGATCTCCTACTCAGCCTCCCAAATAGAGAACTGCATGTTCTCACAAGTGGAAGCTAAATAATGTGTACACATGGACACAGAGTGTAGAATAGGACACTGGAGACTCAGTGGGTGGGGCGGGAGGTGAGGGATGAGAAATTACTTAATGCGTACAACTTACATTATTCAGGTGATGGTTCCACTAAAAGCTCAGACTTCACCACGACATAACAAAACTGTACTTGTACCACTTAAATTTATAACAACAACAACAACAACAAAAACATTAGAAAGTTTAGATAAATATGTATCCCTAGAAAGTACAGGTTGATTTTCACTTAAAGGAAGACAATCACAAGGCTGTTAACCTTCTCAACAAAAAGAGTGCATCTTTCTATGTATGCAGAAAGCACTCAATTCAGGTCAATTAATCACAAAGCAACAATCTAACAAAAAAAGATAATTCCTGTTTTTGTTCATGTACAACTGAAATGATTAAAAAAAAATTATAATACAAACGTAAGTTAAAATGTTGTAGAGCACTAAACCAGAAGCCAGAAGACCAAAGTTCTGGTCTTTTCTCTGCCATAACTAGATACGGGAATTTTACTGTGTTTCCATTTCTTCATCTGTAAAATTAAGGAGCAGGGGAAAAGATCACTCTAAAATTATTTCAGAGTTTTCTGAGCTTCTTCCTGATGAGCAAGGAGACTTGTGGTCTGGTTCTTGGACTTTCCTAGCAGCATGGCCCCTAAATGCTAGTCTCCACGCCCACCTCAAAAGAAGAAACCAAGACCACCTCCTGTTCTGAGACTGGAAGAGACATCATCAGCCTCTCTAGACTTGCCGAAGAGAGAAAAAGAACAGCAGGAAGCAACTGAACATATTGATGAAGTACAAAATGAAATAGACAGGCTTAATGAACTAAGGGAGGAGATTCTGAAAGCAGAACAGAAAATAAACTCTGTCAGCCACTTTTTCAGAAGAGGTGAGAATTGATCGCCAAAGTTCCAAGTTTTGGGGTTACAACGTTTGTCAACCATCCTCAAGTGTCTGCACTGCTTAGGGAGGAGGACAAAGACGCACTGCATTATCTGACCAAAGTTGAAGTGACAGAATTTGAAGATACTAAGTCAGGTTACAGAATAGACTTTTATTTTGATGAAAATCCTTCCTTTAAAAATAAAGTTATCTTCAACGAATTTCATTTGAATGAGAGTGGTATTCCATCTTCAAAGTCCACTGAAATCAAATGGAAAGCTGGAAAGGATGCGATGAAACATTCAAGTCAAACACAGAATAAAGCCAGCAGGAAGAGGCAGCATGAGGCACCAGAGAGCTTCTTTATCTGGTTTACTGACCATTCTGATGCAGGTGCTCATATGTTAGGAAAGTTCATCAAAGATGACATTTGTCCCATCCCATTACAGTACTACTTGGTTACCGACTGATATGGATGAAGAAGGAGGAGAAGATGAGGAGGAGGAGGAGGAGGAAGAGGAAGGATTAGAAGATATTGATGAAGAAGGGGATGAGGAAGAAGATGATGATGATGATAAAGGGAAGGAAGGACAGTAGGGTGAAGGAGAAGATGACTAATAGAACACTGATGGATTCAACCTTCCTTTTTAAAATTTTCTCCAGTCCCTGGGAGTAAGTTGCAGTCTTTTTTTTCCCCCTCTTGTGGCTCACTTGCCCTGTTCTTGAGGTCTCTTTTCTATACACCATGATTCTCAACTTATTTGGGAGGTAAATACCTTGAGCAGAGTATTATGGTAAAAGAGTCTCTACCCCTTTCTGTTCCAAATTCATTTTTATCCCTTCCTGTCTGAACAAAAACTGTATGGAATCACCACCACCTAGCTCTGTCGGAAAAAAAGAAAAACCTGCTCCCTTCACTCTGCTGGAAGCTGGAGGGTGCTAGGCCCCTGTGTAGTAGTACACAGAATTCTAGCTTCTTTTCTCCTTTCTCTGTATACTGGACTCAGACAGTACACTGTGTCTCTACGTGAATATGGACAGTTAGCATTTACCAATATGCATCTGTCTACTTTCTCTTGTTTAAAAAGGGGGAAAGAAAACTTTAAAAAATGGGGTTAGAGAAGGTCAGCAAAGGGTGGATTTGAGATGTTTGGATGGGTTAAGCGGGCATTTTGACAACATGGCTTCTCTTTTGGCATGTTAAATTGAGGTGTCTGACAGACATCCTTGCAGTTTAAGGTAATACTTTTAAAATAAATTCTCTCCTAATGATGACTTGAGCCCTGCCACTCAATGGGAGAATCAGCAAAACCTGTAGTATCTTATGTGGAATTGACATTCTCTATTGTAATTTTCACCCTGTTTTTTTTAAAAAAAATTTTTTTGTTTCACTGGAAAGGAAAGATGATGCTCAGTTTTAAAAGTTAAAAGTGTACAAGTTGCTTTGTATAAGTCACTTTGTTATAATAAAACTAAATGTGTCCACAAAGGAAAAAACTTATTTCAGCTCAAACATCTTATGATTCCATGACCCAAAGTGTGGTATGCCATATTACATTTTCTTATTTTAAACAGAAATTAAAAGTATGTAAGTTTGAGTTAAAAGTAGCATTATATTGTTTTTGACTAAAAAGAGGTAGCTGTACATAAAGATTATAGCAATAATAAAAACCCATGAAGATATATAATGAGAATTTATTAATAAGAATATACAATGCTTTCCCTGGATAAAGTTACTCCTGTAATACTATTTTTTTAATTTAAAAAATTACCTTCTAAACCATTAACTTGAAATACTTAATAGCTACTTTTATAAGTCCTATTTTAGGAAGCCTAGACAAGCAAACCAAATTAATAGAAATTGAGAGTAGAGAAAATTAGCAATGGGCCGGGCGCAGTGGCTCACCCTGTAATCCCAGCACTCTGGGAGGCCCGGGCGGGGAGATCACTTAAGGCCAGGAGTTCAAGACCAGCCTGGACAACATGACGAAACCCTGTCCCTACTAAAAATACAAAAATTTGCTGGGTATGGTGGGGCGTGTCTATAATCCCAGCTACTCGGGAGGCTGAGGCAGGAGAATCGCTTGAACCTGGGAGGCAGAGGTTACAGTGAGCCGAGATGGCATCACTGCACTCCAGCCTGGGTGACAGAGGGAGACGCTGTCTTAAAAAAAAAATTGGCAATGCCCTCTTCTGGGCTACAACTACTTAATGAGTAATGTATACTAGCCTTGGAATTTATTTCACAATTCTTTTTGAGCGTGTGTGTTTGGGTTTATCAGCCATTTCAACTTCTTTTTTGTTGTTGTTGTTGTTTTGAGAGGGAGTTTCGCTCTTCTTGCCCAGGCTAGAGTGCAATGGCGTGATCTTGGCTCACTGAAATCTCCGCCTCCTGAGTTCAAGCGATTCTCCTTCCTCAGCCTCCCAAATAGCTGGGATTACAGGCGCCCACCACCATGCCCAGCTAATTTTTTTGTATTTTTAGTAGAGACGGGGTTTCACCATGTTGGCCAGGCTGGTCTCAAACTCCTGACTTCAGACACTGTGCCCGGCCTCAACTTCTTTCTTAAACCTGACTGGATCCAGCAAATATTTATTTAAAGTTTTGTCAATATGCCGGACTTTCCATTTAACTTTCATTTCCCATTTCTCTTCTGCTTCCAATACTATTTATTTATTTACAGAGTCTCGTTCTGTCACTCAGGCTGGAGTGCAATGGTGCAACCTAGGCTCATTGCAACCTCCACCTCCCAGGTTCAAGCAATTCTTAGGCCTCAGCCTCCCAAGTAGCTGGGACCACAGGTGCATGCCACCATGCTTGGCTAATTTTTGTATTTTTAGTAGACACGGGGTTATGTCATGTTGGCCAGGCTGGTCTCGAACTCCTGACTGCAAGTGATCCACCTGCCCCCACAAAGTGCTGGGATTACTGTTGTGAGCCACCACGCCCGGCCCCATTACCATTTATAGTGTACTTTTCAGTGTCCACCTTGGTTTTCCATTTTCTACATCTTTACCATGTCTAGTCTCTTTGTCTCTCTTATATGTGATTTCATTTTTGACTCAAGGGCCTTCATTCACCCAGTTAGTTATTAGGAGTTCTGAGATCCTCAGATTTCAGATTTCCCACATTCCACTCCTTTCTGCAATACCAGATGCAGCAGGTTTGCCAGTAAATTCAAACATATTATTCTGTCAGTTTAAATTTTCCAAGTTGACATTTTTATATTCCATTTATTTTCATCACTAGCAACTTGGTTGCTTAAAGTCTAAGGATTTTGCCTTTTAAATACTTTCTAGCACTTTGATATACATTGGAGAAACCAAAGAAGTTTCAAATTCAAAATGTCATCTAGTCAAAATGGGGAGGAAAAAATAGTACCCAATATTTAATTTGTCAAAACTGTGCAACACAGCCTTTTTTGGAAGGCCTAAGAAAAAAAATTATTGTATGCTATAATATAACTATAAAAGGTATTGGAGTTTCTTTGGGGAATTTTACCATATTTCTTGAAATAAGGGATCTGTACAAATTTGAATCCCTCCAGAGTTTAACTGTAATTCCTAAAGTTATCATTTACAAATATAAATGTTCATTATGAATTCATTTTTACTTCTTACCTCCATTCCTCAAGGGGTAAAAGTCAAATCTAGGGAAGAAATAATACTAACTAAATTTGATAAAGCTCACTGTATCTAGTACAGTGTTGTATACTCTATGGCTATTTCAGACTCATAACTAATCTCTCTGCTTTCACCCTTGTCCCCAAGAGTTTATTGTCCACAAATCAGCTAGACTGAACCCTATAAACTCTCCAAAAGATTCCCATCCCACTCAGAATAAAATCCTACTTCCTTATGATATACAAATCCTACATAACCAGTCATCAGCAATCCCCATCACTACTCCCACACAATTCTTTTACTTTCTTTTTCCTCTTATATATTATCCCCTACCATTCTCCTTCAGCCTTCTTCTCCAGCCAGTCTAGCCTCTTCTGCCATTCTGGAAGGATATACACCTCTACTGTAAATACAGTCTCCAGACTTTTGCCCTTGATGGTCCTCTTCCTGAAATGTTTTTATCTCAAAAGCCAAAAGTTTGACTCTTTCAGTAATTCTCTGCTCAAACGTTACCCCATCAGAGGCTTTCCCCAGCCACCCAATCTAAAACAGCACATCTGCTGGGCGTGGTGACGCAGGCCTGTAATCCCAGCACTGTGGGAAGCCAAGCTAGGTAGATCACCTAAGGGCAGGAGTTGGAGATGAGCCTGGCCAATATGGCGAAACCCTATCTCTACTAACAATACAAAAAAAAAAATAGCGGGACGTGGTGGCACACGTCTGTCATCCCAGCTACTCAGGGGGCTGAGGCAGGAGAATTGTTTGAACGCGGGAGGTAGAGGTTGCAGTAAGCCGAGATCACACCACCACACTCCAGCCTGGACAACAGAGCAAGACTCTTGTCTCAAAAAAATAAAATTAAAACAGCACCTCTACTATCACTCTCTCCCTTTACCCAGCACTATCTTCCTTCCTACCACTAATCACCACATTGTATAGTAAATAAATATTTAGTTAGCACCTGTCTCCACGCACTATAATGTAATTTCCAAGAAGGCTGTGATTTGTTCAGTGCTGTATTTCCAGTGCCAAGAAACTACCTGGTAGGTGCTCAGTAACTGTTGAGTAGATGAAAATCTAAAATGTCTGACTCTAGAATCCATGTTATCAACTTTAATTATTCATACACACCAAAGAAGTCCTTTAAATAATAAATGTTAAAAGTATATTTAAACTGAGACTATTGATTGCCTCTAGAGAAGAGGCTAAAGGGAGAGAAATATAGGGAGATTAAATGTATACCCCTTAAATCTTGAACTATATTAACGAGTTAATTTTTCAAAATTAAACAAAATGTAACATGTTAATTTAACAGGTTATAACAATGACTGAATTACATTAACTTTCCAGTTTAATTCTGCATTCTCATGATGTGGAACACTAATGGCCAAAACATGACAATCTTCATGTTGTTCTCGGGTGTTTTTTGTTGTTGTTATTGTTGTTGTTTTGAGACAGAGTTTCACTCTTGTTGCCCAGGCTGGAGTGCAATGGTGCGATCTAGGCTCACTGCAACCTTCGTCTCCCAGGTTCAAGTGATTCTCCTGTCTCAGCCTCCCGAGTAGCTGGGATTACAGGTATGCACCACCACAGCCGGCTATTTTGTATTTTTAGTAGAGACGGGGTTTCACCATGTTGGCCAGGCTTATCTCAAACTCCTGACTTCAGGTGATCCGCCCACCTTGGCTTCCCAAAGTGCTGGGATTACAGGCATGAGCCACCGCGCCCTGCCCTGTTCTAGGGTATTTTAATAAGACTCTCCAGGAATTTCTCAGAGAACAAGTTAAATGTTACTTTCTTAAATGTTCCCTACTCTTGTATCATATTACATCTTAATTAGCAATCGTCTTGTCACTAGGAAGTCGTTATGTACATTCATTTATTCATTCATAAAGGGTGACACAGCTACCAAACGGTAAGAGGAGTCTGAGGATAGAAAAAACAAAACCCCAAAGTGTTTTGGCCTACTCTCACCACTCAACACAATATTTCTAACACCAGATGTGTGGGGTTATTTCCTCCACACACCAAGCAAGCAGTGCACAAGCTGGTGTCTTACAATTTAACTCACTTCTATCTACCTAGAGACAGAAGCGCACAAGCTGGGTGTCTTACCATTTTTTTTGTTTTTTTTTTGAGACGGAGTTTTGCTCTTGTTGCCCAGACTGGAGTGCAACGGCGTGATCTCGGCTCATGGCAACCTCCGCCTTCCAGGTTCAAGCAATTCTCCTGCCTCAGCCTCCTGAGTAGCTGGAATTACAGGCATGCACCACCATGACGGGCTAATTTTGTATTTTTAGTAGAGACGGGGTTTCTCCATGTTGAGGCTGGTCTCGAACTCCTGACCTCAGGTGATCTGCCCACCTCGGCCTCCCAAAGTGCTGGGATTACAGGCGTGAGCCACCGGGCCCAGCCTGGGTGTCTTACAATTTAACTCAATTCTAATTCCACCTACCTAGAGATAGTGTCAGATTCCACAAGTCCAGGGCTCAGGCCCACATGACTGTCCCAGACTTCAGATGCCATTTCTGATTGATTGGCAATAAACTGGGATTTCCACAACCCCCTCCTTGGTTAGACTAATTTGCAAGAGTGGCTCACGGAACTCAGGGAAACACTTTACATACGTTTACTTATTTATTATAAAGGATATTACAAAAGATACAGATGAACAACCAAATAAAAAGATACACAGAGCAAGGTGTGGGAGAAGAGGGGCTGAGCAGAGTCCTTCAGGAACTTCCATGTGTTCAGCTATCCCAAAGCTGTCTCAACCCAGTACTTCTAGGTTTCGTGGAAGCTTCATTACATAGGCATAGTTGATTAAATCACTGGCCATTGTTGATGACGTTGATGACGTTAACTTTCAGCCTCTCCCCCCTCCACAGAGACGTGGGGGGTGGGGTGGGATGGAGGGGGGTGAGGGGGTGAGTGATGAAAGCCCCAACCTTCTAATCACGCCTCTCCTCAGTCTTTCAGGTGACCAGTCCCCATCCTGAAGCTATCTAGGGGTCCCCAGCCTCCAGTCACCTCATTAGCATACAAAAGATGCTCTAATCACCAGTGAGAGTCCTAGAATTTTAGGAGGTTTTTTTTGGCCGGGGAAACGGAATAAAGACCAAATATACATTTCACAATATCACATAATGTTTCATTGTTATAAGAAATTCTGTCACCAAAGTTGCCATAACAAAACAATATTCCAGGATATGGTCCATTATATCCAGAATTTAAGGTCCTAGGCCTGGTAATGGAGTTGAGAGGAAAAAGCGTTTAATAGGAAAAAGTAGAGGCAGCGATCCAGCCACTTCCCACTTCCCCTTCTAACCACAGCTAGTCCCTATTTAGATAGGAAGCCACTCCCAGTTCTCTTGAAAACAGCGGTCCTCTCAATTGCCAAGAAGGCCACAGGAAGAACGTCACTTTCAGAAAAGAAAACCCAGAATGATGACAGTAATGAAATCCTTCATGGACCAATACTAGACTAATGGTCTTCCCAGTACTTTATATTCTTACTACATCACAAAGGGTAAGGATTATAAACCCAAAGTTAGAAAGAATAAGCACTGATTTCTGCCAGCTATAAGGTAATAGATGATTGCACTTAATTTTCAAAATCAAATAAGGCTGTATACTTTTCCAATTCTTCTATATTAAATTATTAGATGTTGTATGATAGTATGAGAACCTTAATCTTTCTGTATGAAATCCCTTTTTTTTTTTTTTTTTTTTTTTTGAGACGGAGTTTCGCTCTTATTGCCCAGGCTGGAGTGCAAAGGCACAATCTCGGCTCACTGCAACCTCTGTCTCCTGGGTTCAAGCGATTCTCTTGCCTCATCCTCCCAAGTAGCTGGGATTACAGGCATGTGCCACCATACCCAGCTAATTTTTTGTATTTTTAGTAGAGATAGGGTTTCACCGTGTTGTCCAGGCTGGTCTTGAACTCATTACCTCAGGTGATATCCACCCACTTCGGCCTCCCAAAGTGCTGGGATTACAGGCATGAGCCACCTTGTCCGGCCTCTGAAATTACTTCATATATACATATTCTGCTATCATTTAAATAATCAACACTCTGTAAAGGTTTTTAAAAATCACTAAAGAGTTTTCAAAACAATTACTAAGAAACAGTCTGTGTCATGTTAAATGACAGATGGAACAATTACTCAATTGAAATGAGACAGAAAATCTGACAATCAATTGGAAACTGTCATATAAAAATTAAGGTTGGACCTAAGCAAAAGCATTACAAATGGTTTTTCCTTTGCTTTTATATTCTCTTTAAGAAAAATACATTTAATTGCAAACAAAGTATAAAGCAGAAGAGTAACTTATACTTGGTGACATTTTACCATTCCCCTACAGTCAAAATATAACAAAATATTTGAACCAATCATATTTCACTCCTTGGTTAGTCACGTATATAGCAGGGACTCTATACTCAGTAGTTACAGATTTAGTTACGAAAAACAATCCACAGGAATACCTTGGCTCTCACTCTACCAAAGGTAGATATGGCTGGCATCTTGAGCATGCTAGTCAATCTATCCAAATGCACAACTACTCATATCCCACCACTCTCTAGCTGTTTCCTATTTCATTTCATTAGGGAGACAGAGACAAACCAAAAAATATGATAAGAGAATGTCAAATGTGGAATGTCAAACCCTTCCACCAACACTGTTATCTCCATAACATCCTATAAAATTATCACTCAAGCTCGAATTACAACAAACTCTCAATAAATCCTAGACCACTTTTATTCTCACTGGACAAATAAATATCCTTGTTCTTGTCCCACACTGCCTGAATTTCCATTTTCCAAGTCATGTTATCATAATGGCACACCAATTCACCCATTTGTTGTACCTGTAAGTACCAGAAAAATCAAGTAAATTAACTCAAGCAGGTTGAGTTAAATCTGACAATTGACTTAACCTTTAATTACTTATGTGCCAGACATAAAAGAATGAAACACATGGCATGCAGAAAAACTGTACAATCACATCACATAGAAAAAATTTTAAAACTAGGTTAAGTAAATTAATAAATTTTGGTTATTCAAAGTATGTTCTGAAACATTAAGTCTGATAACTTCTTCCTAATAAATACAAGAGTCTGAATTATTTTCTTAAAATTTTGCTATTTCAAGTACAGAACTTTTCACGTATTTTTCTTTAAAGCATTAAGTCACACTGTATTATGTCTATTTGAATTACTACTTAAATTACTAGAAAGAAATCAAGATAACATTAAACTCTTAAAATATCTTTGGTAACAGAATGAATTATCTTCTGCGTTGTTGTCTATATCAAAGGTCATATCATATTTCATACTTTTCTAAGGTAAACATTTAAACAGCATACATGGTATGATGGAGAAAATTATACAAACTCACACCAAATATCAGCCTTTCTGAATTTCCAAAAAAGGGCACAACTTGCAAAAAAAAATGAGAACCATAATTTTCATGTATCAAGAAAAAAAATATAATAATCTGTTTTTCTAAAGTGCCCGAAGAAGTCAATTTGTGGCAACACTACCAGAAAAAGTGGCCAATGAAATCACACAAAATTTCTAAACTTTAAAAATGTACTAGGCTCTTTCTAAAGGTGAATATTATTGTCAAATCAGTAACTCAAACCAGCCCTAAATGTCTGCTTTTTTTTTTTTCAGGTAAGCAAGTGGGATTTAATTTTTTGTTTGTTTGTTTCTTTTTTGAGACAGAGTCTCATTCTGTCACTCAGGCTGGAGTGCAATGGCGCAATCTTGACTCACTTGCAACCTCTGCCTCCTGGGTTCAAGCAATTCTCCTGCTTCAGCCTCCCAAATAGCTGGGATAACAAGCGCCTGCGACCACGCCCACCTAATTTTTTGTATTTTTAGTAGAGATGGGGTTTCACCATGTTCACCAAGCTAGTCTTGAACTCCTGACCTCAAGTGATCCACCCTCCTTGGCCTCTCAAAGTGCTGGGATTACAGGTGTGAGCCACCGTGCCTGGCCTAATTTTTTGTTGCTGTTGTATTTTGTTTTTTTGGTTTTTTTTGGAGACGGAGTCTCGCTCTGTCGCCCAGGCTGGAGTGCAATGGCGCGATCTCGGCTCACTGCAAGCTCCATCTCCCAGGTTCACGCCATTCTCCTGCCTCAGCCTTCTGAGTAGCTGGGACTACAGACGCCCGCCACCATGTGGCCCAGCTAATTTTTTGTATTTTTTTAGTAGAGATAGGGTTTCACCTTGTTAGCCAGGATGGTCTCGATCCTGGCCAAATTTTTAAGTGATAGCAACAACTGGATTTTCTTCCTAAGTACTGGAGTATCCCCTAGTGGACTGGTGAGGAACAGTTTTTTGACTTACTAATCAAACTCTGTCATAATAAATTCACTTTTTTATAATCTCACCTAAATATCTTTTTTCCCATGGTCAAAACAGAGTTAACATTAGTTTTCATAAATTTCATAATTTTGACTACAGTGAAGGTCCTACAAGGTAGAAACACATTTTTTTTGACAAATACCATTTCCAGTGTTTCAAATACAATAACCTCTTTCAAGAATCTTGTTACATGAGCACGAATTTAGTAAGTGAAAAATCAATCATCCTTAATAGTTTCCTAACGGGCAAAGGAAGTTTTTATGGAAATTAAACTACTTCACTGAACTAAATGTCAACAATCAAATCATGAACATTAAGTAGAGTGCTTCCTAAAGAGCCAGGGGTTATCAAAGATAAATTTGAGAAACTACTGATGGAGGCTTGAAAATGATTTTTTTACATATCATATAATTTCTGCTAACATGGAATAAGGATTTCTAAAAAACAATTTTTAAGGTATCAACACACTATTTACACACATATTAAAACTCTACACACAAAACACTTCATATTTCTGCAAATAATTAAAATCCACTGAAGAATACAAGGGCTCCAGCTAGCAGTATGACTGGAACCTTGTGAGAGACCCTGAGCTAGAACCACCCAGCTAAGCCACTCTCAGATTTCTGACACTCAGAATAAATGTTGTTTGTTTTAAGCTGCTAAATTTGGGAATAACTGGTTACTCAGGAACAAATATGTTGCGTTTAATATGCTTAAAGAAAAAAAGAGGGTAATGATAGTAAGAAGAAAATGGCACTATAAAACAAAGACCAACAAGTCAACAACAAAAAAGCAAACAGATTCAAAAATGGGCAAAGGACTTAAAAATTTCTCGAAAACAGATACACAAATAGCCAATAAACACTTGTTAAAAAATGCCCAACATCACTAATAATTAGGGAAATGCATATCAAAACGACAATGAGAGGCCAGGCATGGTGGCTCACGCCTGTAATCCCTGCATTTTGGGAGCCTGAGGCAGGTGGATTACCTGAGGTCAGGAGTTCCAGACCAGCCTGGCCAACAAGGTGAAACCCCATCTCTACTAAAACTACAAAACTTACCCGGGCATGGCAGTGCATTCCTGTAGTCCCAGCTACTCAAGAAGCTGAGGCAAGAGAATCGCTGGGACCCAGGAGACTGAGGTTGCAGTGAGCTGAGATCGCACCACTGCACTCCAGCCTGGGCAACACAGTAAAACTCTGTCTCAAAAAAAACAAAAAACAAAAAAACAGTGAGATACCACATCACAGCCATTAGGATGGCTATTACTAAAACACACACGAACACAGAAAATAACAAATGTTGGTGAGGGTATGGAGAAACTAGAACCCTTGTGCATTATTGGTGGGAATATAAAATGGTAAAGCCACTATGGAAGACAGTATGGTGGTTCCTCAGAAAAATTAAACATAGAATTACTGTATGATCCAACAATTTCACTTCTGTATATATATATTCAAAAGAATTGAAAGCAGGAACTCAGATATACTTGCATGCCCATGTTCACTGCAGCATTAGTCACAATAGCCAAAAAGTGGAAGCAATCAAAGTAGTCCATAAAGAGATGAGTGGATAAAGAAAATGGGCTACATACACACCATTAAATATCATTCAGCCCTTAAATAAAAAAAAAGAAATTCTCCTGCACGTTACAACACAGATGTACCTTGAAGATTAAGTTAAATGAAATGAGCCAGTTACAAAAGGGCAAATACTATATGATTCCATTTATATGAGGAACCTAGAGTAGTCAAACTCATAAAGGCAGAAAGTAAAATGTGGTTGCCAAGGGCTAGAGGAAATTATAAAACGGGGAATTATAATTTAACAGATGCAGAGCTTCAGTCTGGAAGAAGAAAAGAGTTCTGGAGATGGATGGTGGTCATGTATGGTTATATGGTAGTGATGGATGGTTACACAACAGTATGAAAAGAGCAATGGCTCACGCTTGTAATCCTAGCACTTTGGCAGGCCGAGGTGGACGGATCACTTGAGGCCAGGAGTTCCTCCCCAAATCCAAGTTCCTAGATGCCAGCCAAGGGCCAACCTTGCAAGCAGACCTCGCTAAGCATATCAGTCTCAATCAGGCCTGCTATGTTAATTCTTTCTGCACAACTGAGATGTTCTCTTTGGAAATAACATGGTTTTTTGTCTTGTTTTTGGAGTTCTGTGTTTTTCTATTCAAAATGCACCCCCATTTCCTGTCACTTTAACTAAAATTACCTTATTGAAATTTGTATCTTTTTTGTAACTTATCAGCTACTTATGCCCAAGTTTTAAAACATTTACAAGCCACAAATATGGTGGATACACTATGGGATGATTAAATTATTTGTCTGTACTTAAGTAGAATACCTATGAGAAAAATCCCTTTAAGATTTAAAGATGGTAATCCAAGGTGATTCCTTCTCCAAGGGGGACATCCAGTGACCCTCTCAGGAAGTAGCAACTTGGAATAGAATAGTCCAGGAGTTCCAGGACCAGCCTGGCCAATATGGCGAAACCCCATCTATACTAGAAATACAAAAACTAGCCGGGTGTGGTGGCAGGTGCCTGTAATCCCAGCTACTCGGGAGGCTGAGGCAGGAGAATCGCTTGAACCCAGGAGGTAGAGGTTGCAGTGAGCCAAGATCAGCACCACTGCACTCCAGCCTGGGCAACAAGAGTGAAACTCAGTCTTAAAAAACAAACAAACAAAAAAAAACAAAAAAAAAAACCCCACTGACCTGTACATTTTCAAATGGTTAAAATGGTAAATTTTATGTTACATGTATTTTACCACAATTTTTTTATAAGACCAGATTTTAAAGAGAATCAAACAGAACCTGCAGAAATAAAAGACATAATAATTGAAATTAGTTCAATGGATGAATCAAATAGCAGATTAGCTCAGCTAAAGATGACTGTGAATACACAAAATGTAGCATGGTGATACAAAAATTGAATATATCAAACAGAAGTTATGCAACATGAGGACAGAATAGAATGTCCAACATATCTAAATACCATTCAAGAGGGAAAGAAAAGAAAAATGAGAACGAGGCAATATTTGAAGATATAATTGCTGAGACTTTTCCAAAAACTGCTGTAGTTTCTGGAAGCACAAAAAATTGCTAGTAGGATAATAAGAAATCTATACCTAGTCACTTTCCAGTGAAAATGCAAGACACTAAAGACAAAAAAAAAAATTTAACCACCAGATAGAAATGACAGATTGTCTACAGAAAGGACAATTATACTGACAGTTTCTCAATAGCAACAATGGCACCCAAGGGATAATAAAAAATATATATTGAAAAAGCTAAAGAGCAAATCAAATACTCTTCAAGGCTGTACAACTAAACCTGCTATGACTTTGAGGGCCCTTTTACCCCCACCAAAAGACTATAAACTCAATTCACCAATACATTATAGTTAACTAATTCTTAACCAGGGAGGGTGTCTGATTTTCTTCCAGAATACACCTGCTTGGTTCAAAAAAAAAAAAAAAAAATTAAAAAAAAAAGGCCGGGTGAGGTGGCTCACGCCTGTAATCCCAACACTTTGGGAGGCCAAGGAGGGTGGATCACCTGAGGTCAGGAGTTTGAGACTACCTTGATCAATATGGTGAAATCCTGTCTCTACTAAAAATACAAAAATTAACCAGGCGTGGTGGCATGTGACTGTAGTCCCAGCTAATCGGGAGGCTAAGACAGGAGAATTGCTTAAACCCAGGAGGTAGAGGCTGCAGTGAGCTGAGATCACGCCACTGCATTCCAGCCTGGGTGACAAGAACGAAACTGTCTCAAAAAAAAAAAAAAAATTGTTTTCTGCTGGGCACAGTGGCTCACACCTATAATCCTAGCACTTTAGGAGGCTGAGGCGGGCGGATCACTTGAGTCCAGGAATTCAAGAGAAGCCTGGGAAACATGGTGAAACCATGTCTCTACTAAAAATATAAAAATTAGCTGGCGTGGTGGCACACGTCTATAGTCCCGGCTACTTGACAGGCTGAAGTGCGACGGTCCCCTGAGCCTGAGGAGGTCAAAGCTGCAACGAGTTGTGCCACGCCACTGCACTCCAGCCTGGATGACAGAGTGAAACCCTGTGCCAAAAAAAAAAAAAAAAAAGTTTTCCAGGTGATTTTGATACACACTCCTAGTTTAAAAGAGAAGGAAAAGGAAGGAAAGGTAAAGAGGGAGAGAATACGATAAAATAAATGAGACAAAATGTTGACAATTAGGGAATCTAGGCAAAGAGCACATGAGAGTTGTTTGTGCTATTCTTGCAACTTTTCTGTAATCCTGAAACTATTTCAAGATTAAAAAGTTATTTTTAAAAAACCCACCCAGGCCAGGCGCAGTGGCCATGCCTGTAATCCCAGCACTTTGGGAGGCCAAGGTAGGTGGATCACCTGAGGCCAAGAGTTCGAGACCAGCCTGGCCAACATGGTGAAACCCCCGTCTCTACTAAAAATCTAAAAGTAGCCAGGCGTGGTGTCAGGCACCTGTAATCCCAGCTACCCAGGAGGCTGAGGCAAGAGAACTGCTGGAACCAGGGGGGCAGAGGCTGCAGTGAGCCGAGATCACGCCACTGCACTCCAGCCTGGGCAACAGAGCAAGACTCCATCTCCAAAAAAAAAAAAAAAAAAAAAAACAAAGCCACATATACCAGAATCACACACAATTCTGTTTCAAGATGCCACTATCTTTTCAAACATGAAAACATGAATTCTAGGAATGCTAATAGGGTATCATGTCTATAAATTTATCCAAATTATCCTTTTTTTTTTTTTTTTAAAGATGGAGTCTTGCTCTGTTGCCCAGGCTGGAGTGCAGTGGCACGATCTCGGCTCACTGCAACCTCTGCCTCCCAGGTCCAAGCGATTCTCCTGCCTCAGCCCCCCTAGTAGCTGGGATTACAGGCACACACCACCATGCCCAGCTAATGTTTGTATTATTAGTAGAGATGGGGGTTTCGCCATGTTGGCCAGCCTGGTCTCGAACTCCTGACCTCAGGTGATCCACCCGCCTCGGCCTCCCAAAGTGCTGAGATTACACGCGTGAGCCACCACACCTGGCAAATTATCCCATTATTATCTGGAAGCATTTGTGATGAGGGAATGAGGTTGGATGTGTTTAAATCAGTTATTGAAACCTACTAACACACAGGTGTCAATAATTCATGACAACCTCACTGTAAAGGTATGGAAACAGTTTCTATGCCTCTTCCATCCTCTAAATGACTTTGTATTTATGATATTCCTAGTTCTTAAACTATAAAAAGTCTCAGTGGGTGATTGTGGAGATCCATTTAAAATTCCATTTTCCAAAACTTAATGTTTCTTCTCTCCTACTAATCTTCCTATGCAACCTCACATCAAACAATAAACAGAAGAGAAACACAAACTTTACCTTCTCTCTTTTTCTCCCCCTTTAAACTTCTCCAATCTCTCTACATCTTCACAGCACATGTACTCTAACATTTTGAGTTATTATATGAAAGATATAGTGGTAGAAGTTTTATATACAGTATCTAATTTAATTCTCAAACCACCCTATGCAGCAGGCATTATCCTCATTTTATAAATGAAGAAATAATTAAACAATCACAGTTAATACCAGAATTTTAACATAGATCTATCTAGTTCCAAAACCCATACACTTTTTCCTTTTTTTTTTTTTTTTTTGAGACAGATTCTCTCTCTGTCACCCAGGCTAGAGTGCAGTGGCAATAATCATGGCTCACTGCAGCCTTGAACTCCTGCGCTCAAGCAATCCTCTCACCTCAGCCTCCCGAGCAGCTGGGACTACAGGCATGTACCTCCATGCCAGCCAAAATTTAACTTTTGGTAGAGTCAGGGTCTCACTGTGTTGCCTAAGCTGGTCTCAAATTCCTGGACTCAAGCAATCCTCCTGCCTCAGCCTCCCAAAGTGCTAGGATTACAAGCATGAGCCACTGCACCTGGCCCCCAATGCCTTTTTTTTTTTTTTTTTTTTTTTTTAAGACGGAGTCTCCCTCTGTCTTCCAGGCTAGAGTGCAGTGGTACAGCCTTGGCTCACTGCAACCTCCATCTCCCAGGTTCAAGAGATTCTCGTGCTTCAGCCTCCTGAGTAGCTAGGATTATAGGTGCACACCACTCCACCTGGATAATTTTTGTATTTTTAGTAGAGATGGGGTTTTGCCATGTTGGCCAGACTGGTCTTGAACTCCTGACCTCAGGTGATCTGCCTGCCTCAGCCTCCCAAAGTGCTAGGATTAGAGGCATGGGCCACCGCGCCTGGCCCACAATGCTTTCTTGAGTTACATTTATGTTGTCGCACTTTCAGTTCTCCTTCCTGAATAATATATTTCTATACAGTACAGAACCTTATCAGATAGCTAGACAGCAAGGTACAGTTTCACAAAGATAAAAGTTAAACAGAAGTTTTTCAGTCACAAATTAAGAGCCTTTTTTTCTCTCCTTCAGATCCCAAACTTTTAGTTTCGCATATTCTATCTCCCACCCCATTTGGGCACAACTTAAACCCAAAAAATGCTACCTACCCATTGAAAGCTTCCATGTAGAGATTTTGTATGAACATGGAGATTCCAATTATAAACTTATCTGATCCACTATTGTATTGGAAATCTTCAAGAACACCCTCAGATTTGATGATTCACTAGGAGGACTCAGAAAACTCAGCACATAGTTGTACTCATGGCCGTGCTTTATCACAGCAAAGGGATATAAAGCAAAATCAGCAAAGGAAAAAGGTACATGGGGCAATGTCCAGAGAAAACCAGGCGCAAGTGTCCAAGTCTTCTCCCAGTGGAGTCACACAAGACATACTTACTTCCTCCAGCAATGAATTAAAACAACATGTGTAAAATGCTGTCTCCAAGGTTCTTCTTAGGGGGTGATCACATAAGCACCCTCTGCCTACTACACAGCAAAATTCCAGACTCCCAGAAAGAAAGGTGTTCTCTATAAACCACATTGTTTATACAAACAGCTTAGGCACAATGGGCCACTCTTTTTGGTTCTGGAAATGTAGGAACCCTCCCCAAATCTAAGTTCCTAGATGCCAGCCAAGGGCCAACCTTGCAAGCAGACCTCGCTAAGCATATCAGTCTCAATCAGGCCTGCTATGTTAATTCTTTCTGCACAACTGAGATGTTCTCTTTGGAAATAACATGGTTTTTTGTCTTGTTTTTGGAGTTCTGTGTTTTTCTATTCAAAATGCACCCCCATTTCCTGTCACTTTAACTAAAATTACCTTATTGAAATTTGTATCTTTTTGTAACTTATCAGCTACTTATGCCCAACTTTTAAAACTTTTACAAGCCACAAATATGGTGGATACATTATGGGATGATTAAATTATTTGTCTATACTTAAGTAGAATATCTATGAGAAAAATCCCTTTAAGATTTAAAGATAGTAATCCAAGGTGATTCCCTCTCCAAGGGGAACATCCAGTGCCCCTCTCAGGAAAGTAGCAACCTGGAACAGAATCTGGCATGCCTAAGGCATTTGGGGAACAGGGCTGGTTATTTCCTCTGCCTTCCTTGGCTGCCTACATGGATACCCAAGAGTCTTCCTTTCGGGATAGCGTGTCCTCTTGTGCACATGCTGAAGAGTTGTCTTTCTTGACGTAGGTCAGAGGCATTGATATGCAGCAAGTTTCTTTAGTCATCAACTATGACCTTCCCACCAATAGGGAAAATTATATCCACAGAATCGGTTGAGGTGGACAGTTTGGCCATAAAGGTGTGGCTATTAACATGGTGACAGAAGAAGACAAAAGGACTCTTTGAGACATCAAGACCCTCTACAACACCTCCATTGAGGAAATGCCCCTCAATGTTGCCGACCTCATCTGAGGGGCTGTCCTGCCACCCAACCCCAGCCAGGGCTCAATCTCAGGGGTCCGAGGAACAGCAGGAGAGGAGAGGGAAGGGAGCCAAGGGATGGACATCTTGTCATTTTTTTTTCTTTGAATAAATGTCACTTTTTGAGGCAAAAGAAAAAAAAAGATTTAAAGATAGTAAAAAAAAAAAATAATCTCAGCACACTGGGATAAATATCATTTGATGCAATTTAACATATATATCATTATTGGTCTTCTATACTGTAACAGAATTGGTAACTATTAATACTTTTTCAGCAAAGAAAAGAAAATCTTGGCTCTTATTTCTGCTTATTACCAATTAATATGCAAATTTCCAGATTAGCTGCTAACAATATGGAAGTGCTATTCTTTTAAAAATCACCACCTAAAAACTAGTCAGGAAACCCACGCTTCCCTCTTCTTAAAAGAAATTAACTCATGACATTTTAAAAGGAATTAGCCTTGCTGTCCTCCTACACATTTTTGTTTTCAATAGTTAACAGTATCTTAGACTGAGTATGTTCTGTTCAACAGGTCACATAAAAAAATTAACATCACAAGAATATTTTACCTCAGCTTAAAAAATAGGAAAGGAGCCTAAATACCTGTATACAAATGTGTACTTCCTTAGTTTTTGGTTACACCAGCAAATTAAGTAACACTGGACTGTAAGTGAATCAGTGATTGATCTGTACCCTGAAATAACTGCTGAAATGTCTTCTGCCTTTTTCCCCTACAATCACTTCTGTTAACATATGTCCTGTCCTCATGTAAACTTAATATGAGCTCAACAGAATGAAGAATACAGACGCCTTCAAGGAACTGAATCTAACAGAAGAAACAAATAACAATAAAAATTGTAAGACAAAAGTACTGGATGTTAAATAGTGTGAAAAGAAATAAATGTGAAGTAAGTTCTAAAAAGAGGTAAAAACAAAAACCAACCACCAAAAACCCTTTCTCCTTCAATTTAAGATCTCCAGTTTAGAAGGTTCAAAATACATGAGTGAAAAATGACAACAAAAAATTGCTTTGTATATGTTTTGGTTAGCAATACAAAATGATACACACATCAAAGAGGCTTAAAAGGATACACCCCAGAACTTTTATTAGATTGTTGTCTCCCAGTAGGAAAGTGGGTATGGGGTTTGTTTTTAGTTTTTGCTTGATTTTTTCCCGTAATAAAACATACTGCATTTGTAAAAAGAACAAATCATTTTTTTCATTTCCCATCAGAGAAGTAAAGGAAGAATGTAGTATATAAATGGCTTATATTTTTTCTATTTCCTAACGTCAAAACAAAATCTCTGTGTTTTAATAAACATTTTATACTTGCACAAAGAATGAAGGTTTTCCTCTCTTCTGTTGCCTTTGTAAGCTGTTTCCTTAAAACTCAGTGATCAAAATAAATAAAATACAACTAAGTACTCCAGAAAAGATCTTCAAATTGGAAACCAGTTAGTATGCACCATCACCCTCCCTATCAGTACAGACTGCCCTCTCACTGAGGTCATCCTCTCCAGGTAACTTTCCTGGATCATCCCTCATTTTCAAGTATTATTATCCCAAAGATCATTCTTCTCAAAGTAAACAGTCTTTTTTTTTTGTTGCTATGTTCACTGCAAATAAGAAAAAAAAAATAACCTCTATTTGTATTATTGTAACAAGCTATGCAAAGAAGCCCATGCATTAAGAAAGGCATCTTGGTAGGCAATAGCTTACAGTTAGGTCTCAGGTCTCATGTTCCAGCTCTGGCCCCACATGCTATACATTATTTCATTTAGTATGAAATTGGGATAAGAGAATTCTTTTGTCAAATTACGTGCCAGTATCACGCTGTTTTAAATACTGCATTTTTATAACAGGCAGCATAGCCTGGTGGTTAAGGCAGTACACTTGAGCTAAACTGCCTGGCTCTTTGACCCTTCTCTTTACTACTTCCTTGGCTGTGTGGCCTTGCGCACGTTATTTAACATCCCAGTAATTCAATGTCCTTATTTGTAAAACGGAGATGATAATGATACCTATCTAATAGAAAGAGCTGATGTGAGGATTAAAAGTTTTAGGCTTTTAAAATATTTCCATTTATTTATTTATTTATTTATTTAGAGATGGAGTCTCTCGCTCTGTCGCCCAGGCTGGAGTACAGTGGCCTGATCTCAGCTCACTGCAACCTCCACCTCCCAGGTTCAAGCAATTCCCCTACCTCAGCCTCTCGAGTAGCTGGGATTACAGGTGGGCGCCATCACGCCCAGCTAATTTTTGTATTTTTAGTAGAAATAGGGTTTTGCCATGTTGGCCAGGCTGATCTCGAACTCCTGACCTCAGGTGATCCACCCGCCTCTGCCTCCCAAAGTGCTGGGATTATAGGCATAAGCCACCACCTCCGGCAAAATATTTCCTTTTACATGCTATCTGCTCACTGCAAAAAAATATTCAAATAACACAGACATATGCAGAGTTAAAAGTGAAAGTTCCCTCCGCATCTCTACTCCCACCCAGCAAGGAACCTACAAAAATACTAAGATGAGCTGGGTCTGGTGGCTCACACCTGTAATCCTAGCACTTTGGGAGGCCGAGGCGGGCAGATCACTTGAGGCCAGGAGTTCAAGAACAGCCTGGCCAACATGGCAAAACCCCCTCTCTACTAAAAAATACAAAAATTAACCAGAGGTGGTGGCGCATGCCTGTAATCCCAGCTACTCGGGAGGCTGAGGCATGAGAATCGCTTGAACCTGAGAGGCAGAGAGTACAGTGAACCAAGATCACGCCACTGCACTCCAGCCTGGGTGACAGAGCAAGACCCTGTCTCAAAAAGCAAAACAAACACACACACAAAAAAACTAAGATGATTGTTTTAGACCAACTGATAACTTATTTGTTTCATTCACAGTTGTCTAGACCAAGAGAAACCTCCTCTGAATCTGATTAATAGACTCTGTACATCGGTTATTCTAGAGTTTCAGATAAATGTAGTTACTAGATAGAAACATGAGTAGTGTCTCCAACGAAGGGGCTCAGAGTGCTGCATGTAACATAATGGGTGACCCAAATATTTAGCAACCAGCAGAGCAAAGTCATTACAACTCTTTTTCTTTTTTTTTTTTTTTGAGACTGAGTCTCACTCTGTCGCCCAGGCTGGAGTGCAGTGGCGTGATCTTGGCTCACTGCAACCTGTGCCTCCTGGGTTCAAGAGATTCTCCTGCCTCAGCCTCCTGAGTAGCTGGGATTACAAGTGTGTGCCACCACACCCAGCTAATTTTTGTATTTTTAGTAGAGACGGGGTTTCACCATGTTGGTCAGGCTGGTCTCAAACTTTTGACCTCGTGATCTGCCCACCTCAACCTCCCAAAGTGCTGGGATTACAGGCATAAGCCACTGCGCCCGGCCCATTACAACTCTTCATCAAATATTTCCAGCTGCCCTCCCAGGCACATAACAAAACTACACTTTCTCCATGCCCCCCGGCATTACATGAGACCACATGACTTGCTTTGGCCAGTGAGATATAAAAGGAAGTGACATATATCCCTTCTGGCTTTTAGTTTCCACTAGTACTTGACTCATTACTCTGTTTCTCTCTGCAATGCTAACTGCCAGCTTTCTAGAACGATGGTTGAAGACTCTGTCAGCCTGGGTCTCTGGGTGATAAAAAATGGGTATAGCCCACCTCCCACCTCCTTTGGGGGGTCTGAGGGGGTAAGACCCACCTCCTGATCCATATGGGACATGTATTACAAGTGACAAACTTTGGATGTGTTAATCCACTGAGATTAGGGAGGGCGGGTAAGGGGGATTGTTGTTGTGGATACTAACTTATTACCTAGTCTATCCTGATTAGACAGACCAACTGATTCTAAAGTTAAAATAAAATGTAAGCAAACAAGAACAGCCAGGAATATTCTGAAAAAATAACAATGAAGAGGAACTAGCCCTGCCAATAACAGCAAAAAAATAAAGACCTAATACTTATACAACACCAACTACAGGCTAAGTACTTTTCTAAGCACTTTATATAGCTTAACTAATTTAATCCTTGCATCAGCCCTCTATTAGATAGGTATCATTATCATCTCTATTTTACAAATAAGGACATTGAATTACAGGGATGTTGAATAACATGCCCAAGGTCACACAGCTAAGAAAGTGATAAAGACAAGACTCAAAGCTAGGCAGCTTAGTTCAAGTCTATACCCTTAACTACCATTATACATTATAATGTATACATGTACATTATAAAAGTACAATAATTAAAACTGTGATATTGGCACATTATTTGACAGGCAAATTAAGAGAACATAAAGTGCAGAAATAGAATCAAATGCACACAGGATTTAGCATACAAAAAGGTGGATAAAAGCTTATTCAACACATGGTTATTCTGAAATCCCCACCCCCTTTCTATAAGCAATTCCAAATTCAAGGCATTTATTCTATAGCCATACTAGCACATGTCTAAAATGACACATATTAGGGTTTGTACTAGGACACTGTTTACAACAGCAAAAAACTGAAAACAAAGTAATTATATAATTCATCCACACAATGAAATGCTATGCATCCATTTAAAAAAAAAAAAAAAAGCAAGTTCTTTATTTACTGACATGAAAGAATGTCCAACATAAGCTATATAATAGCATCCATCTAGGGGGAAAAAAAAAGAATGGGGAGAATATACACGGATACAGGTACACATGCATAATATATCTCTGAAAGTATATACAACGAACTGGTGATTTGGATTGCCAAAATTTGGGTGGCTGAAGAAAAGGAGTGGCAGGAAGACTTCAAACTGTATCTCTTGAATTTTGAACCACATAAATGTACTGACCCTTCAATAAACAAACAAATGATTTAAATTTTTTTAAAAAACTCAGCCATTTAGCAGCAGGGATAAATGCCGAAAGGATAGATTGAGAATTCTCTTGATAAAGGAGCTGAGCAGCCATTACACTCCACATACAAGCTGAAACTGAGAAAGCCAGCTGGAAGAAAGGAAAACTGAACAGATGTACAGAGCGAAAAAGAGATGCCAAACCTTGCAGTTCCTGAAAGAGAGAGACAGAATATGCAGTCTTAATTTCTAATAGCTTGCCAGCTCCAGTTTCCAACAGGCACAGCTGTACAGTGATGCCTGTCCATGGAGTGTCGTGATCCCCAGTATGCCCACATAACAACAGTCCCTTCCATTACCTTCTGAAGTCAGCTCCTCTGATTCTCCATTCTTTTCTTTCTTTTTTTTTTTTTTGTTAGGGCCTCTACCACTAGCTGTTCTATCTATCTGAATAAGAAGGTATTTTAGGATCATTTCAAAGTGTCCTTTGTGAGGGAGGAAAGAAAGATTGTGATTTACCCAAGTGAAGTGCTGGACGTATCCAATCAGAATGTTAGCATTAAAACGACAACTATACATTATAAGTCCAGAAGCACAGAAATCTGGTAATTAAGCCTAGGCACAGAACAAGCCTGATACAATATACTACCTTGTATTAAGGTCTCAAAATTCTCTCAGCCTTAACATTTTTTAATTTTTTAAAATTTATTTACAATTGTCTGAAACCTATTTCAACCAATAAAAATGTTAAAAAATAATGTTTAAAAAACAATAACAGCTATAACTTTTTGAGTACTTACCATTAATCATGCACTAGCTGAGAATTTTACATGTAATAATTCCTTAATTCTCATAACTCTATGAGGTAGGTATTATTAGCATACCTATTTTACTGGTGAGAAAAGGGACACATAGCGAATGAATAACTTGCCCAGGAATACATTATTTCTAAGGTCTCTTCAGGTTGTAAATTTTTTTATACCTATGTCAAGCTACCAAAATCAGAAATTTAACAGAGGATCTAAACCCACACAGACTGACACCAGAGTCCATGCCATTAACAGCATGTTTATAAATGATTACATCTCTGACTGATATTGTCACAGAAAACACTCAATCAGAAAATCTAAATGCTTCATGAATTATTAGTGTAAGAAAACAAGGTCAGTAAAGTCATTCTAATTATCTCTTAAATATCCTTTTTTTTTGAATAAGTATTTTCCTGGTAATAGCAGTTATCTACTTTCCCTTTATAAATATTTACTTCAGACTCAAGTCCACAAAATATCTGAGAAAGGCACAAAAATAGTACACGAAGACTAGCCTAAAAATAAATCAGTTATATTTATTAACCTTTAATAAAGTGAATTGTATATGTTATATATATATTTTTTCAACTTTTAAGTTCAGGGGGTACATGTGCAGATTTGTCACATGGGTAAATTGTGTGTCACTAAGGTTTGGGGTACGAATAATCCTGTCACTCAGGTAGTAAGCACGGTGCCCAACAGGTTTTTCAACCCTTGCCCCCCCCATTCCTTCCCCTCTAATAGTTCCCAGTGTCTATTATTCCCACCTTTATGTCCATTTGTACTCAATGCTCAGCTCCCACTTATAAGTGAGAACACAGGGTATTTGGTTTTCTGTTCCTGCATTAATTCACTTAGGATAATGGCCTTCAGCTGCATCCATGTTGCTGCAAAGGACATGATTTTGTTCTTTTTTATGGCTGCATGTATACATTTGCTTTTTTCTCTTATCATATTATCATGAAGGCTTTGGGAAGACCGGAATATCAATGAGGGATATCTCCCCTCAGATGTAGCAGAGAATTGGGAAACAACAAAACTTACAATCAAGCTCTGCAACCTACTAGCTGTGTGGTCTGAAGGCAGAAGACAATCTCTCTTAGCCAAATGTCCTTGTCTGTAAAGCCAGAGAGTATGTTCAGCTCTTAGAGCAGTTCTGAGGATTAAATGAAGTAGTAGGATAATGTGTCTGACACACAAGCACCCAATCCCTAAACCATTCTACCACTAAAGCACAACAGTTAAGAGTGTAATTTTTGGAGTTATATGCCTTGTTCTGAAAACTGTTTTCATCATTTATCAGCTAAGAATTAAATGAGATAAAGTTTACAGAAATGTTGGCACATAAATGCTCAATGATGTAATAATACTACCAAAAGCAAAAAATAGGCACTAACAAAAAATAACTAGAAACTAAATCTAGAAAAATGGGTTAGATTCTAGTCTTTCTGTGCTCTAAGACTGGGTTCAGGGCACACTAGTCCAAAATACAGCACCTTGGCATTTGAGGAAACAGCAGAAGCAAAGAGGTCTCTCTGACCTTCTCCAGCCCTTCTCCTCTGAAGCAGACCATAGAAGAATTATCTCATCTTCTTCTCTGAAGTAGGTTATAAGACCCTCATTCCAGAGGTACCCTCCCTTTACTCAGAGGAAAGGAATGTCCTTATCTCTGAAGACACAGGGACATTGAGAAGACTATGACCAAACAAGCCTTGCTAAGTTCCCCCCAGGTTATTATCATTAGATCATTCTCCCTCTGTCCATCAGACTTCTACACGCTGTCCACTCTCCATCAAACCTAACCCATAAAATTACATAAGTTTCCCTGTTGATTTGGGTCTTCATTTCTGAAGGCTCCATGTCACATAAAACTTAAATAAATTTGTATGTTCTTCTCACTAATCTGCCCTTTGCTGTAGTGGTCTCAGCCATGAACCTAGCAATGGATGAGGAAAAAATAACTACTTTTTCTCCCCATACATCTACTGCTAAGCTATGGGTCCATAATCAACTTGTTTCAACTACCCAAGTATCATTTACCCATCTGTAATTCAAATATATTAGAATATATGACTTCTACAGTCTCTTCCAGTTCTAAATTTTTATACCTATGTCTCTCTAGCTACCAAAATCAAAAATTTTATCTTAAAAACAACCAACACCCTCATACAAATACTCACTCTCAGGAAAAAGAAAAACAAACCAGCAGGAGATTCAGAGAAATTCAGAGATTCAGAGAAATGACCCAAAATGGCCAGCTCTTAAACTGCAGCCAAACATTTCAAGTAATAAGAAACATGTTTATTTTTGTTTTTAGAGACAGGGTCTCACTCTGCACCCAGACTGGAGTGCAGTGGCACAATCACACCTCACTGTAACCTCACACTCTTGGGCTCAAGCAATCCTCCCAACTCAGCCTCCCTAGTAGCTAGGACTACAGGCACACAGCTAACTTTTAATTTTATTTTTAAAGACAGGGGTCTTGCTATTTTGCCCAGGGTGGTCTCAAACTCCTGCCTCAAGCAATCTTCCCCCTCAGCCTCCTCAAGTGCTATGACTACAGGCATGAGCCACTGTACCAGGACAGAAATATGTTAAAAGCAAATACTTTAAATGAGAAAAAAAATGATTTTAAAAAACAACACCGGCCAGGTGCGGTGGCTCATGCCTATAATCCCAGCACTTTGAGAGGCTGAAGTGGGCGGATCACCTGAGGTAAGGAATTTGAGACCATCCTGGCTAACACAGTGAAACCCCACCTCTACCAAAAATACAAAAATTAGCTGGGCGTGGTGGTGCACACCTGTAATCCTAGCTACATGATAGGCTGAGGCGAGAATCGCCTGAACATGGGAGGTGGACGTTGCAGTGAACTGAGATCATGCCACTTGCACTCCAACAGTGATAGAGCAAGACTCTAACTCACAAAAAAAAAAAAAAAGAAAAAAAAAAGCTTTAAGAGAAAAATTTTTAAAGGATAAAAATAAAAATATTTCGCCAGGCGTGGTGGCTCACGCCTATAATCCCAGCACTTTGAGGCCGAGGTGGGCGCATCACGAGGTCAGAGATCGAGACCATCCTGGCTAACACAGTGAAACCTCACCTCTACAACAAAATACAAAAAAAATGAGCTGGGCTTAGTGGCGGGCGCCTGTAGTCCCAGCTACTCGGGAGGCTGAGGCAGGAGAATTGCTTGAACTTGAGAGGTGGAGGTTGCAGTAAGCCGAGATTGCACCACTGCACTCCAGCCTGGGCGACACAGCAAGACTCTGTCTCAAAAAAATAATAATAATAAATAAAAATAAAAATATTTCATATACTGCCAGGAAGAAAGAATAAATATTTAAATATAAATAGATGAGCATGACCTCAGACTTGAGAATACTCAAGCTTGCAAGCTTGGAAAAATATTTGCTCAGAGCTGACGCCACCTTGACAACCACAGCATATAGCCAAGATGACTTTTCTCTTTAAAGATAGTTAATAATTTCAGGAAACAGAAGACTTGAAACAATTAGATCAAAGAACTTATAAAAGCATTAGAATTTTTCCAAATATCAGGGTCAATGAAAGAACAAAATAAAACAGAAAACAAGACATATAGTGATGAAGATAGGATTTCATAAAGTTTTCAGTCTAAGACTTAAAAGTGCAATTAGGCTGGACCTGCTGGCTCACATCTGTTATCCCAGCACTTTGGGAGGCTGAGGCGGGAGAATTGCTTTGAGCCCAGGAGTCTGAAATCTGCCTGGGCAACAAAAGAGATGTAATCCCTAAAAAAATTTTTTTTTTAATTTAACCAGGTGGGGTGGTATGTGCCTATAGTCCCAGCTATTCAGGGGGCTGAGGTGGGAGAATCACTTGAGCCTAGGAGGTCAAGGCTGCAGTGAGCCTGTACCACCGCACTTCAGCCTGAGCAACACAGTGAGATCCCGTCTCAAAAAATAAAAATAAAAATAAAATTTTTATAAGTGCAATTAAACTAAAAATACAGTAATCAAAGGAAAAACATATACAGGAGAATAAAACCAAATTTAGGCCAGGCATTGTGGCTCATGCCTGTAATCCTAGCATTTTGGAAGGCCGAGGCAAGTGGATCACTTGAGGTCAGGAGTTCGAGACCAGCCTGTTCAACACTGCGAACCCGGGTGATGGAGGTTGCAGTGAGCCAAGATCACACCACAGCCTGGGTGACAGAGCAAGAATCCTTCTCGAAAAAAAAAAAAAAATTTAAATAACTGTTTACCAATCAATAACTGCAAAGAAAACTCAGATTAGTTCAAAGCACCTCCGTGGAATAAAATCTGCACTGTAACATGCCAGGTACAATATCTCTGAGTGTACAATGAGGAAAATACTCTCTCCTTATGTATTTGTCCATTCTCACGCTACTGTGAAGAAATACCAGAGACTGCATAATTTATAAAGGAAAGAGGTTTAACTGACTCCCAGTTCTACATGTCTGGGGAGGCCTCAGGAAACTTGAAATCATGGTGGAAGGCACCTCTTCACAGGGCAGCAGGAGAGAGAACAGCCAAGTGAAGGGGAAAGCCCCTTATAAAACTATCAGACATGGTGAGAACTTACCATCAGGAGAACAGCATGGGAGAAACTGCCTCCATGATTCAATCATCTCCACCTGGTTCTACCCTTGACACGTGGGGATTATTACAATTCAAGGTGAGATTTGGGTGGGGACACAGAGCCAAACCACATCATCCTACTTGCTGAATATATCAATCATTTAAATACTACTGAGTGCCTGGCACCATTAAAGGTACAGGGACTACAAGGGTGAACAAGACCAAGTTCCTGTTCTCACAGGTCTTACCATCTAAAGCAGCAATGTCCATTAGAAATATAATGCAAGCTGGGCAGGGCATGGTGGCTCACACCTGTAATCACAGCACTTTGGGAGGCCAAGGCAGGTGGATCACCTGAGGTCGGGAGTTCGAGACCAGCCTGACCAACATGGAGAAACCCTGTCTCTACTACAAATAACAAAATTAGCCAGGCATGGTGGCAAATGCCTGTAATCCCAGCTACGCGGGAGGCTGAGGCAGGAGAATTGCTTGAACTCGGGAGGCGGAGGTTGTGGTGAGCCAAGATCGTGCCATTGCACTCCAGCCTGAGCAACAAGGGCAAAACTCCGTCTCAAAAAAAAAAGAAAGAAATACAATGCAAGCTGGCTGGGCGTGGTGGCTCATGCCTATAATCCCAGCACTTTGGGAGGCCGAGGCAAGAGGATCACCTGAGATCTGGAGCTCAAGACCAGCCTGACCAACATGGAGAAACCCTGTCTCTACTAAAAATACAAAATTAGCCAGGCGTGGTGGCACAAGCCTGTAATCTCAGCTACTTGGGAGGCTGAGGCAGGAGAATCGCTTGAACCTGGGAGGCGGAGGTTGCAGTGAGCCAAGATCACACCATTGCAATCCAGCCTGAGCAACAGGGGTGAAACTCCGTCTCAAAAAAAAAAAAAAAAAAGAAATATAATGCAAGCTACAAATGCCATTTTACTTTTTCTAGTAACTACATCAAAAATTTAAATTCAAAAAATTAATTTTTATATATATGTCTATCTAAAATATTATTTAAAACATGTAATCAATATAAAAAAATTAATGCAGTACTTTATATTCATTTTTTCCATACTGAGTTTTGAAACATAATGTGTATTTTATTACAGTACTTCTCAATTAGCTTATTTGTATTTATTTATTTATTTTTACGCTTATTTTTATTTTTGTCTTTTTTTTTCTTCCTTTTCGTGGAGAACAGAGTCTTGCTATGTTGCCCAAGGCAGGTCTCAAACTCCTGGGCTCAAGCTATCCTCCCGCCTCTGCCTCCCTGAGAGATGGGATTACAGGCATGAGCCACCGTGCCCAGCCTATTTATTTTTAAATACAGAAAGGGTCTCACTATATTGCCCAGGCTGGTCTCAAACTCCTGGGCTCAGGTGATCCTCCCACCTCAGCCTTCCAAACTGCTAGGATTACAGGTGTGAGCCACCACTCCTGGCCAATACTTCTCAGTTAGGACAAAGGACATTTCAAGTGCTCAAGAGCCACAGTGGCTACTAGCTGCCATCCTCAACAGTACCAATATAGGGAGGAAATGGATGGGTGCTGCTAATTTTTTTTCCATTTTAAATCTTGTCATATTCTTTGACTTCTAAAACTGCCTGCATGTATTACTGTGGTAAAAATAACTAAAAGAGTCCAGGCGTGGTGGCTCACACCTGTAATCCCAGTACATTGGGATGCTATAGGCAGGAGGATTGTTTGAGCCCAGGAGGCTGCAGTGAGCTATGATCATGCTACTACTGCACTCCAACCTGGGTGACAGAGTAAGACCCTATCTCTTAAAAGAAAAAAATTATCTAGAAATATCAGTTTTAATAAAATAAAAATATCAGTACAAAGTTATTAGATGCAATACAAGTAAGGCAACCAAACCTAGACTCAAGATGGACATACAAAATCAAGGCTTCCTATACATTAGCAATAAGCAATTAGGAAAGATTATACTTAACAACAAAAATCATAAAATGCCCACTAATAAACCTACCAAGTAATGTCCAAAAACAAGATTAAGAAAATGAAAAAGATTTTACTGAGGGGCAAAAAAAGATCTGCCTGGACTGGCAAAGGGATGTCATGTTCTTGGCCATAAAAACACAATAATGCAACATCAATTCACCCCCAAATTAACCTATAATTTGATATGACCATCAAAATCTCCTAAATCTTAACAACATAATCCTAAAGATCTTTGGAAGATATAAGATGCAACATCTAAATAAAATTTTAAGAACAACATAATGATTGGGGAGCTAACCACATACACATACACACTATATAAGCTTACAATAATTAAAATAGTATATTAACAATGTGCAGGAGGAGACAAAGATCAATGGAACAACAGTTTTAAAATGACATATATATATATATATATATATATATATATATGAGAATATATGATAAATATGGCTTTTCAAATCAGTGGAGAATTGATGGACTATTCACAAATTAATACAATGGAAAAACATTGTTTGTTCCAAGCTCAAATATATATACCCTTCGGATGGATTCAAATTACAAACATAAAGAAAAAACACAGGAAAGATGGAGAAGATATTTAAATATTCTTATAAACAAGTATTCATCAATAAGAAAGTGGTTAAATATATGGCTAAAGCATGGGACACTATAAAGCTGTCAAAAAGGATGAGAAATCTACAAATACTGGAATAGAAAGACCTTCCAGATAAATAAACACACACACAAAAATTGTGGGTCGGGCACAGTAGCCCATGCCTGTAATCCCAGCACTTGGAGAGGCCAAGGCAGACAGATTGCCTGAGGTCAGGAGTTTGAGACCAGACTGGCTAACATGGTGAAACTCCTTCTCTACTAAAAATACGAAAATTAGCCGGGTGTGGTGGCGGGCGCCTGTAGTCCCAGCTACTAGGGAGGCTGAGGCAGGAGAATCGCTTGAACCCAGGAGGTGGAGGTTGCAATGAGCCGAGATCATACCACTGCACTCCAGCCTAGGCAACAGAATAAGACTCAGTCTCCAAAAAAAAAAAAATTGGGGAGAAAATTCATACAGTATAATGCCATTTATGAAACGGCAAGAGAAGTGTTAATATATATACTCATATATATGTAAATACACAGCAAGTTCTGAAATGGCTGGGTGTGGGAAACACCTATCGAACCACAAACAGTAGTTTCTTCTAATAAGGGAATATGTATTGGGCCAAGAATGTCAAAGGGGACTTTCATGTCTAGTCTATATGCTTCTGAATTATTATTTTTTTAACCTTGAGATACCTTTGTATATTTTTATGCAACTGAAAAATGCATGGCCAGGCACTGTGGCTCACGCCTGTAATCCCAGCACTTTGGGAGGCAAAGGTGGGTGGATCACTTGAGGCCTGGAGTTCGAAACCAGCCTGGCTAACAACCCTTTCTCTACTAAAAATACAAAAATCAGCTGGGCGTGGTGGCACATGCCTGTAATCCCAGCTACTCAGGAGGCAGAGGTTGTAGTGAGCTGAGATCATGCCACTGCACTCCAGCCTGGGCAACAGAGCCAGACTCTGCCTCAAAAAAAAAAAAGAAAAGAAAAGTGCCAATTTCAAAATGAGTAAAAGAAAGCTACTGTAACAAAAACCTTCAGGTATCAACCTTTCTTTCCTATAAGGAACAGATGAGTGATACAAATTGTACTTGTTAGTATTGTCAGTTTTTTTTAATGTTTTCTTAGCAATTACCTAGAAACAAAATGCTAAGTGGTAATCTTCAGTCCTAACTCAGTACTGTTTTTTTAATTTGCTGGAATTAGCACACAGAGAGAAACATGTTAACAAAATTACATGTGTACATATTATGTATTATACTAAGCTCCAGAATATTTTTTTGACCTTGTCCACATGAAGTGAAAGGTTTTTGAACACTTCTTCTCCCTAGAAAGCAAACCCGAGAATACAAATGGCCTGGGCCTGCCCAGCTTTAGCGTTCTGCTGGATCAAAAGCCAATAATGGCAGAGTTCACTATAGAGAAGCCGGCAGTTCTACCACGGCAGAATCAGCACATTTACAGCAACCAGCAAGTGGGAAAAAAGCTAAGTGCTGTTTTCATATTTTTAAGCAACTAAGTTTAAACGTTGGATAGTAATATATTTAATGTGTATTTATCCATGAATTTGAGTGAATTTCATTTGAAAATACTGACAAAATGTTCTAATTAGTATAATGACAACAAATTTACATACTGAAATTATGCACTCAATCCAAAAAGGCAACCAAGAGTTTTTGTACAAAATATCCTCACAAACACAGACACACACATCTCTTTTTAGTTGTTTCGTAAGGATGTTCATCAACATCTATTTGATCAGCAACATTCTTTTAGATAGCAGTTCTGTCTAAATTGTATCTAAAAATTCTCTCAGAGCCATCAACATAGGCAATTAGTACAGAATAAATGAATAAAAAAATAGAAAATGCTCTGGAGTGTTAAGCTAAAATTTTTTAAAAATTCTCCTGCCATTATCACCTGGGGGAAAAGGTCTTTATAAGTTGCATATTGCAATAATAAGCTAAATATATCATGTGGTTACACAGATTCTTTTTTTTTTTTGGCTGGACTGCAGTGGCGTGATCTGGGCCTGCAACCTCCACCTCCCGGGTTCAAGCAATTCTTCTGCCTCAGCCTCCCGAGTAGCTGCAACTACAGGCGCACGCCACCATGCCCGGCTAATTTTTGTATTTTTAGTAGAGGTGGGGTTTCACCACATTGGCCAGGCTGGTCTTGAAGTCCTGACCTCATGATCTGCCTGCCCTGGCCACCCATAGTGCTGGGATTGCAGGCATGAGCCACCTCACCCGGCCAGTTACATAGATTCTAATATAAGATGATTGGAGGCCAGGCGTGGGAGCTCACGCCTGTAATACCAACACTTTGGGAGGCCAAGGCAGGCGGATCACTTGAGGTCAGGAGTTCAAGACCAGCCTGGCCAACGTGGTGAAACCGTCTCTACTAAAAATACAAAAATTAGCTGGGTGTGGTGGCGTGCACCTGTAATCCCAGCTACACAGGAGGCTGAAGCAGGAAAATCGCTTGAACTCAGAAGGCCGAGGTTGAACCCAAGAGGCCGAGGTTGCAGTGAGCCAAGATGGCACCATTGCACTCCAGCCTGGGTGACAGAGCCAGACTCCATCTCAAAAAAAAAGAGCCGCTCGGCCTGTGGCTCAGTCAGGTGTGGTGGCTCACACCTGTAATCCCAGCACTTTGGGAGGCCAAGGTGGATGAGTCACCTGAGGTCAGGAGTTCAAGACTAGCCTGGCCAACATGGTGAAACCCCATCTCTACTAAAAACACAAAAATTAGCCGAGTGTGATGGCATGCACCTGTGGTCCCAGCTACTCGGGAGGCTGAGGCAGGAGAACCGTTTGAACCCAGTGGGTGGAGGTTGCAGTGAGCCTCGATCGTGCCATTGCACTCCAGCCTGGGCAACAGAGCAAGACTCCACCTCAAAAAAAAAAAAAAAGAAAAGAAATATTAGTAACACTAAGCCTAAAGATTAAGACAGGAGTTCAACATTACCATGAGATTCCAAATGGTATGGTGAGTTCCCACCTCTCCTTCATTAGACCATCATATATATCTAAGACTCAATCCATAGCCACATACTATACAAATCTAACCCTGGTCTACCAGTCTGAAAACCTCATCACTGGTCAAGACAGATGGGGTAAAAAATACCTAAAAATCTTTGTATTATATATATACATACATATGTATAACTACATACACACATATTCTAAAAGGTAACTAGGCACCAGCATATACCAAAACTATAGAATCACAAACAGACATCCCATCTTCTTTGGTCTCTAATATTTTTTAATTTGAGCAACGAGGGTTTTATGAGTTTTAAAAGAAAAAACAGATATTGAGTACTTAGAACATGCCTGGCACACAGCCCTCAATAAATGGCAATTATTTCATTACCCAATTCTTCCAGGAACTGTAGCCCAATCTGCTCAAGAATGAGTCAGCAGAACTGTTTTCTACTTCCCCTTTCCCTGATAACTCCAGATTTTTTTCAAAAATGTGTCTCTCAAGAGACCTCTAATGTACGAACTTTTAGAGATAAACCACCAAAAAAATGGTATAAGACTGTGGTGACTTGCATGTGGACACTAATAGGCTAGGAACAAATGAATTTCTGAACCAGTTTTGAAGAGAGTTAGTACATTACATCCTGTTTTCTGACAGTCATTCAATCACCTCTGATCAAGTACTCTTTTCTTTTCTTTTTTTGAGACAGTCTCGCTCTGTCACCCAGGCTGGAGTGCAGTGGTACGATCTCGGCTCACTGCAGCCTCTGCCTCCCTGGTTCAAGCAATTCTCCTGCCTCAGCCTCCCGAGTAGCTGGGACTACAGGCGTACGCCACCACGCCCAGCTAATTTTTGTATCTTTAGTAGAGATGGGGTTTCACCATGTAGGCCAGGAGGATGGTCTTGATCTCCTGACCTTGTGATCCACCTGCCTTGGCTTCCCAAAGCACTAGGATTACAGGCGTGAGCCACCACACCAGGCCAAGTACTCTTCTTAATCTCACATGAGCAGGAGATTCTCAAAGCATGGTCCCCAACCAGCAGCACCTGTAACACCTGAAAATTTGCCAGAAATGCAAATTCTTGAGCTCCTCCTCAGCCCTAAATCAGAAACCCTGGAGGTGGGACCCAGCAATCTGCTTTAACAAGCTCTCCACGCTCAAGTTTCAGAACTGTTCTATATGATTTGAAGTAGCTACATATTTACCTCGTCCAGAAGACATCTGTTAACATGGAAAAGGTTCTTAAGTATTTTGAAATCTCTGTATGTGCAGTGCCACATTAAGAAAAAGCCCATCTGACTCACAACTTCAAGAAGATAATCACACTAAACAAGTTTTCTTTTTGAGACAGGGTCTCATTCTGTCGCCCAGAATGGAGTGCAGCGACGTGATTATGGCTCACTGCAGCCTCAACCTCCTGGCCTCAAGTGATCCTCTCACCTTAGCCTCCCCAGTAGCTGGGACTACATGTGTGCACTAGCACGCCTGGCTAGGTTTTCTATTTTTTGTAGAGACAGGGTTTCGCCACGTTGCCTAGGCTGGTCTTGAACTCCTGAGCTTAAAGCAATCCACCTGCTTCGGCCTCCCAAAGTGCTGGGATTACAGACGTGAGCTACCATGCCTGGCCTAAACAAGCCTTTAAGAAGAAACTTTACATCCAGAGGTAAAAATAACACAGAGAAGAAGAAAAAAAAAGGTCTTAAAGGATGTCAGATGAAGAAGGTTACAACAAAGTCATTTAAAAAAGTCATTAACTATTAACCAGCAAACAAATGGGCCAACTTAGAATGAAGTCTCTATCAACTTTAAATTTGCATTGGCCAGTGTTTCTGGTTCAAGTTCTTTGATGGAAGAAAAAGATGTCTACAAGAACCAGGCACTACATATACTGATACCCAGTCCCTAAGACAAAGACAAATGGTCTAGAGAGGATATCACTTACCTTACAAGGAAGGTAGACCTAAAGTGATTTCAGATTCTCCTGTGATTTCAGATCCCCAAAATTCCCTTACCTTTTACTGCTTTCTGAAAGTCCTCTAATAAGAGTAGCTTAATAAGAAGAGAAAATGAAGTAATAAATATAAATGCTAAGGCAATTCTACACTTTGGCATGCCATCACAATGATAACAATAGCAGTGCTTAGGTTTACAAAACATTTTCACATACAACTCATATAATCTTCACAATCATCTTGAGGTAAATAATGACAATAAAACTGATATTTATTGAGCACCACAGTGCCTGGCACTTAAGAGTCTCGTACAATTTTATCACTTAATTATTTCAACAACCTGTTGTGAGGGATAAACCATGTACCAATGTCAGACACAAAGCAAGATTTATATCCAATTATAACTGATTTTAAAACCCACATTCTCTAAATCTCCACATTATGGCAAGACTTGGAGACAAAACTATCAGTCCCAGCTCTATCATTTAACAGCTATGTAACCTCAAGAAGTCACTTAATTTTCTAAACTCTTCATCTACAAAATGGGAAGATTAATACCTGCTTCACCTATTTCAGAGTAGTTGTAAAGGTCAAGTGAGATGAAAGACATAAAAGGTCTTCTTCAAAAGCTCTAAAAACTACACAAACATTATCATTCCCTATTTTGAAAGAGACTGAAGTAAAGAGGAATAAAAACATACAATGGTGGGGAGATGCTGGTTTTTCTTGTTTGGTTTTTGTTTTCCGTTTAAAGCAGGTTGAGCACCAGCTGCCTGCCACTTGTGAGCTGGGTATGTGCCGCACAGGACAGTGCCTTGTTTAGGCGATGGTCACTTTGTCAGGAAAATCTACCAAGGAAGAAATTACCAAACCATGTCTTTTTTTCTGTTTATGGAGTAGTTCACAGCAAATCTTGAGTGTTTTGACTAAAGCATGGAATACAGAAAACAAACTTCAGCTAGTGCTTTAATCTCTGCTGAAATTCTACAGGTATGTGTTTTATAAGCAGTATATGGCAGGATTTTAAGCCAGTCTGAAAGTCTGGTTTTCAGTAGCATTATTTCTGACAGCTACATACTGCTGAATGTTCAACTGGTGAAACTGAAGGTCTTTTCACTCAGAAGAAATCAATCAAGAAGAACTTGCAGTTCGCAAGCTTCTGAGCTGCTGTGGATGGCCCTGGCTCTCCAGACTGCCCTTCCCACTGAGATCTCTCACATGGGGTCTCCTGCTGCTGCCACTCCTGACTCTCCTCCTGATGTGGTACCTCTCAGCCTTCCCCACTACAATGTGACAGAATATGTAGACTGGATGTACTTTTACAAGTATGAGCCAATTTACAGATGAGGCTTTCACTTCACATTTTGAGAGCATTCAAACTGCTCTGATCAAAATCCAATTCTGGTTATCCTAGTGACCTCCCACCCCTCAGATGTGAAAGCCAGACAGGCCATTAGAGTTACTTGGGGTGAAAAAAGTCTTGATGGCGATATGAGGTTCTCACATTTTTCTTAGTAGGCCAACGGGCTAAAAGAGAAGACAAACTGTTAGCACTGTCCTCGGACGATTAACATCTTCTTTATAGTGATGTAATCCAACGAGATTTTTTAGACACATACAAAAACCTGACCTTGAAAACTGGCCAGGCACAGTGGCTCACATTTGTAGTCCCAGCACGTTGGGAGGTCAAGGCAGGTGAATTACTTGAGGCCAGGAGTTTGAGACCAGCCAGGCCAATATGGTGAAAACCCATCTGTACTGAAAATACAAAAATTAGCCAGGCATGGTGACGTGTGCCTGTAATCCCAGCTACTTGGGAGGCTGAGGCACAAGAATTGCTTGAGCCCAGGAGGTGGAGGCTGCAGTGAGCCAAGATCGCACCACTGCACTCCAGCCTGGGTGACAGAGCAAGACTCCGTCTCAAACAAACAACAAAAACAACCTATTATGGCATTCAGGTGGGTAACTGAGTTTTGCCCCATTGCCAACTACATCATGACAACAGACACTTATGTGTTCATCAATACTGGCAATTTAGTGTAGTATCTTTTAAACTTAAACCACTCAGAGAAGTTTTTCACAGGTTATCCCCTAATTGATAATTATTCCCATAGAGGATTTTACCAAAAAAAAAAAAAAACGTATTTCATACCAGGAGTGTCCTTTCAAGGTGTTTCCTCCCTACTGCAGTGGGTTGGGTTATACAATGCCCAAAGATTTGGTGCCAAGGATCCATGAAATGATGGGTCACGTAAAACCCATGATGTTTATGTCAGGATCTGTTTGAATTTATTAAAAGTGGACATTCATATTCCAGAAGACACGAATCTTTTCTTTCTATATAGAATCCATTCAGATGTCTGTCAATTTGGATGTGTGATTGCAGCCCACGGCTTTTCTTCCAAGGAGATGATCACTTTTTAGCAGATTATGCTATGGAACATCACATGCCATTAACTTCGCATTCTATGAAAAGCCTAGAAGAACAGGATACTCTGCGGAAAGTGTTAAAGTTCCTACTGTGAAAAGTTCATGGAGAGGTCAGTGTACTGGCTTACACTTAACTTTTTTTTCTTTTGAGACAGAGTCTTCGCCCTGTCCCTCAGGCTGGAGTGCAGTGGCGTGATCTCAGCTCACTGCAACCTCCGCCTCCTAGGTTCAAGTGATTCTACAGCCTCAGCCTCCTGAGTAGCTGGGATTACAGGTGCCCGCCACCATGCCTGGCTAATTTTTTTTTTTGAGACAGGGTTTTGCTCCTGTTGCCCAGGGTGGAGTACAGTAGCACGATCTCGGCTCACTGCAACCTCTGCCTCCCAGGATCAAGCGATTCTCCTGCCTCAGCCTCTTGAGTAGGTGGGATTATAGGTGCGCGCCACCATGCCCAGCTAATTTTTGTATTTTTAGCAGAGACAGGGTTTCACCATGTTGGCCAGGATGGTCTCGATCTCCTGATCTCGTCATCCACCCACCTCGGCCTCCCAAAGTACTGGGATTACCAGCATGAGCCACCGCGCCTGGCCTGAAACTCACCAGGAACCCACAAACTGGTTACACCTTATGATTTATTTTGACAAAAATCATGTCAGATCCTTTAAAGATGATATTCAGAGGAATATATTTAAAATACCTTTAAAATAACAACAACAACAAAAAAAAAACAGGCCGGGCACAGTGGCTCACGCCTGTAATCCTAACACTTTGAGAGGCTGAGGTGGGCGGATCATTTGAGGCCAGGAGTTCGAGACAAGTGTGACCAACATGGTGAATCCCCATCTCTACTAAAATACAAAAATTAGCCAGGTGTGGTGGCAGCCGCCTGTAATCCCAGCTACTCGGGAGGCTGAGGCAGGTGAATTGCTTGAACCCAGGAGGAGGAGGTTGCAGTGAGCCAAGATCGCGCCACTGCACTCCAGGCTGGGAGACAGAGCAAGGCTCCCTCTCAAAAAAAAAAAAAAAAAAAAAAGTCCAGATGCAGGGCCTCATGTCTGTAATCCCAGCACTTTGGGAGGCCAAGGTGGGAGAATCACTTGAGCCTAGGAATTTAAGACCAGCCTGGCCCAGTACAGCAAGACCCCATCTCTACAGAAAAATTTAAAAATTAGCCAGGCATGGTAGCACGCACCTATAGTCCCAGCTACCCAGAAGGCTGAGTCAGGAATGGCTTCAGCCAGGAGTTTGAGGCTGCAGTGAGCTATCATCATGCCACAGCACTCCAGCCTAGGCAACAGAGCAAGACCCTGTCTCAAAAAAAAAAAAAAACCACCTAAGTAAATAAATAAACTATCGAATAAAGCAGGCTGAAGACCCTTACAGAGAAACTTCAGACTTCATCACTTTACTTGGAATTTTACTGCCAAGTGGGCTATGAGAACAGAATCTGTACCACAACTTATTACTTTGCTAAAAATATGGACCCCAACTACACATCTATAACTTACACAGATTTGGAGATTAATAAAAATCTAACAGCTGATTTTTTTTTAAAAGTTTAGTCTGCAGGATTGGCACTCAAGAAAAAAAGAAAAATAAATAAAAATAAAAAATGAAGTTTAGTTCTTATATTAAGTCACCACAATTAAAATTCCCTCACAACAGCCTTCCTGTGCTTTCCATAGCATCGTTTTCAACCTGGGGTGCCAACAGCCTTCATTCCACAAAGATTAAAACATGAACTACTGGCCGGGTGCGGTGGCTCACACCTGTAATCTCAGGACTTTGGGAGGGCAAGGCAGGCAGATCACTTGAGCCCAGGAGTTCAAAACCACCATGGGCAACATGGCAAAACTCTGTCTCTACAAAAAAAAAAAAAAAATAGAAAGGCATGGTGGCGTGCACCTATAGTCCCAGGTATTCAGGAGGCTGAGAGGTGAGAGGATCACTTGAGTCTGGGAGGTCAAGGCTGCAGTGAGCCATGATCTCGCCAATGCACTCCAGCCTGGGCAAGAGAGTGAGACCCTACTCACTACAAAAAAAAAAAAAAAAAAAAAAAACTACAGATCCAAAATAAAAAATAAATAAATAAATCAGATCACTTAAAATAATGAGTTTGATTTAAGGAAAAATTTTTGTTATTCCAAACTTCATAATGTAAGGGTTTTTGTTTGTTGGTTTTTTTGGAGACGGAGTCTTGCTCTGTCGCCCAGGCTGGAGTGCAGGTGCGCGATCTCGGCTCACTGCAAACTCCGCCTCCGGGGTTCAGGGGATTCTCCTGTCTCAGCCTCCTGAGTAGCTGGGACTATAGGTGCCCGCCACCACACCTGGCTAATTTTTGTATTTTTTTAGTAGAGACAGGGTTTCACCATGTTGGCCAGGCTGATCTCGAACTCCTGACCTCAGGTGATCTGCCCACGTCGGCCTCCCAAAGTGCTGGGATTATAGGTGTGAGCCACCACGCCCAGCCTAAAGTTAATTTTTAATAGAATTTTTAGAAAATGAGAGAGGGAAGCTAAAGTAAAATCATTCAGCTGTTAAAAGGTATGTGAGATATTCAACAGCAAGTAAGTATTCAACCCTAGATTATTAGTCATGAAACATCAGCTCACCAGAAAGGTTTAATAGCAGAGCTTGCCTCTCGCAGTGGCTCACGCCTATAATCCCAGCACTTTGGGAGGCCGAGGCAGAGTATCACCTGAGCCTAGGAGTTTGAGACCAGCCTGAGCAACATAGTGAGACCTCCGTCTCTACAAAAAAAAAAAAAAAAACACAAAATTACCCAGGTGTGATGGCGTGTGCCTGTAGTCTCAGCTCCTCGGGAGGCTGAGGCAGGAGGATTGCTTGAGTCCAGGAGTTTAAGGCTGCAGCGATCTACGATCGCAGCACTGCACTCCAGCCTGGGTGGCAGAGCAAGACCTTTCTCTAAAATAAAACATAAAATAAAAGAGTTGACAAAAAAAATAGCAGATCTCAGAAAAGTCACACAGCACTCACTCCTTTCATACCAAAAATGGCTCTATTATTTTTGTTCCTTCTAAATTACATTCACAAAAATCACTTTTGGCAAGGCAAATTATTATCACAGCTTACCCACATATTATTAACGATAAAAAATGACCATTTTAGCTAAAGAAAGAAAAGTCCTGGACTCTGATAAACCATTTCCATAATGTATGTACCTTTTTACTGATTAACTAAATGTATTATTTGGCTTATATTAAAACCTACATGTAAACCCAAGAGTCTAACAGACCTAACATTCATATATGAAATTATGTGCTAATACCTCAATATGGCAAACTCAAGACAGTAATTTGTACACTAGATTCGAGCACCTACATTTACCATGTAAAGGTCAAATGATACATCCACTGAGAAGCTTTCGAATCTAATTCATTCATTCATTCATTCAATTCAGAATCTATCACATTTCTAAGTGGTGTCCTCAACTAGGGGCAATTCTGCCCCCCAAGAGATTTAACAATGTCTGGAGGCATTTTTATAACAAGTAAGGGGCAAAAAGAAGGTGCTACTGGCATCTAGTGGGTAGAGTCCAGGGATGCTGCTAAACATCCTACAATGCACAGGACAGCCCCCCAAAACACAGAATTAGCCAGCCCAAAATATCAATGCCGCCGAGGTTAAGAAACTATGACGTGGCCGGAAGCGGTGGCTCATGCCTGTAATCCCAGCACTTTGGGAGGCCGAAGAGGGCGGATCATGAGGTCAGGAGATCAAGACCATCTTGGCTAACACGGTGAAACCCTGTCTCTACTAAAAATACAAAAAAAAATTAGCCGGGCGTGGTGGCAGGTGCCTGTAGTCCCAGCTGCTCGGGAGGCTGAGGCAGGAGAATGGCGTGAACCCGGGAGGCGGAGCTTGCAGTGAGCCGAGATCGCGCCACTGCACTCCAGCCTGGGCGACAGAGTGAGACTCCGCCTCAAAAAAAAAAAAAAAAAAAAAAAAAAAGAAACTATGATGTACAGAAAAAAACTTTTTAAACCCATCTGTCTAAAAAACAGTACTCACTGCACCTTTGTTTCCTATATTATTTGCTAATTCCTTTCTTTTCATACTAGTCTTTGGCAATAAACTCGACCTATTCCCATTTTTTCAATCAGCTTCTAACTTCCAAACTTGTCAATAGAATCTTCATCATCCCAGTTAGCCAGGTTCTAAATCCTGGTGTCATCTTTGAATTATCCCTACTTTTTTTTTTTTTTTTTTTTTGAGACAGAGTCTCGCTCTGTCACCCAGGCTGGAGTGGCGCGATCTTGGCTCACTGCAACCTCCACCTCCCGGGTTCAAGCGATTCTCCTGTCTCAGCCTCCTGAGTAGCTAGGACTACAGGCGCGTGCCACCATGCCCAGCTAATTTTTCTATTTTTAGTACAGACGAGGTTTCACCATGTTGCTCAGGCTGGTCTCGAACTCCTGACCTCATGATCTGCCCACCTCGGCCTCCCACAGTGCTGGGATTACAGGCGTGAGCCACCGCACCTGGCCGAATTACTCCTGTTTTTAATAATAACAGTAGTATTAGTAATGGCAGCAGCTACACACATTTAGCTCATACTATGTGCCCAGCCACTATTCATTTAATACTAGGTACTATTATTATCACCACTTTACAAATGAAGAGTCCAAGACACAAAAAGTTAAATAACTTGTCCCAGGTCACAAAGCTCATAAGCAGCCAAGCAAGGTTTCAAATCCAGGAAAAATGGGTCCAGAGTTCATGCCCTTAACAAATACTCCAAAGTGATCTCTCTTCTTTCATCCTCTATCAAATCATAAAGTCCTTTAAGTTCCAAAGGGCAGGGACTCTGTTATGTTCACAGCAACATTCCCACAATCCAGTACATAACAGGTGCTCAAAAAAAACCCTTGTTTGTTGAATGAATGAAAGGACCCTTGAAATTACTCCTCCCATTTCCACTGCCACCACTCAAGGCCAGTCTTTCAGGTAAAGACTAGCCAATCAGGTAAATGGATATAAACTTCTCTGCCAGATTTTCCATAACCCAGTCCCATCCAGCCTATCAAAATTTTCTTTCTACTGCTTCTTAATTAGAATCATAAAATCTTAAAACCAGAAAGTATCTTAGAGATCATCCAGTCCAACCTCCTCACTTTACAGATAAAGAAACCCAAAGATGGTGACTAAAATCACCCAGGCAGGTGGAGCCAGAACCAGAACTTGACTCTTCCAATTTTTGCTCTATGATCTTTTTCTTCCAACTCATAATGATGCTTCATTCCTGACAGCTGTCTCCTCACTAGCCCATCAACAAATTATATCTATTCCCATGTTCCCGTTCAAGTTGTTTCTTCTACCCAAATTGTTCTCCCTCTCCATAGATCCAAATCCTCAAAATGTCTTCCTATTCCATTCTTCATGACTTCCTCTTTCTTGGAAAATCTTACATACCGAATAAGATAGTAAAGCAAGAGGATCACCATTGCCTACTAGGCCAAGTTTAATGCATAGTAACACTTCCCACAAAGTGAAGCTTACTTGGATGATTTCTTCCCTGTAAACTACTAATCCATTCTTCCATCCTGTGTTTTAGGAAGTGATTTTAATAAAGATTAGCTCATATATCACCTTCATAAAGTGTTCATATACCCGAAAGAGACACTCAAGCACATCTTCAATAGGAGACATGTGGCCAGGCGCAGTGCCTCACGCCTGTAATCCCAGCACTTTGGGAGGCTGTGGCGGGTGGATCATGAGGTCAGGCGTTCGAGACCAGCCTGGCCAACATAGAGAAACCCCACCCTACTAAAAACACAAAAAATTAGCCGGGTGTGGTGGCGGGCGCCTGTAATCCCAGCTACTCCGAGGCTGAGGCAGGAGAATCGCTTGAACCTGGGAGGCAGAGGTTGCAGTGAGCCAAGATCACGCCACTGCACTCCAGCCTGGGCGACAGAATGAGACTCCGTCTCCAAAAAAAAAAAAAAAAAAAAAAGAGTTTGGGCCAGGAACGGTGGTGGCTCACACCCGTAATCCCAGCACTTTGAGAGGCCAAGGCAGGCAGATTACCTGATGTCAGGAGTATATGACAAAATCCCACCACCACCAAAAATACAAAAATTAGCCGGGCGTGGTGGTGCACACCTGCAGTTCCAGCTACTCGGGAGGCTGAGGCAGGAGAATCACTTGAACCCGGGAGGCAGAGATTGCAGTGAGCCGACATCCCGCCATTGCACTCCATCATGGGGACCAAAGCGAGACTCTGTCTCAAAAAAAACAAAAACAAAAACAAAACAAAAAAACAAGACAAAAAAAGTTTGGAGACAACTATTCTAAAAATACATTGACAATGAGATCAAAATAATAGGTTTCAGACTACAGGGAGCATACATACATGTATGTATGTATATGGGCACACGCACACACTACAAAGGAAAACTTGTTCATATCCTGACTGACGTCCTAACCATGCCCACCAACCTCTAGCCCTTGCCAGCAATCTCAGAATTGTGTGTCCTACTCTGAAGCATAGTACAGAGGCTTTGGCAAAGCCTTTCATTTCTAGTAAAAACGAAATACAAAACAAAATAAACCACAAAAGCATGTCAAAAGTGATAAGATGATGCTAACTTCATCTTCCCTACAGAAAAGCATTTGACACTGTCCACAGTTCACTATCCTGACACTGCTCATCACCTAACGTAAACACATACCTTGTACTCCACAATCTCCTGAAATTCAGTTCCCATTTCCCAATCCCTTAGGATACAACCCATTTCCCCTTCACTAACGACGGGTTTATGCTCCCACCTCTGGGACTGAGCTAATACTGCCCTTCATCCTTCCCTCTCCTGAAGCTGCCATTCACTTTCTTTCTGCAGCCGCATAGTCCCGTCCCAGAGTAGAGGACAGACCATCCAGGGTCCCCAAACCCACTTCTCTTTCCTTCTCCGCCCCCGGGATCTGCCAGCCAGGCTAGAGACGCGAGGGGGGAGGGGTGTGACTCGCCTCCCAGGACTGGACCAGATGGCAGCGGATTCCGCCCCCACTCTCAGGCACCTTCCACCCTCCGACCCCTCGGGCAGCCCGTCCGCCACCCACCCCGCCCCGACCCCACCCCCGGCCTCCCCCACGCTCTCATGCCGGCTCCCAGACACACTCACCATGCTGGGTGAAGATATTGAAGCCGGTCTCTGTGGTGCGCCCCGCCGGGTCCCGCCTGCGGCCGGAGGGCCTGGCTGCACTGCTGCCCCGGATCCCGCGGGGCTGAGGCTGCTGGAGCCCCGGAGCTTCCCCGACGCGGCCCACCTGCTGCCCCATCCCTGCTCTCGCGTACTCCCGCGCCCCCGCCGACCCCTGGTCACATTCCTCCTCGGCTCCGGCCTCGGGCTCCTGGCGCTGCTCCGGTCTCTCCCTCCCAGCCCAGGCCCTGGCCCTGAGTGGCTGGGCCACCGGCGGCTCCGCACCCGGCCTCCTCACGGCAGCCGCCGCGCTGCCTCCAGGCGACTCACAGATTCTGCTTTTCCCTCCTCCTGTCGCGGCTCCGCGCCCCCAACGCCGCCGCCGCCGCCGCCGCCACCGCCGCCGCCATCTTTAAACCACCGAGCGCTGGGAAAGCGTGGGACAGAGCGTCTCCCGCCCCCCGCCCCCCGCCCCCCGCCCGCCAGTCACCTCCGCCGCGGGGAAGGAGGGCTTCCCGGCTGCCGCCCCGCCCTGCCGCGCCGCGCCCCCCGTCCCCGCCCCCGCCTCCTCGCAGGGTGGGTCCCCCAGTGCCCACCTCATTTGCCGGCCACCGCTGCTTGAGGTCTTTCGTCCTCCGCGTCCTGTCGCCGCACCTCGGCGTCCCCCCCCTCAATCCGCCTCAGCCGACCCCCTCCCGCGTTCGGCTCCACACGCTACCGCCTTTGGGGTTGGTCGGTCTCCGGCCTTCCCCATCCCACCTCCACCTGTCAAATGAGTGAGTCGAGGGCTCAGTGCCACCGCGTGCGCAGCTCAGGTGCAGGCACAGGTGGGGCAGAAAAGCACAAGGCATTTATTTGGTCCTTGCCATCCAGTTAAGGAGCTCTAAAATACCCAGGGGGATCTCTTTTAAACACCCTTGTCAGCAGCAGGCCTCCAGTAAAAATTAAAATGGTATAAAATTTACAAGAAGAGAGTAAAATGCTACCTTATTTGATTTTAATTTTTGGAGATTATTTCATGATGTTAAATCGCACTGGCCTGGATTGTGTGCCTTCTATAGTCTCATTGGGGACGCAATTGTAGCCCCATTCCTCATATTATATTACCATGAATTCCTCTTGAACTCCTTTACCATCTCACCATATGTGAGTTTCTGTTTCCTTACAATGCCTGACAGTAAAGTTAATCTTCCCACTGGCATCCTTTATACACTGTGCACGTGGTCAGGTCTTCTTTTGATGACAAAGGAGAAAAAATATATATCTTTGACCCTGTTTCTGAGTCAGAACTTACTCATTTTAGCTTATGCAGTCTAAAGAGAGTGAATGAGGCAGAAAAGAAGCGTTTTATACATACACATATACTATATACAATTGACTCGCCATCCCCCTCTCCCACTGTGTTTACTTGCATCTTAATTCAATTTTTTTTAATTCTCAAATCTTGATCATTCTCCTGTTATTCTTTTGGCTTCCCAATTTGCTTTATAAAAAGTATCAGTTAATGGAGGTACTACACTGAAATTTTGCTTAAATTAGACAGGACGGGAGCCACTGCAAAGAAGGAACAAAACAACCACTGGAAATGTAGGGTTGGGAGAAGAGGTGGATGAAGCTCTCCTTTGCATATCTTTCCTGAACCAGGTTGACCTTAGATGAACCATCCACTGACGTAGATATTGCCTGTTGTAAAAGCACTATGAAATTATTCCATTGCCATCTAGGGTGTAGCCAGAAATAACTGAAATTAACTCCAAAATGGGAACGGAAACACTATGTGTAAACACTGGATAAAATATGAACTTTCCATTTGGATTAAAGTTTCCCTGTGTTTAAAATACCTGTCTTTTCTTCTAATTCCCAGTGTTTGCAACTACTGAAAAAAATTCATTCGAAAGGGATAAAGATGTCACAGAGCCGGAATTTGGTTTACTGTTTGATTTTTATTATGGGAGAAAATTTTAATTTGGGGATAATGGTTTGGTTTCTCTGCTAATTCATGCATACTATATAAAGATAGATGAATATATGGGTTGAACATCTCAAATCTGAAAATCCAAAATGCTGCAAAATTCGAAATTTTTTGAGCACCAATATGATGCCAGAGGTGGAACATTTCACGTAAGTACTTAACATAAACTTTGTTTCATGCACAAAATTTTTAAAATATTGTATTAAATTGCATTCAAGCTATGTGTATAAAGGTGTATATGAAACATAAATGAATTTTGTGTTTAGACTTGGGTCGCATGCCCAAGATATCTCATTATGTGTGTGTAAATATTCCCAAATCTGAAACACTTGTGGTCCGAACATTTCTGATAAGGGCTGCTCAGCCTGCAGTAGAGTGCAGTGGCTAAGGGCAGGGGCTCTGAAGCCAGACTGCTTGGGTTCATAACTTGGCCCTGATACTTATGGACTATTTGATCTGGGCAAAGTACATAACCTTTTTGTGTCTCAGTACATTATCTGTAAACTGATGATGATAACAAATAGTATCTACCTTATAGGAATATTGTGAAAATTAAATTAGTCAATATATATGTATAGTACTTAAAACAGTATTTGGCATATAACTGGTGTCATATATGCATATACTATTAATACAAAAAACATAATGGTTTTAGGTTTTACAAGCCTAACTTTTTCAAATTTTATATATATATATATATATAAATTTGAGCAATGGCCAGAGGCCAGCATAAAAGATCAGACACATCACCAACAGCAGTAAGGCGTGCTGAAGACACAGATACTCTTCATCCTCATCATCCTTATCACAGGAGCAACACCACTCTCTCCAGAAGGAAGGAGCTTGTGAGTAATGCCTCACCAATCCCTGACTTCACCAGTCTGCATTTCTAGGCTATTGCCATACTTTTTACAGTTTTACAGTATCTCTCATATCTACCTCTTCCCTTCATCTATATAAACAGCGTTATGTAAGACACAGTGTTAGCTTAGGCATCTCTGCGCTGGTTTCTCCCGCTACTAGCCCTTTCTTCCTAGAGATTCCTCACCTTTAGCACCAAGCAACTCACTCAAAGAAACTGCTTCTCTCATTGCTTTGACCACACTCTCCCTCTCATTCATTACGTACAAAGTCTTAAGTCTAAAATTTTCACCTAATGGGCCGGGCACAGTGGCTCATGTTTGTAATCCCAGCACTTTGGGAGGCCAAGGTGGGCGGATCACTTGAGGTCAGGAGTTTAAGACCAGTCAGGCCAATATGGTGAAACCCCGTCTCTACTAAAAATGCAAAAACTAGCCAATCGTGGGGGCGCGTGCCTGTAATCCCAGCTACTGGGGAACCTGAGGCAGGCGAATTGCTTGAGCCCAGGAGGCGGAAGTTGCAGTGACAGGAGATTGCGCCACTGCACCCCAGCCTAGGTGACAGAGGGAGTCTCTGTCTCAAAAATAAATAAATAAATAAATAAATAAACAAAATAAACGTTTCACCTAGTGTTTCGAAGTTATTTTCCAGGATAACTGGATTATAATTGCCTAATGTTCTTCCATCTCCTGTTCCTCCAACCTCCACCTTTCCTATGGCAGGCATACATACTTTATCCAATTAGCCTATTTCTGAGATGTATCCCTTTTAGCTATGAGTTTTGCAATAATTATATTCTCCCTAATATAAGTCTCGAGTGACTCCCTTACAGGATTCTACTGTCCTCTTCAGTATTCTATTCAGATCCTGCCTCCTTGATAAGAGAACCTCAGACTTATTAATACAGACCTAACAGTTTCCTCGGACTCTATTCAGTACAGGCCTTAACCACAACTGGTAATAATTCTTTCGTTATAAAATTCGCTTACCTTCCTCTACATCCCTCAAATATGGTTTTTTGTTTTTTGTTTTTTGTTTTTGATATGGAGTCTCGCTCTGTCCCCCAGGCTGGAGTGCAGTGGCGCGATCTCGGCTCACTGCAAGCTCCGCCTCCCGGGTTCACACCATTCTCCTGCCTCAGCCTCCCGAGTAGCTGGGACTACAGGCGACCACCACTACACCCGGCTAATTTTTTGTTTTTTAGAAGAGATGGGATTTCACCGTGTTAGCCAGGATAGTCTCGATCTCCTGACCTTGTGATCCATCTGCCTTGGCCTCCCAAAGTGCTGGGATTACAGGCGTGAGCCACCGCACCCGGCTGTTTTGTTTTGACACATGACTCAAGTGTCATAGAGTTGGAAAGAAACTTAGAGGTCATGTAGGCTAATCTGGAATCCTCTCTGCAGTAATTCCAGTGAGGGTATCCATTTCTTTCAAAAGGTTCTAATTATTAAAACATACTTCCTGGGCCAGGCGCAGTGGCTCACGCCTGTAATCCCAGCACTTTGGGAGGCCAAAGTGGGCGGATCACAAGGTCAGGAGATCGAGACCATCCTGGCTAACATGGTGAAACCCCATCTCTACCAAAAATACAAAAAATTAGCCGGGCGTGGTGGCAGGCGCCTGTAATCCCAGCTACTCAGGAGGCTGATTCAGGAGAATGGCATGAACCCAGGAGGCGGAGCTTACAGTGAGCTGAGATCACACCATTGCACTCCAGCCTGGGTGACAGAGCCAGACTCAGTCTCAAAAAAAAAGTTCTTCCTAAAGATAAACTGAAAAATGTTCCCCTGAAACTTCCACCTGTTTCACCCCAGTTCTAATTCTACCATGTAGCTACACAGAACAAATATAATCTTTATTCTACATGAAATCTTTCACATATTTGAAAGCTATCATGTTTCCCCAAATCTTTTATTTTCTTGCATATATGCATGTTTATATAGTTATGTTTATCTATCTATATTTATCTACGTGGGCTGAAAATGTTTATGTAGATAAATTGAGAGAAAAAAATTTTGTTGTAATTTTACGTATAGCATTTTCCTTTTTCTTTTCTTTCTTTTTTTTTTTTTTGGAGACAGAATCTCACTCTGTTGCCCAGGCTGTAGTGCAGTGGCATGATCTCGGCTCACTGCAGCCTCCGCCTCCCAGGTTCTAGCGATTCTTCTGCCTCAGCCTCCTGAGTAGCTGAGATTACAGGCGTGTACCACCACACCTGGCTAATTTTTGTATTTTTAGTAGAGATGAGGTTTCACCATCTTGGCCAGGCTGGTCTTGAACTCCTCACCTCGTAATCCACCTGCCTTGGCCTCCCACAGTGCTGGGATTACAGGTGCGAGCCACCAGAGCCTGGCCAGCATTTTTCTTAAACTGTTTATGTACACAGTTCTTTGGACTTTGTTTATGTGATTTGTCTCTGCATTGTTGTATTAAATCTTTAAAGACCTATAGAGTGCCAAATACAGTTCCATTTACAGATTGACACTTTAAAAGTCTTTTTGGATGAGATAACGAGGAGGAGGAGGAGTTAGAAGATTCCTATCTGGCTGGCACAGAATTAGTCATTCTCTTTGAAAGTAGGGAGACAGATTAAATGACCTCTTGTTCCTTTTAGCCCCAAGAGTGTATGATTCAACATTTCTTTGATTTAAAAAACCTTATAAATTATTAGGAGACTATTTCGAACAACTGGCCAAGTGCTGTATAAATGTTACCAGTAGCAATAATATCTATTCATTTAAAATTAATAAGTTATTACTCATTTCCCTTTCAAAGGTAATGAAATAGCTGACTAAACAATCCATTTAACATGTAGCCTATCACTAACTGTAGTGTAGTGATAGTTAATTATTGATGTGGGCCTAGTTTATTACTGATGTGAAATGGGTTGTTTCAGTTCTCTACTGCTGCATAACAAAACACCCCACAAAACCTAGTGGCTTAAAACAGCAGTGATTTATTACTTCCTGCATTTCTATGGATTGGCTGGACAGTTCTGCTGATCTTACCTTGGTTCATGTAACAGCACTGGCTGGGCTAGAAGGTACATGATGACTGAATGTGCATGTCTGACCATTGGTGCTGCTGCCGGTTGGAATGCCTCAGCTCTCCTCCATAAGGCCCTTATGATCTGAATTGGGTGCCCCACCACCACAAAATTCAAATATTGAAGTCCTAACCTGCAGTACCTCAGAATGTGACTGTCTTTGGAGATAGGGTCTTTGAAGAAGTGACTAAGTTAAAATGAATCCATTAGGGTGTTCCCTAACCCAATAGGACTGGTGTCCTTATAAGAAGAGGAAATCTAGACACAGACACACACAGAGGGAAGACCTTGTGAAAATACGGGGAGAAGGTGGCCATCTACAGACCAAGGAGATGTCTCAGGAGAAACCAACCTTGATCTTGGACTTCCAGCTTCCAGAACTGTAACAAAATAAATTTCTGTTGTTTAAGCCACCCAATCTGTGGTACTTTGTTATGGCAGCCCTAGCAAATTACTACAACCAAATTATCAAAAGATAGAAAATTAAGATTTCTAATGTTCTATTTTATTAAATTATTATCATTATTTGAGATGGAGTCTTGCTCTGTGGCCCAGGGTAGAGCACAGTGACACCATATCGGCTCACTGAAACCTCCGCCTTGCGGGTTCAAATAATTCTCCTGTCTCAGCCTCTTGAGTAGCTGGGATTACAGGCTCCCACCAACACGACCAGCTAATTTTTTTGTATTTGTAGTAGAGATGGGGTTTCACCATGTTGGCCAGGCTGATCTTGAACTCCTGGCCTCAAGTAATCCGCTCACCTCTGCCTCCCAAAGTGCTGGGATTACAGGCATGAGCCACCATGCCCAGCATATTTAATTCATATTTAATGAGCGCTTTCTGTATTCCAGGCGCTGTACTAATTACTGAGATACAGTAGTGAATAAGACCTACCCGCTTATACTCTACTGAGGAAGACATCCATAAACATGTAATTACAATAACGTGTAGTAAGTGTTGATAGGGGGATAAGGGGTTACTGTGGAAACGTATAACCATTTGAAGGTGAGGTAGTTGAGGAGATGTGGAACTTCTCCCAGGAGCAGGCAAAGGGAAAGAGGTAAGAGATAAGTAGGAGTTAGCTTAGCAAAATGGGAAGAGCACTGCATTTTAGGGAACATTGAGAAACAAATTTAGCTTGCCCTTTTTGGCAGAAAGCAGAGTCACAAGAGATGCACCTATGAAGTGGAGAGGAAACAAGGATCCTGAGGAAGGTCTGGAAAACCCTCTAAAAGGAGAACACAGGACATTGTCTTTGCAGCTTCTTCATCTGCTCTTGGCAGCTTTCTAGATAGCTTAATAGAAACTTTGGTGGTTCCTGAAGCCACTGAACTAGTTGCTTATTCACTGAAGGAAGGCACTTGTATTTACAATAAATACAATGGCACTTCTGCATGGTTCAATTATGTTTTTTTTAAGTCTTCTTCATAAATTGCTAAAAGCTTTCTCTAATTGTGAGGATGTTTATTACATATCACTTCAAAACATTAACATGCTGAGAAAAGTCCAAATGAAGTAACACAACTTACTTGTTTTACTGACACCATTCTCCAGTTTACTAATTATGTGTAAGTAATTCACATTAAGCAAACATGGTTGCACCAGAGCATTTGTATTGATTGTATTGGTTACATTGTGATTATACCAGATAATCAACTCAAACTAGCTTAAGCAAAAAATGGATTATAACCATGATTTCATCAAATCTCAGATGTCTTGAATTCTAATATGACCCATTAAATGGGTTGAATTGTGTCCCCCAAAAAGATATGTTGAAGCCCTAACTCCTAGCACCACAGAAAGTGAACTTCTTTGGAAATAGGGTCTTTACAGAAGTAATCAAGTTAAAGTGAAGTCATCCAGTATAACTGGTGCCCTTTTAAAACGAAGAAATTTGGACACAGACATGAATAGGGCTTCTGAGGTACTGGTAATGTTCTGCTTTCAGATGCTAATGGAGTGTTTACCTTGCAAAATTTGTCAAGCAGTAAACTTATGAGAGAGAGATATATTTTATGTGATTTCTATATGTGTGTGTATGCATGCATATATATATATATATATATATATATATATATATATATATATATATATACAGTTGTCCTTCTATACATGTCCTTCTATACATGAGGGATTGGTTCTAGGACCCCCCCATGTATACCAAAATTCGTGCATACTCAAGTTGCCCAGTGTGCCCTGCAGAACCCTCCTATACAAAAAGTTAACTTATGTATGTGCATATTTCACATCCCTTGAAGTCATCCGCCTTTGATTTAAAAACTCTGCATATAACTACACCCTTGTAGTTCAAACCCGTGTTGTTCAGGGGTCAAATGTACACACATAAATACTTTTCTGTTTACATTATTTTTAATCGGAACATAATTGTTGTACATATTTAGTGAGTAAGCATATGCACTTTTCTGTATGAACACTATACTTCAATAAAAAGATGGGGTGGGGGTGGAGATACTGGCTTTCAAGTGAGAGGAAACAACCTAAGCAGGAACACAGGGGCTTGATGAGCTTATCCAGGAACATCTCATCAAATGGGAAAAGAAGAGGAGCTGGGGGTGGCAGAGGGCAGAGGAAATGTATTAAGTAGTGGGACTTAAAATTGGCCTGGGTCCCTTCTGTTTCTAAGAATCTATACTTTTGTCATACCCCAAGGCCTTATAGCTAGTTAATTATTAAAAAAAAAAAAAAAAAAAAGGGCTGGGCATGGTGGCTCCTGACTGTAATCCTAACACTTTGGGAGGCTGAAGCAGGTGGATCACTTGAGGTCAGTAGTTCGAGACCAGCCTGACCAACATGGTGAAACCCCGTCTTAACTAAAAAAAATACAAAATTAGCCAGGTGTGGTGGTGCATGCCCGTAATCCCAGCTCCTTGGGAGGCTGAGGCAGGAGAATCGCTTGAACCCGGGAAGCGGAGGTTGCCGTAAGCTGAGATCGCACCATTGCACCCCAGCCTGGGCAACAAGAGTGAAACTCTGTCTCGAAAAAAACACACACAAAAAACATTAAAGACCTGTGATAGGTTGAAAACATGGCCATAATATTTTGCTGGTCTTTTTTTTTTTTTTTTTTTTTTTTTTTGAGATGGAGTCTTGCACTGTCACCCGCGCCCAGCCTTGCTGGTCTTTTTATCAAGAGGTAAATCTATTTCCCCACCCTTTAAACCCTTTGAATCAGTACTGGCCTTGTGACTTGCTTTGACTAATAGAATATGGTGGAAGGAAGGTTGTAAGAGTTTTGTAGCTGAGGACTCAGGAGTCTTTGCAGCGTTTGCTCTTGCTCTCTTAGCACTGGGACCACCATGCTATGAGCAAACTTGGTGTTGTGGGTGGGCTGAATTGTGCCTCCCACGAACTTCATGTGTTGAAGTCCTAACCCCTAATACTTCACAATGTGACCATATTTGGAAATAGAGTTCTTACGGAAGTAATCAAGTTAAAATGAGGTCACTGAGGTGGACCCCCTCATATTTCTCTTTAATTTTTTTTTTTTTTTTTTGAGGAATGGTGTTTCATTCTGTCACCTAGGCTGGAGTTTAGTGACACAGTTATAGTTCATTGCAGCCTGGACTCTTAGGCTCAAGTGATCTTCCTGCCTCAGCCTTCCAAATAGCCAGACTACAGGTACATGCCACTCTAATATTTCTTTTGGAAATTTAAATTGAAAATGATCAGGTAATAAATTCTCATTTTCGGAAATTTGCAAAAGCAGAAAAGTATAAAGAAGGAAAAAGTTCTCCATACTCTCACCACTCAGATGTATGTATTTTTGGCGTTTTTCTTTTTTTTCCTTTAAGCGTTATTTTCTTTTGTTTGTGCATATATACACATATTTACATTTTTTTGGGTTTTTGTTTTTTTTTTTTGAGAGTGCGTTTTGCTCTGTCACCCAGACGGGAGAGTAGTGGCGTGATCTCGGCTCACTAAAACCTCTGCCCCCCAGGTTCAAGCGATTCTCCTGCCTCAGCCTCCCGAGTAGCTGGGATTACAGGCGTGTGCCAGTAGGCCCGGCTAATTTTTTGTATTTTTAGTAGAGACAGGGTTTCACCATGTTGGCCAGGCTGGTCTCAAACTCCTGACCTCAGGTGATCCGCCTGCCTTGGCCTCCCAAAGTGTTGGGATTACAGGCGTGAGCCACCATGCCTGGCCTTTGTGGTTTTTGGTTTGTTTGTTTGTTTGTTTGTTTGTTTGTTTTTGAGACAGGGTCTCACTATTGCCCAGGCTGGAGTGCAGTGGCAAGAACTCGCTCACTGCAACTCCCAGGTTCAAGTGATTATCCTGTCTCAGCTTTTCCAGTAGCTGGAATTAAAGGTGTGGAAGATGTGTGCCATCACACCTGGCTAATTTTTGTATTTTTAGTAGAGACGGGGTTTCAACATGTTGGCCAGACTGGTCTCAAACTCCTGACCTCAGGTGATCCACCTGCCTCAGCCTCCCAAAGTGCTAAGACTACAAGTGTGAGCCACCGTGCCCAGCCCATTTTTGTTAATTTTTTTTGAGACAGAGTTTCACTTTTTTGCCCAGGCTGGAGTGCAATGAAGCAATCTTGGCTTACTGCAACCTCCACCTCCCAGTTTCAATCGATTCTTCTGCCTCAGCCTCCCAAATAGCTGGGATTACAGGCATGCACCGCCACACTCAGCTAATTTTTTATTTTTAGTAGAGATGGGGTTTCACCATGTTGGTCAGGCTGGTCTTGAACTCCTGACCTCAGGTGATCCGCCTGCTTGGGCCTCCCAAAGTGCTGGGATTACAGGCGTAAGACACTGCGCCCGGCCCCCATTTTTGTTAATTTTTTAAAGTAAATAATACGTATCTTAGTTACAAGAATTAAAGTAATACAGAACATAGATTAAAAAGGTAAAAGTTTTTCTTTATTCTTTCCTCACTACCCCGTTAAGAGTTGGCTCACTTTTTTAAAAGCAAAATTGGGATCATACTATAAATACTGGTTTTCAAATGTTATTTTACCTTTATCAACAGTAAGAAATACATTTTACATTGCAATATAGTTAATGCAGTTAACACACACATATACACACACACAACAAATTTTAAGAATTTTAGAGGCTGGCCATGTTGGCTCACACCTATAATCCTAGCACTTTGGGAGGCTGAGATGGGAGGATTGCTTGATCCCAGGAGTGCGAGACCACCCTGGGCAACATAGTGAGATCTCATCTCTACAAAAAAATGAAAAATTAGCTGGGCATGGTGGTGTGTGCCTGTGGTCCCAGCTACTAGGGAGGCTAATGTAAGAGTATACCCCGAGCCCAGGAGATCAAGACTGCAGTGAGCTATGATTGTGCCACCGCACTCTGGCCTGGGAGAAATAACAAGACCCTGTCTCAAAAAAAAAAAAAATGGATTTCAGGAAACAATCCCCTATTTTTTTTTTTTTAAGACAGAGTCTTACTCTGTCACCCAGACTGGATTGCAATGGTGTGATCATAGCTCACTGCAGCCTTGACCTCCTAGGCTCAAGCAATTCCTCCTGCCTTAGCCTCCCAACTAGCTGGGACTACAGGTGTGCACCACCATGGCCAGATAATTTTTAAACTCTTTTTTTTTTTTTTTTTTTGAGATGGAGTCTCACTCTGTCACCTAGGCTGGAGTGGAGTGGTGGGATCTCAGCTCACAGCAACCTCTGCCTCTTGTGTTCAAGAGATTCTCCTGCCTCAGCTTCCCGAGTCCCGCCCGAGTAGCTGGGATTACAGATGCGCATCACCACGCCCAGCTAATTTTTGTTTTTTTTGTTTTTTTGGAGACAGAGTTTCACTCTTGTTGCCTAGCCTGGAGTGCAATGGCGCCATCTCGGCTCACCGCAACCTCCGCCTCCCGGGTTCAAGCGATTCTCCTGCCTCAGCCTCCCGAGTAGCTGGGACTATTGGCAGGTGCCACCACACCCAGCTGTTTTTGTATTTTTAGTAGAGACAGGGTTTCACCATGTTACTGAGGCTGGTCTCGAACTCCTGACCTCGGGTGATCTGCCTGCCTCGGCCTCCCAAAGTGCTGGGATTACAGGCGTGAGCCACCGCGCCTGGCTAATTTTTGTATTTTTAGTAAAGACGTGGTTTCTCCATGTTGGGCAGGCTGGTCTCGAACTCCTGACCTCAGGGTGATCTGCCCACCTCGGCCTCCCAAAGTGCTGGGAATACAGGCGTGAGCCACCGCGCCTGGTCAATTTTTAAATTTTTTTAGAGACAGGGTCTCCCTATGTTGCCCAGGCTGGTCTCAAATTCCTAGGATCCTCCCACCTTACCTCCCAAAGTGTTGGGGTTACAGGCATGAGACACTGTGCCTGGCTATAATCCTTACTTTTACTGTGATATACTGCTATTTTCTATTCTCTTCTAGTCTATATCTTTTTGTGTGTTAAGCACTACACTTATCGAGGGACAGCCCAGGCAGGGTAAAGGAGAATCCATGTTGGGAGGACAATCAGCCAGGAGGAAGACATGTTAGAGTCCAAGTAGGCTGAATAGAGCGTCCCCACAGAGCAACAATCTTGTGTGAGCATCTGAATAGAGTGAGAAAGGCAATTATGTGAAAGGAGTGGCCCAGCATGAAAATCCCAGGTCCTGGGAAGCCCCTTGCCAGCAACAGGAAAAGTCCCAGTGCAAAAGCCTTGTGATGGCCCCCAAAATAGAGGCTGAAAGCAACACTATTGTTAGTGTCAAATAGATTCAACATAAATTATCTGCCTTCTGTAGTCGCTGGTTGCTGCTGCCGTCTCAGTTCCCCAGGCTGATGTTGGTCACTCTGGTTAGCAGTTCACAAGAACAGATCTTCCATTGTTGCCTTACTCCAAGGGATGCAGTTGAAGTGGGTTATTTATGTGTTTTGTAATATTCTGTCTTTGACTTTGCCTGTGGATTAACGATTGTGTTTTGTATGCAGATAGTACTATTTAACTTTTAATATTGTGACCATGTTTTCTAAAAGTTCAAATAATGAAAAAGAACAATTACAATACCTATGCCAGCATTACCTTGACATCATTGCAAAACAAGACTAAGCTATTGTGTTGTTTTAATGCAATATAGATAGAAGGACCCATATAACAGGATTAAAGAGGCAAATAACCAAAACAGCGTACCACACAATTTGCAGGAAATAATTTGGAGTTGGACAGTGAAAGTACTAACTTTAAGACTAAATCTCACAAGTCCAGAATAAGAAAGGTAAGTACTTCTGCATCAATGAAAAATTTTTGCATCTCCTCAAAAGACACCAATGCTCTGTCTAAAACAGTTGCTGGTGAATTGATCTGGGCATATCAGAAAAACTAACACGGATTAGCATGCAATCCTTGATTGCTCTATGAAACTGAATAAAGTTATATTTCCTGATTCTGAGGTTGCAACTAAATGTCTTGTTGGCAAACAAAAGGGGAAATTTGATGACAGATGGGTTGGCCCCTCATAATAGAGAGCTGATTCTGACAGGTCCTACCAACAGTCACACTTTCTTTTTTTTTTTTTTTTTTTGAGATGGAGTCTTGCTCTGTTGCTCTGGCTGAAGTGCAGTGGTGTGATCTCAGCTCACTGCAACCTCCACCTCCCAGGTTCAAGTGATTCTCGTGCCTCAGCCTCCCGAGTAGCTGGGATTACAAGGCACGCGCCACCACACCCAGCTAATTTTTGTATTTTTATAGAGATGGGGTTTCACCATGTTGGCCAGGCTGGTCTTGAACTCCTGACCTCAAGTGAGCCGCCCACCTCAGCCTCCCAAAGTGCTGGGATTACAGGCATAAGCCACTGCGCCCAGCCACCAACAGTCACAGTCACACTTTCTACAGTCTATCAAGTGATGCCTTGAGTCACAGAAACAACAACAACAATAAATTCTGCAGGTACAAGACTCCAGTACATGCGAGTTACTGCCCAAGGCCTTGGGAGCCCAACCCCTGTCTCCATGTGCCCCGGATGCAGGACATGGAGTCAAAGGAGATTATTCCCTAGCTTTCATAATTAATGTTGTTTTCCCTGTTGGATTCTGGACTTACTTGGGACCAGTTAGCCCTTTCTTCTTGCCCATTTCTCCAATTTGGAATGGGAATGTCTATTCTATGCCTGTCCCATCATTGTATTTTGAAAACACTTAGTTTTTTAATTTTACAGGCTCACAGTGGGAGAGGAATTTACCTCAGGATGAATCTTGCCTTGAGTCCCACTCACATGTGATTTAGGTGAGACTCTGGACTTTGGATTTTTGAGTTGATGCTGGAAAAAGTTAGACATTGGGGACTATTGGGATGGAATGAATGTATTTTGTATTGTGAGAAAAATATGAATTTGGGGGGCCAGGGGCAGAATGCTATGATTTGAATGTGTCCCCTAAAGCTTATGTGTTGTAAACTTAATCCCCAGTGCTACAGTGTTGAGAGATAGGGCCTAATAGGAGGTAATTATTGTCATTATTGTGAGAGTGGGTTAGTTATCAAGAGTGGGTTTGTTATAAAACCAAGTTCGACACCCTGTTGCTCTCTCACTCTTACTCCTTGCCCTTCCACCTTCTGCCATGAGACAAAGCAGCAAGAAGGCCCTCGGAACATGCTGGCTGCTTGATCTTGAACTTCCCAGACTCTAGAACTGTGAGTCTATAAGTTTCTGTTTATTATAAATTACCCAGTCTGTGGTATCCTGTTACAGCAGTACAATATGGACGAAGACAATGTATGATTTGTTTACTTGTGCCCTGAATGTTTGTGTCCTCCAAAATTCCTATGTTGAAACCTAATCCCCAGTGCAATAGTATTAAGAGGTGGTGCTTTTAGGGGATGATTAGGTCATGAAGACTAGCCCTCATTAATGTGATTAACACCTTATAAAGGGCCTGAGTAAGCTGCTGGATTCTTCTGCGACATGAGGACACAACAAGAAGATGCCATCTATGAAGCCAAGAGTGAGCCCTCATCAGACACTAAATCTACTGGCCCCACGATCTTGGACTTCCTAGTCTCCAGAGCTGGGAGCAGTAAATACCTGCTGTTTATTTATTTATTTATTTTTATTTTTTTGAGACAAAGTTTCACTCTGTCGCCCAGGCTGGAGTGCAGCGGCGCAATCTCGGCTCACTGCTACTTCCACCTCCTAGGTTCAAGTGATTCTCCTGCCTCAACCTCCCAAGTAGCTGAGACTACAGGCGCCCGTCACTACACCTGACTAATTTTTGTATTTTTAGTAGAAATGGGGTTTCACCATGTTGGCCACACTGGTCTCAAATCCCTGACCTCAGGTGATCCGCCCACCTTGGCCTCCCAAAGTGCTAGGATCACAGGCGTAAGCCACCACTCCTGGCCCTGTTCTTTATTTTATTTTATTTTATTTTTTACTTTTAAGACAGAGTCTCACTCTGTCACCCAGGCTGGAGTGCAGTGGTGCAATCTCAGCTTGCTGCAAGCTCCGCCTCCCAGGTTCATGCCATTCTCCTGCCTCAGCCTCCGGAGTAGCTGGGACTATAGGCGCCCGCCACCACGCCCGGCTACTTTTTTGTATATTTTTTAGTAGAGACGGGGTTTCACCGTGTTAGTCAGGATGGTCTCGATCTCCTGACCTCGTGATCCGCCCGCCTCGGCCTCCCAAAGTGCTGGGATTACAGGCGTGAGCCACCGTGCCCGGCCCATGTTGTTTATAAATTACCCCAGTCTAAGGCATCTTTTTATAGCAGCTCAAACAGGCTAAGACAATAATAAAAGTTTTTGGTGAGTTTTCAATTTTCTTAAGACATGTAGAAACACTCAATGAGACTTTTGACAGAAATGGAAGAAGGTAGCCTATTTAGACATGTGCCTATAAGATGACTATCATTGATGCCTGCCATAGAAAATATTGACTTGCCATAACATCATATTTTCAAAGTATAGGATGAGAAGAATGTTCATTTCTAACTTGCAAATTATTCTGAAGATGAGAATGGAGAAAAGGATTACAGTAAAACAGAAATTTATGTGCCATTTCTCCAAAACTATTTGATGATCTTTAAAGAGGCCTAAGTAGCCTTAAAGCGGGGAAGGGTATGAATGGAACACCCCGA